>NC_000021.9:11146733-11746733 GCF_000001405.40 Homo sapiens | reverse complement strand
ATATGAAGATATTCCCGTTTCCAACGAAATCTTCAAATCTATCCAAATGTCCACTTGCAGATTCAACAAAAAGTGTTTTTCAGAACTCCTCTATCAAGAGAAAGATCCACCTCTGTTAGCTGAGTTCACACATCACAAACAAGTTTATGAGAATGCTTCTGTCTAGTTTTTATTTGAAGATATTTCCTTTCTCACCATAGAGCTGAAAGCTGTCCTAATGTTCACTTCCAGATACTACAGAAAGAGTGTTTCAAAACTGCTGTACGAAAGGGAATGTTCAACTCTGTGACTTGAATGCACACATTACAAAGAAGTTTCTGAGGATGCTGCTGTCTACTTTTTATACGTAATCCCGTTTCCAACGAAATCCTCCAAGCTATCCAAATATCCACTTGCAGATTCCACAGAAAGACTGTTTCAAAACTGGTATGTCAATAGAAAAGTTCAACTCTGTTAGCTGTGTGCATATATCCCAAAGAAAATTCTGAGATTGCTTCTGTCTAGTTTTTATGGGAAGATATTTCCCTTTTCACCGTAGGTGTCAAGGCGCTCCAAATATCCACTTCCAGATACTACAAAAAGAGTGTTTCAAACCTACTCTGTGAAAGGGAATATTCAACTCTGTGACTCGAATGCACATATCACAAAGAAGTTTCTGAGAATGCTTCCTGTCGAGATTTTATATGAAGATATTCCCGTTTCCAACGAAATCCTAAAATCTATCCAAATATCCCCTCGCAGATTCTACAAAAAGAGTGTTTCAAAACTGCTCTGTAAAAAGAAAGGTTCAACTCTGTTAGTTGAGTACACACATCACAAACAAGTTTCACAGAATGCTTCTTTCTAGCTTGTAGGGGAATATATTCCCTTTATCACCATGGGTCTCAAACCCTCCGAAACGTCCACTTCCATATACTACAAAAAGAGCGTTTCAAACCTGCTCTAGGAAAGGCAATGTTCAACTCTGTGACTTGAATGCAGACATCACAGAGCAGTTTCTGAGAATGCTTCTGTCTAGGTTTTATAGGAAGATATTCCCGTTTCCAACGAAATCTTCACAGCTATCCAAATATCCACTTGCAGATAGTACAAAAAGAGTGTATCAAAAATGCTCTGTCAAAAGGAAAGTTCTTCTCTCTTAGTTGAGTACATACGTCATAAAGGAGTTTCTGAGAATGTTTCTGTCTAGTGGTTATGGGAAGATATTTGCTTTTTCACCCTAGGTCTCAGAGTGCTCCAAATATCCACTTGCACATACTACAAAAAGAGTGCTTCAAAGCTGCTCTCTGAAACGGAATGTTCAACTCTATGTGTTGAATGCAAACATCACAAAGACGTTTCCGAGAATGCTTCTGTCTAGATTTGATATGAAGATATTCCCGTTTGCAACGAAATCTTCAAATCTATCAAAATGTCCACTTGCAGATTCAACAAAACGTGTTTTTCAGAACTGCTCTATCAAAGGAAAGATACACCTCTGTTAGCTGAGTTCACACATCACAAACAAGTTTATGAGAATGCTTCTGTCTAGTTTTTATTTGAAGATATTTCCTTTCTCACCATAGACCTGAAAGCTGTCCTAATGTTCACTTCCAGATACTACAGAAAGAGTGTTTCAAAACTGCTGCACGAAAGCGAATGTTCAACTCTGTGACTTGAATGCACACCTCACAAAGAAGTTTCTGAGGATGCTGCTGTCTACTTTTCATACGTAATCCCGTTTCCAACGAAATCCTCCAAGCTATCCAAATATCCACTTGCAGATTCCACAGAAAGACTGTTTCAAAACTGCTCTGTCAATAGAAAGGTTCAACTCTGTTAGCTGCGTGCATATATCCCAAAGAAGATTCTGAGATTGCTTCTGTCTACTTTTTATGAGAAGATATTTTCCTTTTCACCGTAGGCGTCAGGGCGCTCCAAATGTCCACTTCCAGATACTACAAAAAGAGTGTTTCAAACCTACTCTGTGAAAGGGAATATTCAACTCTGTGACTTGAATGCACATATCACAAAGAAGTTTCTGAGAATGCTTCTGTCGAGATTTTATATGAAGATATTCCCGTTTCCAACGAAATCCTGAAATCTATCCAAATATCCCCTCGCAGATTCTACAAAAAGAGTGTTTCAAAACTGCTCTGTAAAAAGAAAGGTTCAACTCTGTTAGTTGAGTACACACATCACAAACTAGTTTCACAGAATGCTTCTTTCTAGCTTGTAGGGGAAGATATTCCCTTTATCACCATGGGCCTCCAACCGTCCGAAACATCCACTTCCATATGCTACAAAAAGAGCGTTTCAAACCTGCTCTATGAAAGGCAATGTTCAACTCTGTGACTTGAATGGAGACATCACAGAGCAGTTTCTGAGAATGCTTCTGTCTAGATTTTATAGGAAGATATTCCCGTTTCCAACGAAATCTTCACAGCTATCCAAATATCCACTTGCAGATTCCAGAAAAAGAGTGTATCAAAACTGCTCTGTCAAAAGGAAGGTTCTTTTCTGTTAGGTGAGTGCATACGTCATAAAGGAGTTTCTGAGAATGTTTCTGTCTAGTGGTTATGGGAAGATATTTGCTTTTTCACCTTAGGCCTCAGAGCGCTCCATATATCCCCTTGCACATACTACAAAAAGAGTGCTTCAAAGCTGCTCTCTGAAACGGAATGTTCAACTCTATGGGTTGAATGCAAACATCACAAAGACGTTTCTGAGAATGCTTCTGTCTAGATTTGATATGAAGATATTCCCGTTTCCAACGAAATCTTCAAATCTATCCAAATGTCCACTTGCAGATTCAACAAAAAGTGTTTTTCAGAGCTGCTCTATCAAAAGAAAGATCCACCTCTGTTAGCTGAGTTCACACATCACAAACAAGTTTATGAGAATGCTTCTGTCTAGTTTTTATTTGAAGATATTTCCTTTCTCACCATGGACCTGAAAGCTGTCCTAATGTTCACTTCCAGATACTACAGAAAGAGTGTTTCAAAACTGCTGTACGAAAGGGAATGTTCAAATCTGTGGCTTGAATGCACACATCACAAAGAAGTTTCTGAGGATGCTGCTGTCTACTTTTTATACATAATCCCGTTTCCAACGAAATCCTCCAAGCTATCCAAATATCCACTTGCAGATTCCACAGAAAGACTGTTTCAAAACTGCTCTGTCAATAGAAAGGTTCAACTCTGTTAGCTTCGTGCATATATCCCAAAGAAGATTCTGAGATTGCTTCTGTCTAGTTTTTATGGGAAGATATTTCCCTTTTCACCGTAGGTGTCAAGGCGCTCCAAATGTCCACTTCCAGATACTACAAAAAGAGTGTTTCCAACCTACTCTGTGAAAGGGAATATTCAACTCTGTGACTTGAATGCACATATCACAAAGAAGTTTCTGAGAATGCTTCTGTCGAGATTTTATATGAAGATATTCCCGTTTCCAACGAAATCCTGAAATGTATCCAAATATCCCCTCGCAGTTTCTACAAAAAGAGTGTTTCAAAACTGCTCTGTAAAAAGAAAGGTTCAACTCTGTTAGTTGAGTACACACATCACAAACAAGTTTCACACAATGCTTCTTTCTAGCTTGTAGGGGAAGATATTCCCTTTATCACCATGGGCCTCAAACCGTCTGAAACATCCACTTCCATATACTACAAAAAGAGCGTTTCAAACCTGCTCTATGAAAGGCAATGTTCAACTCTGTGACTTGAATGCAGACATCACAGAGCAGTTTCTGAGAATGCTTCTGTCTAGATTTTACAGGAAGATATTCCCGTTTCCAATGAAATCTTCACAGCTATCCAAATATCCACTTGCAGATTCTACAAAAAGAGTGTATCAAAACTGCTCTGTCAAAAGGAAGTTTCTTCTCTGTTAGGTGAGTGCATACGTCATAAAGGAGTTTCTGAGAATGTTTCTGTCTAGTGGTTATGGGAAGATACTTGCTTTTTCACCTTAGGCCTCAGAGCGCTCAAAATATCCCCTTGCACATACTACAAAAAGAGCGCTTCAAAGCTGCTCTCTGAAACGGAATGTTCAACTCTATGGGTTGAATGCAAACATCACAAAGACGTTTCTGAGAATGCTTCTGTCTAGATTTGATATGAAGATATTCCCGTTTCCAACGAAATCTTCAAATCTATCCAAATGTCCACTTGCAGATTCAACAAAAAGTGTTTTTCAGAACTGCTCTATCCAAAGAAAGATCCACCTCTGTTAGCTGAGTTCACACATCACAAACAAGTTTATGAGAATGCTTCTCTCTAGTTTTTATTTGAAGATATTTCCTTTCTCACCATAGAGCTGAAAGCTGTCCTAATGTTCACTTCCAGATACTACAGAAAGAGTGTTTCAAAACTGCTGTATGAAAGGGAATGCTCAACTCTGTGACTTGAATGCACACATCACAAAGAAGTTTCTGAGGATGCTGCTGTCTACTTTTTATACGTAATCCCGTTTCCAACGAAATCCTCCAAGCCATCGAAATATCCACTTGCAGATTCCACAGAAAGACTGTTTCAAAACTGCTCTGTCAATAGAAAGGTTCAACTCTGTTAGCTGCGTGCATATATCCCAAAGAAGATTCTGAGATTGCTTCTGTCTAGTTTTTATCGGAAGATATTTCCCTTTTCACCATAGGTGTCAAGGTGCTCCAAAAGTCCACTTCCAGATACTACAAAAAGAGTGTTTCAAACCTACTCTGTGAAAGGGAATATTCAACTCTGTGACTTGAATGCAGATATCACAAAGAAGTTTCTGAGAATGCTTCTGTCGAGATTTTATATGAAGATATTCCCGTTTCCAAGGAAATCCTGAAATCTATCCAAATATCCCCTCGCAGATTCTACAAAAAGAGTGTTTCAAAACTGCTCTGTGAAAAGAAAGGTACAACTCTGTTAGTTGAGTACACACATCACAAACAAGTTTCACAGAATGCTTCTTTCTAGCTTGTAGGGGAATATATTCCCTTTATCACCATGGGTCTCAAACCGTCCGAAACGTCCACTTCCATATACTACAAAAAGAGCGTTTCAAACCTGCTCTATGAAACGCAATGTTCAACTCTGTGAGTTGAATGCAGACTTCACAGAGCTGTTTCTGAGAATGCTTCTGTCTAGATTTTATAGGAAGATATTCCCGTTTCCATCGAAATCTTCACAGGTATCCAAATATCCACTTGCAGATTCTACAAAAAGAGTGTATCAAAACTGCTCTGTCAAAAGGAAGGTTCTTCTCTGTTAGGTGAGTGCATACGTCATAAAGGAGTTTCTGAGAATGTTTCTGTCTAGTGGTTATGGGAAGATATTTTCTTTTTCACCTTAGGCCTCAGAGCGCTCCAAATATCCACTTGCACATACTACAAAAAGAGTGTTTCAAAGCTGCTCTCTGAAAGGGAATGTTCAACTCTATGAGTTGAATGCAAACATGACAAAGACGTTTCTGAGAATGCTTCTGTCTAGATTTGGTATGAAGATATTCCCGTTTCCAACGAAATCTTCAAATCTATCCAAATGTCCACTTGCAGATTCAACAAAAAGTGTTTTTCAGAACTGCTCTATCAAAAGAAAGATCCACCTCTGTTAGCTGAGTTCACACATCACAAACAAGTTTATGAGAATGCTTCTGTCTAGTTTTTATTTGAAGATATTTCCTTTCTCACCATAGACCTGAAAGCTGTCCTAATGTTCACTTCCAGATACTACAGAAAGAGTGTTTCAAAACTGCTGTACGAAAGGGAATGTTCAACTCTGTGACTTGAATGCACACATCACAAAGAAGTTTCGGAGGATGCTGCTGTCTACTTTTTATACTTAATCCCGTTTCCAACGAAATCCTCCAAGCTATCCAAATATCCACTGGCAGATTCCACAGAAAGACTGTTTCAAAACTGCTCTGTCAATAGAAAGGTTCAACTCTGTTAGCTGCGTGCATATATCCCAAAGAAGATTCTGAGATTGCTTCTGTCTAGTTTTTATGGGAAGATATTTCCCTTTTCACCGTCGGCGTCAAGGCGCTCCAAATGTCCACTTCCAGATACTACAAAAAGAGTGTTTCAAACCTACTCTGTGAAAGGGAATATTCAACTCTGTGACTTGAATGCACATATCACAAAGAAGTTTCTGAGAATGCTTCTGTCGAGATTTTATATGAAGATATTCCCGTTTCCAACGAAATCCTGAAATCTATCCAAATATCCCCTCGCAGATTCTACAAAAAGAGTGTTTCAAAACTGCTCTGTAAAAAGAAAGGTTCAACTGCTGTTAGTTGAGTACACACATCACAAACAAGTTTCACAGAATGCTTCTTTCTAGCTTGTAGGGGAAGATATTCCCTTTATCACCATGGGCCTCAAACCGTCCGAAACGTCCACTTCCATATACTACAAAAAGAGCGTTTCAAACCTGCTCTAGGAAAGGCAATGTTCAACTCTGTGACTTGAATGCAGACATCACAGAGCGGTTTCTGAGAATGCTTCTGTCTAGATTTTATAGGAAGATATTCCCGTTTCCAACGAAATCTTCACAGCTATCCAAATATCCACTTGCAGATCCTACAAAAAGAGTGTATCAAAACTGCTCTGTCAAAAGGAAGGTTCTTCTCTGTTAGTTGAGTACATACGTCATAAAGGAGTTTCTGAGAATGTTTCTGTCTAGTGGTTATGGGAAGATATTTGCTTTTTCACCGTAGGCCTCAGAGCGCTCCAAATATCCACTTGCACATACTACAAAAAGAGTGCTTCAAAGCTGGTCTCTGAAACGGAATGTTCAACTCCATGAGTTGAATGCAAACATCACAAAGACGTTTCTGAGAATGCTTCTGTCTAGATTTTATAGGAAGATATTCCCGTTTCCAACGAAATCTTCAAATCTATCCAAATGTCCACTTGCAGATTCAACAAAAAGTGTTTTTCAAAACTGCTGTATCAAAAGAAAGATCCACGTCTGTTAGCTGAGTTCACACATCACAAACAAGTTTATGAGAATGCTTCTGTCTAGTTTTTATTTGAAGATATTTCCTTTCTCACCATAGACCTGAAAGCTGTCCTAATGTTCACTTCCAGATACTATAGAAAGAGTGTTTCAAAACTGCTGTACGAAAGGGAATGTTCAACTCTGTGACTTGAATGCACACATCACAAAGAAGTTTCTGAGGATGCTGCTGTCTACTTTTTATACGTAATCCCGTTTCCAACGAAATCCTCCAAGCTGTCCAAATGTCCACTTGCAGATTCCACAGAAAGACTGTTTCAAAACTGCTCTGTCAATAGAAAGGTTCAACTCTGTTAGCTGCGTGCATATATCCCAAAGAAGATTCTGAGATTGCTTCTGTCTAGTTTTTATGGGAAGATATTTCCCTTTTCACCGTAGGCGTCAAGGTGCTCCAAATGTCCACTTCCAGATACTACAAAAGGAGTGTTTCAAACCTACTCTGTCAAAGGGAATATTCAACTCTGTGACTTGAATGCAGATATCACAAAGAGGTTTCTGAGAATGTTTCTGTCGAGATTTTCTATGAAGATATTCCCGTTTCCAACGAAATCCTCAAATCTATCCAAATATCCCCTCGCAGATTCTACAAAAAGAGTGTTTCAAAACTGCTCTGTAAAAAGAAAGGTTCAACTCTGTTAGTTGAGTACACACATCACAAACAAGTTTCACAGAATGCTTCTTTCTAGCTTGTAGGGGAAGATATTCCCTTTATCACCATGGGCCTCAAACCGTCCGAAACGTCCACTTCCATATACTACAAAAAGAGCATTTCAAACCTGCTCTATGAAAGGCAATGTTCAACTCTGTGACTTGAATGCAGACATCACAGAGCAGTTTCTGAGAATGCTTCTGTCTAGATTTTATAGGAAGATATTCCCGTTTCCAACGAAACCTTCACAGCTATCCAAATATCCACTTGCAGATTCTACAAAAAGAGTGTATCAAAACTGCTCTGTCAAAAGGAAGGTTCTTCTCTGTTAGGTGAGTGCATACGTCATAAAGGAGTTTCTGGGAATGTTTCTGTCTAGTGGTTATGGGAAGATATTTGCTTTTTCACCGTAGGCCTCAGAGCGCTCCAAATATCCACTTGCACATACTACAAAAAGTGTGCCTCAAAGCTGCTCTCTGAAACGGAATGTTCAACTCTATGAGTTGAATGCAAACATCACAAAGACGTTTTCTGAGAATGCTTCTGTCTAGATTTGTTATGAAGATATACCCGTTTCCAACGAAATCTTCAAATCTATCCAAATGTCCACTTGCAGATTCACCAAAGTGTTTTTCAAAACTGCTGTATCAAAAGAAAGATCCACCTGTGTTAGCTGAGTTCACACTTCACAAACAAGTTTATCAGAATTCTTCTGTCTAATTTTTATTTGAAGATATTTCCTTTCTCACCATAGACCTGAAAGCTGTCCTAATGTTCACTTCCAGATACTATAGAAAGAGTGTTTCAAAACTGCTGTACGAAAGGGAATGTTCAACTCTGTGACTTGAATGCACACATCACAAAGAAGTTTCTGAGGATGCTGCTGTCTACTTTTTATACGTAATCCCATTTCCAAAGAAATCCTCCAATCTATCCAAATATCCACTTGCAGATTCCACAGAAAGACTGTTTCAAATCTGCTCTCTCAATAGAAAGATTCAACTCTGTTAGCTGCGTGCATATATCCCAAAGAAGATTCTGAGATTGCTTCTGTCTAGTTTTTATGGGAAGATATTTCCCTTTTCACCGTAGGCGTCAAGGCGCTCCAAATGTCCACTTCCAGATACTACAAAAAGAGTGTTTCAAACCTACTCTGTGAAAGGGAATATTCAACTCTGTGACGTGAATGCACATATCACAAAGAAGTTTCTGAGAATGCTTCTGTCGAGATTTATATATGAAGATATTCCCGTTTCCAACGAAATTCCTGAAATCTATCCAAATATCCCCTCGCAGATTCTACAAAAAGAGTGTTTCAAAACTGCTCTGTAAAAAGAAAGGTTCAACTCTGTTAGTTGAGTACACACATCACAAACAAGTTTCACAGAATGCTTCTTTCTAGCTTGTAGGGGAAGATATTCCCTTTATCACCATGGGCCTTAAACCGTCCGATAAGTCCACTTCCATATACTACAAAAAGAGCGTTTCAAACCTGCTCTATGAAAGGCAATGTTCAACTCTGTGACTTGAATGCAGACATCACAGAGCAGTTTCTGAGAATGCTTCTGTCTAGATTTTATAGGAAGATATTCCCGTTTCCAACGAAATCTTCACAGGTATCCAAATATCCACTTGCAGATTCTACAAAAAGAGTGTATCAAAACTGCTCTGTCAAAAGGAAGGTTCTTCTCTGTTAGGTGAGTGCATACGTCATAAAGGAGTTTCTGAGAATGTTCTGTCTAGTGGTTATGGGAAGATATTTGCTTTTTCCCCGTAGGCCTCAGGGCGCTCCAAATGTCCACTTGCACATGCTACAAAAAGAGTGCTTCAAAGCTACTCTCTGGAAGGGAATGTTCAACTCTATGAGTTGAATGCAAACATCACAAAGACGTTTCTGACAATGCTTCTGTCTAGATTTGATATAAAGATATTCCCGTTTCCAACGAAATCTTCAAATCTATCCAAATGTCCACTTGCAGATTCAACAAAAAGTGTTTTTCAGAACTGCTCTATCAAAAGAAAGATAGACCTCTGTTAGCTGAGTTCACACATCACAAACAAGTTTATGAGAATGCTTCTGTCTAGTTTTTATTTGAAGATATTTCCTTTCTCACCATAGACCTGAAAGATGTCCTAATATTCACTTAGAGATACTACAGAAAGAGTGTTTCAAAACGGCTGTACGAAAGGGAATGTTCAACACTGTGACATGAATGCACACATCACAAAGAAGTTTCTGAGGATGCTGCTGTCTACTTTTTATACGTAATCCCGTTTCCAACGAAATCCTCCAAGCTATCCAAATATCCACTTGCAGATTCCACAGAAAGACTGTTTCAAAACTACTCTGTCAATAGAAAGGTTCAACTCTGTTAGCTGCGTACATATATCCCAAAGAAGATTCTGAGATTGCTTCTGTCTACTTTTTATGAGAAGATATTTCCCTTTTCACCGTAGGCGTCAAGGTGCTCCAAATGTCCACTTCCAGATACTACAAAAAGAGTGTTTCAAACCTACTCTGTGAAAGGGAATATTCAACTCTGTGACTTGAATGCACATATCACAAAGAAGCTTCTGAGAATGCTTCTGTCGAGATTTTATATGAAGATATTCCCGTTTCCAACGAAATCCTGAAATGTATCCAAATATCCCCTCGCAGATTCTACAAAAAGAGTGTTTCAAAACTGCTCTGTAAAAAGAAAGGTTCAACTCTGTTAATTGAGTACACACATCACAAACAAGTTTCACAGAATGCTTCTTTCTAGCTTGTAGGGGAAGATATTCCCTTTATCACCATGGGCCTCAAAGCGTCGGAAACGTCCACTTCCATATACTACAAAAAGAGCGTTTCAAACCTGCTCTAGGAAAGGCAATGTTCAACTCTGTGACTTGAATGCAGACATCACAGAGCAGTTTCTGAGAATGCTTCTGTCTAGATTTTATAGGAAGATATTCCCGTTTCCAACGAAATCTTCACAGCTATCCAAATATCCACTTGCAGATTCTACAAAAAGAGTGTATCAAAACTGCTCTGTCAAAAGGAAGGTTCTTCTCTGTTAGCTGAGTGCATACGTCATAAAGGAGTTTCTGAGAATATTTCTGTCTAGTGGTTATGGGAAGATATTTGCTTTTTCCCCGTAGGCCTCATAGCGCTCCAAATGTCCACTTGCACATATTACAAAAAGAGTTCTTCAAAGCTGCTCTCTGAAAGGGAATATTCAACTCTATGAGTTGAATGCAAACATGACAAAGACGTTTCTGAGAATGCTTCTGTCTAGATTTGATATGAAGATATTCCCGTTTCCAACGAAATCTTCAAATCTATCCAAATGTCCACTTGTAGATTCAACAAAAAGTGTTTTTCAGAACTGCTCTATCAAAAGAAAGATCCACCTCTGTTAGCTGAGTTCACACATCACAAACCAGTTTATGAGAATGCTTCTGTCTAGTTTTTATTTGAAGATATTTCCTTTCTCACCATAGACCTGAAAGCTGTCCTAATGTTCACTTCCAGATACTACAGAAAGAGTGTTTCAAAACTGCTGTACGAAAGGGAAAGTTCAACTCTGTGACTTGAATGCACACATCACAAAGAAGTTTCTGAGGATGCTGCTGTCTACTTTTTATACGTAATCCCGTTTCCAACGAAATCCTCCAAGCTATCCAAATATCCACTTGCAGATTCCACAGAAAGACTGTTTCAAAACTGCTCTCTCAATAGAAAGGTTCAACTCTGTTAGCTGCGTACATATATCCCAAAGAAGATTCTGAGATTGCTTCTGTCTACTTTTTATGAGAAGATATTTCCCTTTTCACCGTAGGCGTCAAGGTGCTCCAAATGTCCACTTCCAGATACTACAAAAAGAGTGTCTCAAACCTACTCTGTGAAAGGGAATATTCAACTCTGTGACTTGAATGCACATATCACAAAGAAGCTTCTGAGAATGCTTCTGTCGAGATTTTATATGAAGATATTCCCGTTTCCAACGAAATCCTGAAATGTATCCAAATATCCCCTCGCAGATTCTACAAAAAGAGTGTTTCAAAACTGCTCTGTAAAAAGAAAGGTTGAACTCTGTTAGTTGAGTACACACATCACAAACAAGTTTCACAGAATGCTTCTTTCTAGCTTGTAGGGGAAGATATTCCCTTTAAAACCATGGGCCTCAAACCGTCTGAAACGTCCACTTCCATATACTACAAAAAGAGCATTTCAAACCTGCTCTATGAAAGGCAATGTTCAACTCTGTGACTTGAATGCAGACATCACAGAGCAGTTTCTGAGAATGCTTCTGTCTAGATTTTATAGGAAGATATTCCTGTTTCCAACGAAATCTTCACAACTATCCAAATATCCACTTGCAGATTCTACAAAAAGAGTGTATCAAAACTGCTCTGTCAAAAGGAAGGTTCTTTTCTGTTAGGTGAGTGCATACGTCATAAAGGAGTTTCTGAGAATGTTTCTGTCTAGTGGTTATGGGAAGATATTTGCTTTTTCACCGTAGGCATCACAGCGCTCCAAATATCCACTTGCACATACTACAAAAAGAGTGCTTCAAAGCTGCTCTCTGAAACGGAATGTTCAACTCTATGAGTTGAATGCAAACATCACAAAGACGTTTCTGAGAATGCTTCTGTCTAGATTTGATATGAAGATATTCCTGTTTCCAACGAAATCTTCAAATCTATCCAAATGTCCACTTGCAGATTCAACAAAGTGTTTTTCAAAACTGCTGTATCAAAAGAAAGATCCACCTCTGTTAGCTGAGTTCACACTTCACAAACAAGTTTATCAGAATTCTTCCATCTAGTTTTTATTTGAAGATATATCCTTTCTCACTATAGACCTGAAAGCTGTCCTAAAGTTCACTTCCAGATACTACAGAAAGAGTGTTTCAAAACTGCTGTACGAAAGGGAATGTTCAACTCTGTGACTTGAATGCACACATCACAAGGATGTTTCTGAGGATGCTGCTGTCTACTTTTTATACGTAATCCCGTTTCCAACGAAATCCTCCAAGCTATCCAAATATCCACTTGCAGATTCCCCAGAAAGACTGTTTCAAAACTGCTCTGTCAATAGAAAGGTTCAACTCTATTAGCTGCGTACATATATCCCAAAGAAGATTCTGAGATTGCTTCTGTCTACTTTTTATGAGAAGATATTTCCCTTTTCACCGTAGGCGTCAAGGTGCTCAAAATGTCCACTTCCAGATAATACAAAAAGAGTGTTTCAAACCTACTCTGTGAAAGGGAATATTCAACTCTGTGACTTGAATGCACATATCACAAAGAAGCTTCTGAGAATGCTTCTGTCGAGATTTTAAATGAAGATATTCCCGTTTCCAACGAAATCCTGAAATCTATCCAAATATCCCCTCGCAGATTCTACAAAAAGAGTGTTTCAAAACTGCTCTGTAAAAAGAAAGGTTCAACTCTATTAGTTGAGTACACACATCACAAACAAGTTTCACAGAATGCTTCTTTCTAGCTTGTAGGGGAAGATATTCCCTTTATCACCATGGGCCTCAAACCGTCCGATATGTCCACTTCCATATACTACAAAAAGAGCGTTTCAAACCTGCTCTATGAAAGGCAATGTTCAACTCTGTGACTTGAATGCAGACATCACAGAGCAGTTTCTGAGAATGCTTCTGTCTAGATTTTATAGGAAGATATTCCCGTTTCCAAAGAAATCTTCACAGCTATCCAAATATCCACTTGCAGATTCTACAAAAAGAGTGTATCAAAACTGCTCTGTCAAAAGGAAGGTTCTTCTCTGTTAGGTGAGTACATACGTCATAAAGGAGTTTCTGAGAATGTTTCTGTCTAGTGGTTATGGGAAGATATTTGCTTTTTCACTGTAGGCCTCACAGCGCTCCAAATATCCACTTGCACATACTACAAAAAGAGTGCTTCAAAGCTGCTCTCTGAAACGGAATGTTCAACTCTATGAGGTGAATGCAAACATCACAAAGACGTTTCTGAGAATGCTTCTGTCTAGATTTGATATGAAGATATTCCCTTTTCCAAAGAAATCTTCAAATCTATCCAAATGTCCACTTGCAGATTCAACAAAACGTGTTTTTCAGAACTGCTCTATCAAAAGAAAGATCCACCTCTGTTAGCTGAGTTCACACATCACAAACAAGTTTATGAGAATGCTTCTGTCTAGTTTTTATTTGAAGATATTTCCTTTCTCACCATAGACCTGAAAGCTGTCCTAATGTTCACTTCCAGATACTACAGAAAGAGTGTTTCAAAACTGCTGTACGAAAGGGAATGTTCAAATCTGTGGCTTGAATGCACACATCACAAAGAAGTTTCTGAGGATGCTGCTGTCTACTTTTTACACGTAGTCCCATTTCCAAAGAAATCCTCCAAGCTATCCAAATATCCACTTGCAGATTCCACAGAAAGACTGTTTCAAAACTGCTCTGTCAATAGAAAGGTTCAACTCTGTTAGCTGCGTGCATATATCCCAAAGAAGATTCTGAGATTGCTTCTGTCTAGTTTTTATGGGAAGATATTTCCCTTTTCACCGTAGGCGTCAAGGCGCTCCAAATGTCCACTTCCAGATACTACAAAAAGAGTGTTTCAAACCTACTCTGTGAAAGGGAATATTCAACTCTGTGACTTGAATGCAGATATCACAAAGAAGTTTCTTAGAATGCTTCTGTCGAGATTTTATATGAAGATATTCCCGTTTCCAACGAAATCCTGAAATGTATCCAAATATCCCCTCGCAGATTCTACAAAAAGAGTGTTTCAAAACTGCTCTGTAAAAAGAAAGGTTCAACTCTGTTAGTTGAGTACACACATCACAAACAAGTTTCACAGGAATGCTTCTTTCTAGCTTGTAGGGGAAGATATTCCCTTTATCACCATGGGCCTCCAAGCGTCCGAAACATCCACTTCCATATACTACAAAAAGAGCGTTTCAAACCTGCTCTATGAAAGGCAATTTTCAACTCTGTGACTTGAATGCAGACATCACAGAGCAGTTTCTGAGAATGCTTCTGTCTAGATTTTATAGGAAGATATTCCCGTTTCCAACGAAATATTCACAGGTATCAAAATATCCACTTGCAGATTCTACAAAAAGAGTGTATCAAAACTGCTCTGTCAAAAGGAAGGTTCTTCTCTGTTAGGTGAGTGCATACGTCATAAAGGAGTTTCTGAGAATGTTTCTGTCTAGTGGTTATGGGAAGATATTTGCTTTTTCACCGTAGGCCTCAGAGCACTCCAAATATCCACTTGCACATACTACAAAAAGAGTGCTTCAAAGCTGCTCTCTGAAAGGGAATGTTCAACTCTATGAGTTGAATGCAAACATCACAAAGACGTTTCTGAGAATGCTTCTGTCTAGATTTGATATGAAGATATTCCCGTTTCCAACGAAATCTTCAAATCTATCCAAATGTCCACTTGCAGATTCAACAAAAAGTGTTTTTCAGAACTGCTCTATCAAAAGAAAGATCCACCTCTGTTAGCTGAGTTCAGACATCACAAACAAGATTATGAGAATGCTTCCTGTCTAGTTTTTATTTTTAGATATTTCCTTTCTCACCGCAGACCTGAAAGCTCTCCTAATGTTCACTTCTAGATACTACAGAAAGAGTGTTTGAAACCTGCTGTATGAAAGGGAATGTTGAACTCTGTGACATGAATGCACACATCACAACGAAGTTTCTGAGAATGCTGCTGTCTACTTTTTATACTTAATCCCGTTTCCAACGAAATCCTCCAAGCTATCCAAATATCCACTTGCAGATTCCACAGAAAGACTGTTTCAAAACTGCTCGGTCAATAGAAAGGTTCAACTCTGTTAGCTGCGTGCATATATCCCAAAGAAGATTCTGAGATTGCTTCTGTCTAGTTTTTATGGGAAGATATCTCCCTTTTCACCGTAGGTGTCAAGGCGCTCCAAATATCCACTTCCAGATACTACAAAAAGAGTGTTTCAAACCTACTCTGTGAAAGGGAATATTCAACTCTGTGACTTGAATGCACATATCACAAAGAAGTTTCTGAGAATGCTTCTGTCGAGATTTTATATGAAGATATTCCCGTTTCCAACGAAATGCTGAAATCTATCCAAATATCCCCTCGCAGATTCTACGAAAAGAGTGTTTCAAAACTGCTCTGTGAAAAGAAAGGTTCAACTGCTGTTAGTTGAGTACACACATCACAAACAAGTTTCACAGAATGCTACTTTCTAGCTTGTAGGGGAAGATATTCCCTTTATCACCATGGGCCTCCAACCGTCCGAAACATCCACTTCCATATACTACAAAAAGAGCGTTTCAAACCTGCTCTATGAAAGGTAATTTTCAACTCTGTGACTTGAATGCAGACATCACAGAGCAGTTTCTGAGAATGCTTCTGTCTAGATTTTATAGGAAGATATTCCCTTTTCCAACGAAATCTTCACAGCTATCCAAATATCCACTTGCAGATTCTACAAAAAGAGTGTATCAAAACTGCTCTGTCAAAAGGAAGGTTCTTCTCTGTTAGGTGAGTGCATACGTCATAAAGGAGTTTCTGAGAATGTTTCTGTCTAGTGGTTATGGGAAGATATTTGCTTTTTCACCGAAGGCCTCAGAGCGCTCCAAATATCCACTTGCACATACTACAAAAAGAGTGCCTCAAAGCTGCTCTCTGAAACGGAATGTTCAACTCTATGAGTTGAATGCAAACATCACAACGACGTTTCCGAGAATGCTTCTGTCTAGATTTGATATGAAGATATTCCCGTTTCCAACGAAATCTTCATATCTATCAAAATGTCCACTTGCAGATTCAACAAAAAGTGTTTTTCAGAACTGCTCTATCAAAAGAAAGATCCACCTCTGTTAGCTGAGTTCACACATCACAAAGAAGTTTATGAGAATGCTTCTGTCTAGTTTTTATTTGAAGATATTTCCTTTCTCACCATAGACCTGAAAGCTGTCCTAATGTTCACTTCCAGATACTACAGAAAGAGTGTTTCAAAACTGCTGTACGAAAGGGAATGATCAACTCTGTGACTTGAATGCACACATCACAAAGAAGTTTCTGAGGATGCTGCTATCTACTTTTTATACGTAATCCCGTTTCCAAAGAAATCCCCCAAGCTATCCAAATATCCACTTGCAGATTCCACAGAAAGACTGTTTCAAAACTGCTCTGTCAATAGAAAGGTTCAACTCTGTTAGCTGCGTGCATATATCCCAAAGAAGATTCTGAGATTGCTTCTGTCTAGTTTTTATGGGAAGATATTTCCCTTTTCACCGTAGGTGTCAAGGCGCTCCAAATGTCCACTTCCAGATACTACAAAAAGAGTGTTTCAAACCTACTCTGTGAAAGGGAATATTCAACTCTGTGACTTGAATGCAGATATCAGAAAGAAGTTTCTGAGAATGCTTCTGTCGAGATTTTCTATGAAGATATTCCCGTTTCCAACGAAATCCTGAAATCTATCCAAATATCCCCTCGCAGATTCTACAGAAAGAGTGTTTCAAAACTGCTCTGTAAAAAGAAAGGTTCAACTCTGTTAGTTGAGTACACACATCACAAACAAGTTTCACAGAATGCTTCTTTCTAGCTTGTAGGGGAAGATATTCCCTTTATCACCATGGGCCTCAAACCGTCCGAAACTTCTACTTCCATATACTACAAAAAGAGCGTTTCAAACCTGCTCTATGAAAAGCAATGTTCAACTCTGTGACTTGAATGCAGACATCACAGAGCAGTTTCTGAGAATGCTTCTGTCTAGATTTTATAGGAAGATATTCCCGTTTCCAACGAAATCTTCACAGCTATCCAAATATCCACTTGCAGATTCTACAAAAAGAGTGTATCAAAACTGCTCTGTCAAAAGGAAGGTTCTTCTCTGTTAGGTGAGTACAAACGTCATAAAGGAGTTTCTGAGAATGTTTTTGTCTAGTGGTTATGGGAAGATATTTGCTTTTTCCCCGTAGGCCTCAGAACGCTCCAAATATCCACTTGCACATACTACAAAAAGAGTGCTTCAAAGCTGCTCTCTGAAACGGAATGTTCAACTCTATGAGTTGAATGCAAACATCACAAAGACGTTTCTGAGAATGCTTCTGTCTAGATTTGATATGAAGATATTCCCGTTTCCAACGAAATCTTCAAATCTATCCAAATGTCCACTTGCAGATTCAACAAAGTGTTTTTCAGAACTGCTCTATCAAAAGAAAGATCCACCTCTGTTAGCTGAGATCACACTTCACAAACAAGTATATCAGAATGCTTCTGTCTAGTTTTTATTTGAAGATATTTCCTTTCTCACCATAGACCTGAAAGCGGTCCTAATGTTCACTTCCAGATACTACAGAAAGAGTGTTTCAAAACTGCTGTACGAAAGGGAATGTTCAACTCTGTGACTTGAATGCACACATCACAAAGAAGTTTCTGAGGATGCTGCTGTCTACTTTTTATACGTAATCCCGTTTCCAACGAAATCCTCCAATCTATCCAAATATCCACTTGCAGATTCCACAGAAAGACTGTTTCAAAACTGCTCTGTCAATAGAAAGGTTCAACTCTATTAGCTGCGTACATATATCCCAAAGAAGATTCTGAGATTGCTTCTGTCTAGTTTTTATGGGAAGATATTTCCCTTTTCACCGTAGGCGTCAAGGCGCTCCAAATGTCCACTTCCAGATACTACAAAAAGAGTGTTTCAAACCTACTCTGTGAAAGGGAATATTCAACTCTGTGACTTGAATGCAGATATCACAATGAAGTTTCTGAGAATGCTTCTGTCGAGATTTTATATGAAGATATTCCCGTTTCCAACGGAATCCTGAAATCTATCTAAATACCCCCTCGCAGATTCTACAAAAAGAGTGTTTCAAAACTGCTCTGTAAAAAGAAAGGTTCAACTCTGTTAGTTGAGTACACACATCACAAACAAGTTTCACAGAATGCTTCTTTCTAGCTTGTAGGGGAAGATATTTCCTTTATCACCATGGGCCGTAAACCGTCCGAAAGGTCCACTTCCATATACTAAAAAAAGAGTGTTTGAAACCTGCTCTATGAAAGGCAATGTTCAACTCTGTGACTTGAATGCAGACATCACAGAGCAGTTTCTGAGAATGCTTCTGTCTAGATTTTATAGGAAGATATTCCCGTTTCCAACGAAATCTTCACAGCTATCCAAATATCCACTTGCAGATTCTACAAAAAGAGTGTATCAAAACTGCTCTGTCAAAAGGAAGGTTCTTCTCTGTTAGTTGAGTACATACTTCATAAAGGAGTTTCTGAGAATGTTTCTGTCTAGTCGTTATGGGAAGATATTTGGTTTTTCACCGTAGGCCTCAGAGCGCTCCAAATATCCCCTTGCACATACTACAAAAAGAGTGCTTCAGAGCTGCTCTCTGAAAGGGAATGTTCAACTCTATGAGTTGAATGCAAACATCAAAAAGACGTTTCTGAGAATGCTTCTGTCTAGACTTGATATGAAGATATTCCCGTTTCCAAAGAAATCTTCAAATCTATCCAAATGTCCACTTGCAGATTCAACAAAAAGTGTTTTTCAGAACTGCTCTATCAAAAGAAAGATCCACCTCTGTTAGCTGAGTTCACACATCCAAAACAAGTTTATGAGAATGCTTCTGTCTAGTTTTTATTTGAAGATATTTTCTTTCTCACCATAGACCTGAAAGCTGTCCTAATGTTCACTTCCAGATACTACAGAAAGAGTGTTTCAAAACTGCTGTACGAAAGGGAATGTTCAACTCTGTGACTTGAATGCACACATCACAAAGATGTTTCTGAGGATGCTGCTGTGTACTTTTTATACGTAATCCCGTTTCCAACGAAATCCTCCAATCTATCCAAATATCCACTTGCAGATTCCACAGAAAGACTGTTTCAAATCTGCTCAGTCAATAGAAAGGTTCAACTCTGTTAGCTGCGTGCATATATCACAAAGAAGATTCTGAGATTGCTTCTGTCTAGTTTTTATGAGAAGATATTTCCCTTTTCACCGTAGGTGTCAAGGCGCTCCAAATGTCCACTTCCAGATACTACAAAAAGAGTGTTTCAAACCTACTCTGTGAAAGGGAATATTCAACTCTGTGACTTGAATGCAGATATCACAAAGAAGTTTCTGAGAATGCTTCTGTCGAGATTTTATATGAAGATATTCCCGTTTCCAACGAAATCCTGAAATCTATCCAAATATCCCCTCGCAGATTCTACAAAAAGTGTGTTTCAAAACTGCTCTGTAAAAAGAAAGGTTCAACTCTGTTAGTTGAGTACACACAGCACAAACAAGTTTCACAGAATGCTTCTTTCTAGCTTGTAGGGGAAGATATTCCCTTTATCACCATGGGCCTCCAACCGTCCGAAACATCCACTTCCATATACTACAAAAAGAGCGTTTCAAACCTGCTCTATGAAAGACAATGTTCAACTCTGTGACTTGAATGCAGACATCACAGAGCAGTTTCTGAGAATGCTTCTGTCTAGATTTTATAGGAAGATATTCCCGTTTCCAACGAAATCTTCACAGCTATCCAAATATCCACTTGCAGATTCTACAAAAGGAGTGTATCAAAACTGCTCTGTCAAAAGGAAGGTTCTTCTCTGTTAGGTGAGTGCATACGTCATAAAGGAGTTTCTGAGAATGTTTCTGTCTAGTGGTTATGGGAAGATATTTGCTTTTTCACCGTAGACCTCAGAGCGCTCCAAATATCCACTTGCACATACTACAAAAAGAGTGCCTCAAAGCTGCTCTCTGAAACGGAATGTTCAACTCTATGAGTTGAATGCAAACATCACAAAGACGTTTCTGAGAATGCTTCTGTCTAGATTTGATATGAAGATATTCCCGTTTCCAACGAAATCTTCAAATCTATCCAAATGTCCACTTGCAGATTCAACAAAAAGTGTTTTTCCGAACTGCTCTATCAACAGAAAGATCCGCCTCTGTTAGCTGAGTTCACACATCACAAACAAGTTTATGAGAATGCTTCTGTGTAGTTTTTATTTGAAGATATTTCCTTTCTCACCATAGACCTGAAAGCTGTCCTAATGTTCACTTCCAGATACTACAGAAAGAGTGTTTCAAAACTGCTGTACGAAAGGGAATGTTCAACTCTGTGACTTGAATGCACACATCACAAAGAAGTTTCTGAGGATGCTGCTGTCTACTTTCTATACGTAATCCCGTTTCCAACGAAATCCTCCAAGCTATCCAAATATCCACTTGCAGATTCCACAGAAAGACTGTTTCAAAACTGCTCTGTCAATAGAAAGGTTCAACTCTGTTAACTGCGTGCATATATCCCAAAGAAGATTCTGAGATTGCTTCTGTCTAATTTTTATGAGAAGATATTTCCCTTTTCACCGTAGGCGTCAAGGCGCTCCAAATGTCCACTTCCAGATACTACAAAAAGAGTGTTTCAAACCTACTCTGTGAAAGGGAATATTCAACTCTGTGACTTGAATGCACATATCACAAAGAAGTTTCTGAGAATGCTTCTGTCGAGATTTTATATGAAGATATTCCCGTTTCCAACGAAATCCTGAAATGTATCCAAATATCCCCTTGCAGATTCTACAAAAAGAGTGTTTCAAAACTGCTCTGTAAAAAGAAAGGTTCAACTCTGTTAGTTGAGTACACACATCACAAACAAGTTTATGAGAATGCTTCTTTCTAGCTTGTAGGGGAAGATATTCCCTTTATCACCATGGGCTTCAAACCGTCCGAAACATCCACTTCCATATACTACAAAAAGAGCGTTTCAAACCTGCTCTATGAAAGGCAATGTTCAACTCTGTGACTTGAATGCAGACATCACAGAGCAGTTTCTGAGAATGCTTCTGTCTAGATTTTATAGGAAGATGTTCCCGTTTCCAACGAAATCTTCACAGCTATCCAAATATCCACTTGCAGATTCTACAAAAAGAGTGTATCAAAACTGCTCTGTCAAAAGGAAGGTTCTTCTCTGTTAGGTGAGTGCATACGTCATAAAGGAGTTTCTGAGAATGTTTCTGTCTAGTGGTTATGGGAAGATATTTGCTTTTTCACCGTAGGCCTCAGAGCGCTCCAAATATCCACTTGCACATACTACAAAAAGAGTGCTTCAAAGCTGCTCTCTGAAACGGAATGTTCAACTCTATGAGTTGAATGCAAACATCACAAAGACGTTTCTGAGAATGCTTTCTGTCTAGATTTGATACGAAGATATTCCCGTTTCCAACGAAATCTTCAAATCTATCCAAATGTCCACTTGCAGATTCAACAAAAAGTGTTTTTCAGAACTGCTCTATCAAAAGAAAGATCCACCTCTGTTAGCTGAGTTCACACAACACAAACAAGTTTATGAGAATGCTTCTGTCTAGTTTTTATTTGAAGATATTTCCTTTCTCACCATAGAGCTGAAAGCTGTCCTAATGTTCACTTCCAGATACTACAGAAAGAGTGTTTCAAAACTGCTGTACGAAAGGGAATGTTCAACTCTGTGACTTGAATGCACACATCACAAAGAAGATTCTGAGGATGCTGCTGTCTACTTTTTATACGTAATCCCGTTTCCAACGAAATCCTCCAAGCTATCCAAATATCCACTTGCAGATTCCACAGAAAGACTGTTTCAAAACTGCTCTGTCAATAGAAAGGTTCAACTCTGTTAGCTGCGTGGATATATCCCAAAGAAAATTCTGAGATTGCTTCTGTCTAGTTTTTATGGGAAGATATTTCCCTTTTTACCGTAGGTGTCAAGGCGCTCAAAATGTCCACTTCCAGATACTACAAAAAGAGTGTTTCAAACCTACTCTGTGAAAGGGAATATTCAACTCTGTGACTTGAATGCAGATATCACAAAGAAGTTTCTGAGAATGCTTCTGTCGAGATTTTATATGAAGATACTCCCGTTTCCAACGAAATCCTGAAATCTATCCAAATATCCCTTCGCAGATTCTACAAAAAGAGTGTTTCAAAATTGCTCTGTAAAAAGAAAGGTTCAACTCTGTTAGTTGAGTACACACATCACAAACAAGTTTCACAGAATGCTTCTTTCTAGCTTGTAGGGGAAGATATTCCCTTTAACACCATGGGCCTCAAACCGTCTGAAACGTCCACTTCCATATACTAAAAAAGATCATTTCAAACCTGCTCTAGGAAAGGCAATGTTCAACTCTGTGACTTGAATGCAGACATCACAAAGCAGTTTCTGAGAATGCTTCTGTATAGATTTTATAGGAAGATATTCCCGTTTCCAACGAAATCTTCACAGCTATCCAAATATCCACTTGCAGATTCTACAAAAAGAGTGTATCAAAACTGCTCTGTCAAAAGGAAGGTTCTTACTCCTGTTAGGTGAGTGCATACGTCATAAAGGAGTTTCTGAGAATGTTTCTGTCTAGTGGTTATGGGAAGATATTTGCTTTTTCCCCGTAGGCCTCAGAGCGCTCCAAATATCCACTTGCACATACTACAAAAAGAGTGCTTCAAAGCTGCTCTCTGAAACGGAATTTTCAACTCTATGAGTTGAATGCAAACATCACAAAGACGTTTCTGAGAATGCTTCTGTCTAGATTTGATATGAAGATATTCCCGTTTCCAACGAAATCTTCATATCTATCCAAATGTCCACTTGCAGATTCAACAAAAAGTGTTTTTCAAAACTGCTCTATCAAAAGAAAGATCCACGTCTGTTAGCTGAGTTCACACATCACAAACAAGTTTATGAGAATGCTTCTGTCTAGTTTTTATTTGAAGATATTTCCTTTCTCACCATAGACCTGAAAGCTGTCCAAATGTTCACTTCCAGATACTACAGAAAGAGTGTTTCAAAACTGCTGTACGAAAGGGAATGTTCAACTCTGTGATTTGAATGCAGACATCACAAAGAAGTTTCTGAGGATGCTGCTGTCTACTTTTTATACGTAATCCCGTTTCCAACGAAATCCTCCAAGCTATCCCAAATATCCACTTGCAGATTCCACAGAAAGACTGTTTCAAAACTGCTCTGTCAATAGAAAGGTTCAACTCTGTTAGCTGCGTGCATATATCCCAAAGAAGATTCTGAGATTGCTTCTGTCTAGTTTTAATGGGAAGATATTTCCCTTTTCACCGTAGGCGTCAAGGCGCTCCAAATGTCCACTTCCAGATTCTACAAAAAGAGTGTTTCTAACCTACTCGGTGAAAGGGAATATTCAACTCTGTGACTTGAATGCAGATATCACAAAGAAGTTTCTGAGAATGCTTCTGTCGAGATTTTATATGAAGATATTCCCGGTTCCAACGAAATCCTGAAATCTATCCAAATATCCCCTCGCAGATTCTACAAAAAGAGTGTTTCAAAACTGCTCTGTAAAAAGAAAGGTTCAACTCTGTTAGTTGAGTACACACATCACAAACAAGTTTCACACAATGCTTCTTTCTAGCTTGTAGGGGAAGATATTCCCTTTATCACCATGGGCCTCAAACCGTCCGATAAGTCCACTTCCATATACTATAAAAAGAGCGTTTCAAACCTGCTCTATGAAAGGCAATGTTCAACTCTGTGACTTGAATGCAGACATCACAGAGCAGTTTCTGAGAATGCTTCTGTCTAGATTTTATAGGAAGATATTCCCGTTTCCAACGAAATCTTCACAGCTATCCAAATATCCACTTGCAGATTCTACAAAAAGAGTGTATCAAAACTGCTCTGTCAAACGGAAGGTTCTTCTCTGTTAGGTGAGTGCATACGTCATAAAGGAGTTTCTGAGAATGTTTCTGTGTAGTGGTTATGGGAAGATATTTGCTTTTTCACCGTAGGCCTCAGAGCGCTCCAAATATCCACTTGCACATACTACAAAAAGAGTGCTTCAAAGCTGCTCTCTGAAAGGGAATGTTCAACTCTATGAGTTGAATGCAAACATCACAAAGACGTTTCTGAGAATGCTTCTGTCTAGATTTTACATGAAGATATTCCCGTTTCCAACGAAATCTTCAAATCTATCCACATGTCCACATGCAGGTTCAACAAAAAGTGTTTTTCAAAACTGCTGTATGAAAAGAAAGATCCACCTATGTTAGTTGAGTTCACACATCACAAACAAGTTTATGAGAATGCTTCTGTCTAGTTTTTATTTGAAGATATTTCCTTTCTCACCATAGACCTGAAAGCTGTCCTAATGTTCACTTCCAGATACTACAGAAAGAGTGTTTCAAAACTGCTGTACGAAAGGGAATGTTCAACTCTGTGACTTGAATGCACACATCACAAAGAAGTTTCAGAGGATGCTGCTGTCTACTTTTTATACGTAATCCCGTTTCCAACGAAATCCTCCAAGCTATCCAAATATCCACTTGCAGATTCCACAGAAAGACTGTTTCAAAACTGCTCTGTCAATAGAAAGGTTCAACTCTATTAGCTGCGTACATATATCCCAAAGAAGATTCTGAGATGGCTTCTGTCTAGTTTTTATGGGAAGATATTTCCCTTTTCACCGTAGGCGTCAAGGCGCTCCAAATGTCCACTTCCAGATACTACAAAAAGAGTGTTTCAAACCTTCTCTGTGAAAGGGAACATTCAAATCTGTGACTTGAATGCACATATCACAAAGAAGTTTCTGAGAATGCTTCTGTCGAGATTTTATATGAAGATATTCCCGTTTCCAATGAAATGCTGAAATGTATCCAAATATCCCCTCGCAGATTCTACAAAAAGAGTGTTTCAAAACTGCTCTGTAAAAAGAAAGGTTCAACTCTGTTAGTTGAGTACACACATCACAAACAAGTTTCACAGAATGCTTCTTTCTAGCTTGTAGGGGAAGATATTCCCTTTATCACCATGGGCCTGAAACCGTCCGAAACGTCTACTTCCATATACTACAAAAAGAGCGTTTCAAACCTGCTCTATGAAAGGCAATGTTCAACTCTGTGACTTGAATGCAGACATCACAGAGCAGTTTCTGAGAATGCTTCTGTCTAGATTTTATAGGAAGATATTCCCGTTTCCAACGAAATCTTCACAGCTATCCAAATATCCACTTGCAGATTTTACAAAAAGAGTGTATCAAAACTGCTCTGTCAAAAGGAAGGTTCTTCTCTGTTAGGTGAGTGCATACGTCATAAAGGAGTTTCTGAGAATGTTTCTGTCTAGTGGTTATGGGAAGATACTTGCTTTTTCACCGTAGGCCTCAGAGCGCTCCAAATATCCACTTGCACATACTACAAAAAGAGTGCCTCAAAGCTGCTCTCTGAAACGGAATGTTCAACTCTATGAGTTGAATGCAAACATCACAAAGACGTTTCTGAGAATGCTTCTGTCTAGATTTGATATGAAGATATTCCCGTTTCCAACGAAATCTTCAAATCTATCGAAATGTCCACTTGCAGATTCAACAAAAAGTGTTTTTCAGAACTGCTCTATCAAAAGAAAGATCCACCTCTGTTAGCTGAGTTCACACATCACAAACAAGTTTATGAGAATGCTTTCTGTCTAGTTTTTATTTGAAGATATTTCCTTTCTCACCATAGAGCTGAAAGCTGTCCTAATGTTCACTTCCAGATACTATAGAAAGAGTGTTTCAAAACTGCTGTACGAAAGGGAATGTTCAACTCTGTGACTTGAATGCACACATCACAAAGAAGTTTCTGAGGATGCTGCTGTCTACTTTTTATACGTAATCCCGTTTCCAACGAAATCCTCCAAGCTATCCAAATATCCACTTGCAGATTCCCCAGAAAGACTGTTTCAAAACTGCTCTGTCAATAGAAAGGTTCAACTCTGTTAGCTGCGTGCATATATCCCAAAGAAGATTCTGAGATTGTTTCTGTCTAGTTTTTATGGGAAGATATTTCCCTTTTCACCGTAGGCGTCAAGGTGCTCCAAATGTCCACATCCGGATACTACAAAAAGAGTGTTTCAAACCTACTCTGTGAAAGGGAATATTCAATTCTGTGACTTGAATGCACATATCACAAAGAAGTTTCTGAGAATGCTTCTGTCGAGATTTTCTATGAAGATATTCCAGTTTCCAACGAAATCCTGAAATCTATCCAAATATCCCCTCGCAGATTCTACAAAAAGAGTGTTTCAAAACTGCTCTGTAAAAAGAAAGGTTCAACTCTGTTAGTTGAGTACACACATCACAAACAAGTTTCACAGAATGCTCCTTCTAGCTTGTAGGGGAAGATATTCCCTTTATCACCATGGGCCTCAAACCGTCCGAAACGTTTACTTCCATGTACTACAAAAAGAGCGTTTCAAACCTGCTCTATGAAAGGCAATGTTCAACTCTGTGACTTGAATGCAGACATCACAGAGCAGTTTCTGAGAATGCTTCTGTCTAGATTTTATAGGAAGATATTCCCGTTTCCAACGAAACCTTCACAGCTATCCAAATATCCACTTGCAGATTCTACAAAAAGAGTGTATCAAAACTGCTCTGTCAAAAGGAAGGTTCTTCTCTGTTAGGTGAGTGCATACATCATAAAGGAGTTTCTGAGAATGTTTCTGTCTAGTGGTTATGGGAACATATTTGCTTTTTCACCGTAGGCCTCAGAGCGCTCCAAATATCCACTTGCACATACTACAAAAAGAGTGCCTCAAAGCTGCTCTCTGAAACGGAATGTTCAACTCTATGAGTTGAATGCAAACATCGCAAAGACGTTTCTGAGAATGCTTCTGTCTAGATTTGATATGAAGATATTCCCGTTTCCAACGAAATCTTCAAATCTATCCAAATGTCCACTTGCAGATTCAACAAAGTGTTTTTCAATACTGCTGTATCAAAAGAAAGATCCACCTGTGTTAGCTGAGTTCACACTTCACAAACAAGTTTATGAGAATGCTTCTGTCTAGTTTTTATTTGAAGATATTTCCTTTCTCACCATAGAGCTGAAAGCTGTCCTAATGTTCTCTTCCAGATACTACAGAAAGAGTGTTTCAAAACGGCTGTACGAAAGGGAATGTTCAACTCTGTGACTTGAATGCACACATCACAAAGAAGTTTCGGAGGATGCTGCTGTCTACTTTTTATGCGTAATCCCTTTTCCAACGAAATCCTCCAAGCTATCCAAATATCCACTTGCAGATTCCACAGAAAGACTGTTTCAAAACTGCTCTGTCAATAGAAAGGTTCAACTCTGTTAGCTGCGTGCATATATCCCAAAGAAGATTCTGAGATTGCTTCTGTCTAGTTTTTATGGGAAGATATTTCCCTTTTCACCGTAGGCGTCAAGGCGCTCCAAATGTCCACTTCCAGATACTACAAAAAGAGTGTTTCAAACCTACTGTGTGAAAGGGAATATTCAACTCTGTGACTTGAATGCACATATCACAAAGAAGTTTCTGAGAATGCTTCTGTCGAGATTTTATATGAAGATATTCCCGTTTCCAACGAAATGCTGAAATGTATCCAAATATCCGCTCGCAGATTCTACAAAAAGAGTGTTTCAAAACTGCTCTGTAAAAAGAAAGGTTCAACTCTGTTAGTTGAGTACACACATCACAAACAAGTTTCACAGAATGCTTCTTTCTAGCTTGTAGGGGAAGATATTCCCTTTATCACCATGGGCCTCCAACCGTCCGAAACATCCACTTCCATATACTACAAAAAGAGCGTTTCAAACCTGCTCTATGAAAGGCAATGTTTAACTCTGTGACTTGAATACAGACATCACAGAGCAGTTTCTGAGAATGCTTCTGTCTAGATTTTATAGGAAGATATTCCCGTTTCCAACGAAATATTCACAGCTATCCAAATATCCACTTGCAGATTCTACAAAAAGAGTGTATCAAAACTGCTGTGTCAAAAGGAAGGTTCTTCTCTGTTAGGTGAGTGCATACGTCATAAAGGAGTTTCTGAGAATGTTTCTGCCTAGTGGTTATGGGAAGATATTTGCTTTTTCACCGTAGGCCTCAGAGCGCTCCAAATATCCACTTGCACATACTACAAAAAGAGTGCTTCAAAGCTGCTCTCTGAAAGGGAATGTTCAACTCTATGAGTTGAATGCAAACATCACAAAGACGTTTCTGAGAATGCTGCTGTCTAGATTTGATATGAAGATATTCCCGTTTCCAACGAAATCTTCAAATCTATCCAAATGTCCACTTGCAGATTCAACAAAAAGTGTTTTTCAGAAATGCTCTATCAAAAGAAAGATCCACCTCTGTTAGCTGAGTTCACACATCACAAACAAGTTTATGAGAATGCTTCTGTCTAGTTTTTATTTGAAGATATTTCCTTTCTCACCATAGAGCTGAAAGCTGTCCTAATGTTCACTTCCAGATACTACAGAAAGAGTGTTTGAAAACTGCTGTACAAAAGGGAATGTTCAACTCTGTGACTTGAATGCACACATCACAAAGAAGTTTCTGAGGATGCTGCTGTCTACTTTTTATACGTAATCCCGTTTCCAACGAAATCCTCCAAGCTATCCAAATATCCACTTGCAGATTCCACAGAAAGACTGTTTCAAAACTACTCTGTCAATAGAAAGGTTCAACTCTGTTAGCTGCGTGCATATATCCCAAAGAAGATTCTGAGATTGCTTCTGTCTAGTTTTTATGGGAAGATATTTCCCTTTTCACCGTAGGTGTCAAGGCGCTCCAAATGTCCACTTCCAGATACTACAAAAAGGGTGTTTCAAACCTACTCTGTGAAAGGGAATATTCAACTCTGTGACTTGAATGCACATATCACAAAGAAGTTTCTGACAATGCTTCTGTCGAGATTTTATATGAAGATATTCCCGTTTCCAACGAAATCGTGAAATCTATCCAAATATCCCCTCGCAGATTCTACAAAAAGAGTGTTTCAAAACTGCTCTGTAAAAAGAAAGGTTCAACTCTGTTAGTTGAGTACACACATCACAAACAAGTTTCACAGAATGCTTCTTTCTAGCTTGTAGGGGAAGATATTCCCTTTATCACCATGGGCCTCAAACCGTCCGAAACGTCTACTTCCATATACTACAAAAAGAGCGTTTCAAACCCGCTCTATGAAAAGCAATGTTCAACTCTGTGACTTGAATGCAGACATCACAGAGCAGTTTCTGAGAATGCTTCTGTCTAGATTTTATAGGAAGATATTCCCGTTTCCAACGAAATCTTCACAGCTATCCAAATATCCACTTGCAGATTCTTCAAAAAGAGTGTATCAAAACTGCTCTGTCAAAAGGAAGGTTCTTTTCTGTTAGGTGAGTGCATACGTCATAAAGGAGTTTCTGAGAATGTTTCTGTCTAGTGGTTATGGGAAGATATTTGCTTTTTCACCGTAGGCCTCAGAGCGCTCCAAATATCCACTTGCACATACTACAAAAAGAGTGCCTCAAAGCTGCTCTCTGAAACCGAATGTTCAACTCCATGAGTTGAATGCAAACATCACAAAGACGTTTCTGAGAATGCTTCTGTCTAGATTTGATATGAAGATATTCCCGTTTCCAACGAAATCTTCAAATCTATCCAAATGTCCACTTGCAGATTCAACAAAAAGTGTTTTTCAGAACTGCTCTATCAAAAGAAAGATCCACCTCTGTTAGCTGAGTGCACACATCACAAACAAGTTTATGAGTATGCTTCTGTCTAGTTTTTATTTGAAGATATTTCCTTTCTCACCATAGACCTGAAAGATGTCCTAATGTTCACTTAGAGATACTACAGAAAGAGTGTTTCAAAACTGCTGTACGAAAGGGAATGTTCAACACTGTGACATGAATGCACACATCACAAAGAAGTTTCTGTGGATGCTACTGTCTACTTTTTATACGTAAACCCGTTTCCAACGAAATCCTCCAAGCTATCCAAATATCCACTTGCAGATTCCACAGAAAAACTGTTACAAAACTGCTCTGTCAATAGAAAGGTTCAACTCTGTTAGCTGCGTGCATATATCCCAAAGAAGATTCTGAGATTGCTTCTGTCTAGTTTTTATGGGAAGATATTTCCCTTTTCACCGTAGGCGTCAAGGCGCTCCAAATGTCCACTTCCAGATACTACAAAAAGAGTGTTTCAAACCTACTCTGTGAAAGGGAATATTCACCTCTGTGACTTGAAGGCAGATATCACAAAGAAGTTTCTGAGAATGCTTCTGTCGACATTTTATATGAAGATATTCCCGTTTCCAACGAAATCCTGAAATGTATCCAAATATCCCCTCGCAGATTCTACAAAAAGAGTGTTTCAAAACTGCTCTGTAAAAAGAAAGGTTCAACTCTGTTAGTTGAGTACACACATCACAAACTAGTTTCACACAATGCTTCTTTCTAGCTTGTAGGGGAAGATATTTCCTTTATCACCATGGTCCTCAAACCGTCCGAAACGTCCACTTCCATATACTAAAAAAAGAGTGTTTGAAACCTGCTCTATGAAAGGCAACGTTCAACACTGTGACTTGAATGCAGACATCACAGAGCAGTTTCTGAGAATGCTTCTGTCTAGATTTTATAGGAAGATATTCCCGTTTCCAACGAAATCTTCACAGCTATCCAAATATCCTCTTGCAGATTCTACAAAAAGAGTGTATCAAAACTGCTCTGTCAAAAGGAAGGTTCTTCTTCTGTTAGGTGAGTGCATACGTCATAAAGGAGTTTCTGAGAATGTTTCTGTCTAGTGGTTATGGGAAGATATTTGCTTTTTCCCCGTAGGCGTCAGAGCGCTCCAAATATCCACTTGCACATACTACAAAAAGAGTGCTTCAAAACTGCTCTCTGAAAGGGAATGTTCAACTCTATGAGTTGAATGCAAACATCACAAAGACGTTTCTGAGAATGCCTCTGTCTAGATTTGATATGAAGATATTCCCGTTTCCAACGAAATCTTCAAATCTATCCAAATGTCCTCTTGCAGATTCAACAAAAAGTGTTTTTCAGAACTGCTCTATCAAAAGAAAGATCCACGTGTGTTAGCTGAGTTCACGCATCACGAACAAGTTTATGAGAATGCTTCTGTCTAGTTTTTATTTGAAGATATTTCCTTTCTCACCATATACCTGAAAGCTGTCCTAATGTTCACTTCCAGATACTACAGAAAGAGTGTTTCAAAACTGCTGTACGAAAGGGAATGTTCAACACTGTGACTTGAATGCACACATCACAAAGAAGTTTCTGAGGATGCTGCAGTCTACTTTTTATACGTAATCCCGTTTCCAACGAAATCCTCCAAGCTATCCAAATATCCACTTGCAGATTCCACAGAAAGACTGTTTCAAAACTGCTCTGTCAATAGAAAGGTTCAACTCTGTTAGCTGCGTGCATATATCCCAAAGAAGATTCTGAGATTGCTTCTGTCTAGTTTTTATGGGAAGATATTTCCCTTTTCACCATAGGCGTCAAGGCGCCCCAAATGTCCACTTCCAGATACTACAAAAAGAGTGTTTCAAACCTACTCTGTGAAAGGGAATATTCAACTCTGTGACTTGAATGCACATATCACAAAGAAGTTTCTGAGAATGCTTCTGTCGAGATTTTATATGAAGATATTCCCGTTTCCAACGAAATCCTGAAATCTATACAAATATCCCCTCGCAGATTCTACAAAAAGAGTGTTTCAAAACTGCTCTGTAAAAAGAAAGGTTCAACTCTGTTAGTTGAGTACACACATCACAAACAAGTTTCACAGAATGCTTCTTTCTAGCTTGTAGGGGAAGATATTCCCTTTATCACCATGGGCCTCAAACCGTCCGAAACGTCCACTTCCATATACTACAAAAAGAGTGTTTCAAACCTGCTCTAGGAAAGGCAATGTTCAACTCTGTGACTTGAATGCAGACATCACATAGCAGTTTCTGAGAATGCTTCTGTCTAGATTTTATAGGAAGATATTCCCGTTTCCAACGAAATCTTCACAGCTATCCAAGTATCCACTTGCAGATTCTACAAAAAGAGTGTATCAAAACTGCTCTGTCAAAAGGAAGGTTCTTCTCTGTTAGGTGAGTGCATACGTCATAAAGGAGTTTCTGAGAATGTTTCGGTCTAGTGGTTATGGGAAGATATTTGCTTTTTCACCGTAGGCCTCAGAGCGCTCCAAATATCCACTTGCACATACTAGAAAAAGAGTGCCTCAAAGCTGCTCTCTGAAACGGAATGTTCAACTCTATGAGTTGAATGCAAACATCACAAAGACGTTTCTGAGAATGCTTCTGTCTAGATTTGATATGAAGATATTCCCGTTTCCAACGAAATCTTCAAATCTATCCAAATGTCCACTTGCAGATTCAACAAAAAGTGTTATTCAGAACTGCTCTATCAAAAGAAAGATCCACCTCTGTTAGCTGAGTTCACACATCACAAAGAAGTTTATGAGAATGCTTCTGTCTAGTTTTTATTTGAAGATATTTCCTTTCTCCCCATAGACCTGAAAGCTGTCCTAATGTTCACTTCCAGATACTACAGAAAGAGTGTTTCAAAACTGCTGTACGAAAGGGAATGTTCAACTCTGTGACTTGAATGCACACATCACAAAGAAGTTTCTGAGGATGCTGCTGTCTACTTTTTATACGTAATCCCGTTTCCAACGAAATCCTCCAAGCTATCCAAATATCCACTTGCAGATTCCACAGAAAGACTGTTTCTAAACTGCTCTGTCAATAGAAAGGTTCAACTCTGTTAGCTGCGTGCATATATCCCAAAGAAGATTCTGAGATTGCTTCTGTCTAGTTTTTATGGGAAGATATTTCCCTTTTCACCGTAGGTGTCACGGCGCTCCAAATGTCCACTTCCAGATACTACAAAAAGAGTGTTTCAAACCTACTCTGTGAAAGGGAATATTCAACTCTGTGACTTGAATGCAGATATCACAAAGAAGTTTCTGAGAATGCTTCTGTCGAGATTTTATATGAAGATATTCCCGTTTCCAACGAAATCCTGAAATCTATCCAAATATCCCCTCGCAGATTCTACAAAAAGAGTGTTTCAAAACTGCTCTGTAAAAAGAAAGGTTCAACTGTGTTAGTTGAGTACACACATCACAAACAAGTTTCACAGAATGCTTCTTTCTAGCTTGTAGGGGAAGATTTTCCCTTTATCACCATGGGCCTCCAACCGTCCGAAACATCCACTTCCATATACTACAAAAAGAGCGTTTCAAACCTGCTCTAGGAAAGGCAATGTTCAACTCTGTGACTTGAATGCAGACATCACAGAGCAGTTTCTGAGAATGCTTCTGTCTAGATTTTATAGGAAGGTATTCCCGTTTCCAACGAAATCTTCACAGCTATCCAAATATCCTCTTGCAGATTCTACAAAAAGAGTGTATCAAAACTGCTCTGTCAAAAGGACGGTCCTTCTCTGTTATTTGAGTACATACGTCATAAAGGGGTTTCTGAGAATGTTTCTGTCTATTGGTTATGGGAAGATATTTGCTTTTTCACCTTAGGACTCAGAGCGCTCCAAATATCCCCTTGCACATACTACAAAAAGAGTGCTTCAAAGCTGCTCTCTGAAACGGAATGTTCAACTCTATGAGTTGAATGCAAACATCACAAAGACGTTTCCGAGAATGCTTCTGTCTAGATTTGATATGAAGATATTCCCGTTTCCAACGAAATCTTCAAATCTATCCAAATGTCCACTTGCAGATTCAACAAAAAGTGTTTTTCAAAACTGCTATATCAAAAGAAAGATCCACGTCTGTTAGCTGATTTCACACATCACAAACAAGTTTATGAGAATGCTTCTGTCTAGTTTTTATTTGAAGATATTTCCTTTCTCACCATAGAGCTGAAAGCTGTCCTAATGTTCACTTCCAGATACTACAGAAAGAGTGTTTCAAAACTGCTGTACGAAAGGGAATGTTCAACTCTGTGACTTGAATGCACACATCACAAAGAAGTTTCTGACGATGCTGCTGTCTACTTTCTATACGGTAATCCCGTTTCCAACGAAATCCTCCAAGCTATCCAAATATCCACTTGCAGATTCCACAGAAAGACTGTTTCAAAACTGCTCTGTCAATAGAAAGGTTCAACTCTGTTAACTGCGTGCATATATCCCAAAGAAGATTCTGAGATTGCTTCTGTCTAGTTTTTATGGGAAGATATTTCCCTTTTCACCGTAGGCGTCAAGGCGCTCCAAATATCCACTTCCAGATACTACAAAAAGAGTGTTTCAAACCTACTCTGTGAAAGGGAATATTCAACTCTGTGACTTGAATGCACATATCACAAAGAAGTTTCTGAGAATGCTTCTGTCGAGATTTTATATGAAGATATTCCCGTTTCCAACGAAATCCTGAAATGTATCCAAATATACCCTCGCAGATTCTACAAAAAGAGTGTTTCAAAACTGCTCTGTAAAAAGAAAGGTTCAACTCTGTTAGTTGAGTACACACATCACAAACAAGTTTCACAGAATGCTTCTTTCTAGCTTGTAGGGGAAGATATTCCCTTTATCACCATGGGCCTCAAACCGTCTGAAACGTCCACTTCCATATACTACAAAAAGAGTGTTTGAAACCTCCTCTATGAAAGGCAATGTTCAACTCTGTGACTTGAATGCAGACATCACAGAGCAGTTTCTGAGAATGCTTCTGTCTAGATTTTATAGGAAGATATTCCCGTTTCCAACGAAATCTTCACAGCTATCCAAATATCCACTTGCAGATTCTACAAAAAGAGTGTATCAAAACTGCTCTGTCAAAAGGAAGGTTTTTCTCTGTTAGTTGAGTACATACGTCATAAAGGAGTTTCTGAGAATGTTTCTGTCTACTGGTTATGGGAAGATATTTGCTTTTTCACCGTAGGCCTCAGAGCGCTCCAAATATCCACTTGCACATACTACAAAAAGAGTGCTTCAAAGCTGCTCTCTGAAAGGGAATGTTCAACTCTATGAGTTGAATGGAAACATCACAAAGACGTTTCTGAGAATGCTTCTGTCTAGATTTGATATGAAGATATTCCCGTTTCCAACGACATCTTCAAATCTATCCAAATGTCCACTTGCAGATTCAACAAAACGTGTTTTTCAGAACTGCTCTATCAAAAGAAAGATCCACCTCTGTTAGCTGAGTTCACACATAACAAACAAGTTTATGAGAATGCTTCTGTCTAGTTTTTGTTTGAAGATATTTCCTTTCTCACCATAGAGCTGAAAGCTGTCCTAATGTTCACTTCCAGATACTACAGAAAGAGTGTTTCAAAACTGCTGTACGAAAGGGAATGTTCAACTCTGTGACTTGAATGCACACATCACAAAGAAGTTTCTGAGGATGCTGCTGTCTACTTTTTATACGTAATCCCGTTTTTAACGAAATCCTCCAAGCTATCCAAATATCCACTTGCAGATCCCACAGAAAGACTGTTTCAAAACTGCTCTGTCTATAGAAAGGTTCAACTCTGTTAGCTGCGTGCATATATCCCAACGACGATTCTGAGATTGCTTCTGTCTAGTTTTTATGGGAAGATATTTCCCTTTTCACCGTAGGCGTCAAGGCGCTCCAAATGTCCACTTCCAGATACTACAAAAAGAGTGTTTCAAACCTACTCTGTGAAAGGGAATATTCAACTCTGTGACTAGAATGCACATATCACAAAGAAGTTTCTCAGAATGCATCTGTCGAGATTTTATATGAAGATATTCCCGTTTCCAACGAAATCTTGAAATCTATCCAAATATCCCCTCGCAGATTCTACAAAAAGAGTGTTTCAAAACTGCTCTGTAAAAAGAAAGGTTCAACTCTGTTAGTTGAGTACACACATCACAAACAAGTTTCACACAATGCTTCTTTCTAGCTTGTAGGGGAAGATATTCCCTTTATCACCATGGGCCTCCAACCGTCCGAAACATCCACTTCCATATACTACAAAAAGAGCATTTCAAACCTGCTCTATGAAAGGCAATGTTCAACTCTGTGACTTGAATGCAGACATCACAGAGCAGTTTCTGAGAATGCTTCTGTCTAGATTTTATAGGAAGATATTCCCGTTTCCAACGAAATCTTCACAGCTATCCAAATATCCACTTGCAGATTCTACAAAAAGAGTGTATCAAACCTGCTCAGTCAAAAGGAAGGTTCTTCTCTGTTAGGTGAGTGCATACGTCATAAAGGAGTTTCTGAGAATGTTTCTGTCTAGTGGTTATGGGAAGATATTTGCTTTTTCACCTTAGGCCTCAGAGCGCTCCAAATATCAACTTGCACATACTACAAAAAGAGTGCTTCAAAGCTGCTCTCTGAAAGGGAATGTTCAACTCTATGAGTTGAATGCAAACATCACAAAGACGTTTCTGAGAATGCTTCTGTCTAGATTTGATATGAAGATATACCCGTTTCCAACGAAATCTTCAAATCTATCCAAATGTCCACTTGCAGATTCAACAAAGTGTTTCTCAAAACTGCTGTATCAAAAGAAAGATCCACCTCTGTTACCTGAGTTCACACTTCGCAAACAAGTTTATCAGAACTCTTCTGTCTAGTTTTTATTTGAAGATATATCCTTTCTCACTATAGACCTGAAAGCTCTCATAAAGTTCACTTCCAGATACTACAGAAAGAGTGTTTCAAAAATGCTGTACGAAAGGTAATGTTCAACTCTGTGACTTGAATGCACACATCACAAGGAAGTTTCTGAGGATGCTGCTGTCTAATTTTTATACGTAATCCCGTTTCCAACGAAATCCTCCAAGCTATCCAAATATCCACTTGCAGATTCCACAAAAGAGTGTTTCAAAGCTGCTCTGTCAATAGAAATGTTCAACTCTGTTAGCTGCGTGCATATATCACAAAGAAGATTCTGAGATTGCTTCTGTCTAGTTTTTATGGGAAGATATTTCCCTTTTCACCGTAGGTGTCAAGGCGCTCCAAATGTCCACTTCCAGATACTACAAAAAGAGTGTTTCAAACCTACTCTGTGAAAGGGGATATTCAACTCTGTGACTTAAAGGCAGATATCACAAAGAAGTTTCTGAGAATGCTTCTGTCGAGATTTTATATGAAGATATTCCCGTTTCCAACGAAATCCTGAAATGTATCCAAATATCCCCTCGCAGATTCTACAAAAAGAGTGTTTCAAAACTGCTCTGTAAAAACAAACGTTCAACTCTGTTAGTTGAGTACACACATCACAAACAAGTTTCACACAATGCTTCTTTCTAGCTTGTAGGGGAAGATATTCCCTTTATCACCATGGGCCTCAAACCGTCCGAAACGTCTACTTACATATACTACAAAAAGAGCGTTTCAAACCTGCTCTATGAAAGGCAATGTTCAACTCTGTGACTTGTATGCAGACATCACAGAGCAGTTTCTGAGAATGCTTCTGTCTAGATTTTACAGGAAGATATTCCCGTTTCCAGCGAAATCTTCACAGCTATCCAAATATCCACTTGCAGATTCTACAAAAAGAGTGTATCAAAACTGCTCTGTCAAATGGAAGGTTCTTCTCTGTTAGGTGAGTGCATACGTCATAAAGGAGTTTCTGAGAATGTTTCTGTCTAGTGGTTATGGGAAGATATTTGCTTTTTCACCGTAGGCCTCAGAGCGCTCCAAATATCCACTTGCACATACTACAAAAAGAGTGTTTCAAAGCTGCTCTCTGAATGGGAATGTTCAACTCTATGAGTTGAATGCAAACATGACAAAGACGTTTCTGAGAATGCTTCTGTCTAGATTTGATATGAAGATATTCCCGTTTCCAACGAAATCTTCAAATCTATCCAAATGTCCACTTCCAGATTCAACAAAGTGTTTTTCAGAACTGCTCTATCAAAAGAAAGATCCACCTCTGTTAGCTGAGATCACACTTCACAAACAAGTTTATCAGAATGCTTCCGTCTAGTTTTTATTTGAAGATATATCCTTTCTCACTATAGACCTGAAAGCTGTCCTAAAATTCACTTCCAGATACTACAGAAAGAGTGTTTCAAAACTGCTGTACGAAAGGGAATGTTCAACTCTGTGACTTGAATGCACACATCACAAGGATGTTTCTGAGGATGCTGCTGTCTACTTTTTATACGTAATCCCGTTTCCAACGAAATCCTCCAAGCTATCCAAGTATCCACTTGCAGATTCCACAGAAAGACTGTTTCAAAACTGCTCTGTCAATAGAAAGGTTCAACTCTGTTAGCTGCGTGCATATATCCCAAAGAAGATTCTGAGATTGCTTCTGTCTACTTTTTATGAGAAGATATTTCCCTTTTCACCGTAGGTGTAAAGGCGCTCCAAATGTCCACTTCCAGATACTACAAAAAGTGTGTTTCAAACCTACTCTGTGAAAGGGAATATTCAACTCTGTGACTTGAATGCACATATCACAAAGAAGTTTCTGAGAATGCTTCTGTCGAGATTTTATATGAAGATATTCCCGTTTCCAACGAAATCCTGAAATCTATCCAAATATCCCCTCGCAGATTCTACAAAAAGAGTGTTTCAAAACTGCTCTGTAAAAAGGAAGGTTCAACTCTGTTAGTTGAGTACACACATCACAAACAAGTTTCACAGAATGCTTCTTTCTAGCTTGTAGGGGAAGATATTCCCTTTAGCACCATGGGCCTCCAACCGTCCGATAAGTCCACTTCCATATACTACAAAAAGAGCGTTTCAAACCTGCTCTATGAAAGGCAATGTTCAACTCTGTGACTTGAATGCAGACATCACAGAGCAGTTTCTGAGAATGCTTCTGTCTAGATTTTATAGGAAGATATTCCCGTTTCCAAAGAAATCTTCACAGCTATCCAAATATCCACTTGCAGATTCTACAAAAAGAGTGTATCAAAACTGCTCTGTCAAAAGGAAGGTTCTTCTCTGTTAGGTGAGTGCATACGTCATAAAGCAGTTTCTGAGAATGTTTCTATCTAGTGGTTATGGGAAGATATTTGCTTTTTCCCCGTAGGCCTCAGGGCGCTCCAAATGTCCACTTGCACATGCTTCAAAAAGAGTGCTTCAAAGCTGCTCTCTGAAAGGGAATGTTCAACTCTATGAGTTGAATGCAAACATCACAAAGACGTTTCTGAGAATGCTTCTGTCTAGATTTGATATGAAGATATTCCCGTTTCCAACGAAATCTTCAAATCTATCCAAATGTCTACTTGCAGATTCAACAAAAAGTGTTTTTCAAAACTGCTGTATCAAAAGAAAGATCCACGTCTGTTAGCTGAGTTCACACATCACAAACAAGTTTATGAGAATGCTTCTGTCTAGTTTTTATTTGAAGGTATTTCCTTTCTCACCATAGACCTGAAAGCTGTCCTAATGTTCACTTCCAGATACTACAGAAAGAGTGTTTCAAAACTGCTGTACGAAAGGGAATGTTCAACTCTGTGACTTGAATGCACACATCACAAGGAAGTTTCTGAGGATGCTGCTGTCTACTTTTTATACGTAATCCCGTTTCCAACGAAATCCTCCAAGCTATCCAAATATCCACTTGCAGATTCCACAGAAAGACTGTTTCAAAACTGTTCTGTCAATAGAAAGGTTCAACTCTGTTACTTGAGTACACACATCACAAACAAGTTTCACAGAATGCTTCTGTCTAGTTTTTATGGGAAGATATTTGCCTTTTCACCGTAGGCGTCCAGGCGCTCCAAATGTCCACTTCCAGATACTACAAAAAGAGTGTTTCAAACCTACTCTGTGAAAGGGAATATTCAACTCTGTGACTTGAATGCACATATCACAAGGAAGTTTCTGAGAATGCTTCTGTCGAGATTTTATATGAAGATATTCCCGTTTCCAACGAAATCCTGAAGTCTCTCCAAATATCCCCTCGCAGATTCTACAAAAACAGTGTTTCAAAACTGCTCTGTAAAAAGAAAGGTTCAACTCTGTTAGTTGAGTACACACATCACAAACAAGTTTCACAGAATGCTTCTTTCTAGCTTGTAGGGCAAGATATTCCCTTTATCACCATGGGCCTCAAACCGTCCGAAACGTCTACTTCCATATACTACAAAAAGAGCGTTTCAAACCTGCTCTATGAAAGGCAATGTTCAACTCTGTGACTTGAATGCAGACATCACAGAGCAGTTTCTGAGAATGCTTCTGTCTAGATTTTATAGGAAGATATTCCCGTTTCCAAAGAAATCTTCACAGCTATCCAAATATCCACTTGCAGATTCTACAAAAAGAGTGTATCAAAACTGCTCTGTCAAAAGGAAGGTTCTTCTCTGTTAGTTGAGTACATACGTCATAAAGGAGTAATCTGAGAATGTTCCTGTCTAGTGGTTATGGGAAGATATTTGCTTTTTCCCTGTAGGCCTCAAAGCGCTCCAAATGTCCACTTGCACATACTACAAAAAGAGTGCTTCAAAGCTGCTCTCTGAAAGGGAATGTTCAACTCTATGAGTTGAATGCTAACATCACAAAGTCGTTTCTGAGAATGCTTCTGTCTAGATTTGATATGAAGATATTCCCGTTTCCAACGAAATCTTCAAATCTATCCAAATGGCCACTTGCAGATTCAACAAAAAGTGTTTTTCAGAACTGCTCTATCAAAAGAAAGATCCACCTCTGTTAGCTGAGTTCACACATCACAAACAAGTTTATGAGAATGCTTCTGTCTAGTTTTTATTTGAAGATATTTCCTTTCTCACCATAGACCTGAAAGCTGTCCTAATGTTCACTTCCAGATACTACATAAAGAGTGTTTCAAAACTGCTGTACGAAAGGGAATGTTCAACTCTGTGACTTGAATGCACACATCCCAAAGAAGTTTCTGAGGATGCTGCTGTCTACTTTTTATACGTAATCCTGTTTCCAACGAAATCCTCCAAGCTATCCAAATATCCACTTGCAGATTCCACAGAAAGACTGTTTCAAAACTGCTGTCAATAGAAAGGTTCAACTCTGTTAGCTGCGTGCATATATCCCAAAGAAGATTCTGAGATTGCTTCTGTCTAGTTTTTATGGGAAGATATTTCCCTTTTCACCGTAGGTGTCAAGGTGCTCCAAATGTCCAATTCCAGATACTACAAAAAGAGTGTTTCAAACCTACTCTGTGAAAGGGAATATTCAACCCTGTGACTTGAATGTAGATATCACAAAGAAGTTTCTGAGAATGCTTCTGTCGAGATTTTATATGAAGATATTCCCGTTTCCAACGAAATCCTGAAATCTATCCAAATATCCCCTCGCAGATTCTACAAAAAGAGTGTTTCAAAACTGCTCTGTAAAAAGAAAGGTTCAACTCTGTTAGTGGAGTACACACATCACAAACAAGTTTCACAGAATGCTTCTTTCTAGCTTGTAGGGGAAGAAATTTCCTTTATCACCATGGGCCTCAAACCGTCCGAAACGTCCACTTCCATATACTAACAAAAGAGTGTTTGAAACCTGCTCTATGAAAGGCAATGTTCAACTCTGTGACTTGAATGCAGACATCACAGAGCAGTTTCTGAGAATGCTTCTGTCCTGACTTTATAGGAAGATATTCCCGATTCCAACGAAATCTTTACAGCTATCCAAATATCCACTTGCAGATACTACAAAAGAGTGTATCAAAAAAGCTCTGTCAAAAGGAAAGTTCTTCTCTGCTAGTTGAGTACATACGTCATAAAGAAGTTTCTGAGAATGTTTCTGTCTAGTGGTTATGGGAAGATATTTGCTTTTTCACCTTAGGCCTCAGAGCGCTCCAAATGTCCACTTGCACATACTACAAAAAGAGTGCTTCAAAGCTGCTCTCTGAAAGGGAATGTTCAACTCTATGAGTTGAATGCAAACATCACAAAGACGTTTCTGAGAATGCTTCTGTCTAGATTTGATATGAAGATATTCCCGTTTCCAACGAAATCTTCATATCTATCCAAATGTCCACTTGCAGATTCAACAAAAAGTGTTTTTCAGAACTGCTCTATCAAAAGAAAGATCCACCTCTGTTAGGTGAGTTCACACATCACAAAGAAGTTTATGAGAATGCTTCTGTCTAGTTTTTATTTGAAGATATATCCTTTCTCACTATAGACCTGAAAGCTGTCCTAAAGTTCACTTCCAGATACTACAGAAAGAGTGTTTCAAAACTGCTGTACGAAAGGTAATGTTCAACTCTGTGACTTGAATGCACACATCACAAGGATGTTTCTGAGGATGCTTCTGTCTAGTTTTTGTGGGAAGATATTTCCCTTTTCACCGTAGGTGTCAAGGCGCTCCAAATGTCCACTTCCAGATACTACAAAAAGAGTGTTTCAAACCTACTCTGTGAAAGGGAATATTCAACTCTGTGACTTGAATGCACATATCACAAAGAAGTTTCTGAGAATGCTTCTGTCGAGATTTTATATGAAGATATTCCCGTTTACAACGAAATCCTGAAATCTATCCAAATATCACCTCGCAGATTCTACAAAAAGAGTGTTTCAAAACTGCTCTGTAAAAAGAAAGGTTCAACTCTGTTAGTTGAGTACACACATCACAAACAAGTTTCACAGAATGCTTCTTTCTAGCTTGTAGGGGAAGATATTCCCTTTATCACCATGGGCCTCAAACCGTCCGAAACGTCCACTTCCATATACTACAAAAAGAGCGTTTCAAACCTGCTCTATGAAAGGTAATGTTCAACTCTGTGACTTGAATGCAGACATCACAGAGCAGTTTCTGAGAATGCTTCTGTCTAGATTTTATAGGAAGATATTCCCGTTTCCAACGAAATCTTCAGAGCTATCCAAATATCCACTTGCAGATTCTACAAAAAGAGTGTATCAAAACTGCTCTGTCAAAAGGAAGGTTCTTCTCTGTTAGGTGAGTGCATACGTCGTAAAGGAGTTTCTGAGAATGTTTCTGTCTAGTCGTTATGGGAAGATATTTGCTTTTTCACCGTAGGCCTCAGAGCGCTCCAAATATCCCCTTGCACATACTACAAAAAGAGTGCTTCAGAGCTGCTCTCTGAAAGGGAATGTTCAACTCTATGAGTTGAATGCAAACATCACAAAGACGTTTCTGAGAATGCTTCTCTCTAGATTTGATATGAAGATATTCCCGTTTCCAACGAAATCTTCAAATCTATCCAAATGTCCACTTGCAGATTCAACAAAACGTGTTTTTCAGAACTGCTCAATCAAAAGAAAGATCCACCTGTGTTAGCCGAGTTCACACATCACAAACAAGTTTATGAGAATGCTTCTGTCTAGTTTTTATTTGAAGATATTTCCTTTCTCACCATAGAGCTGAAAGCTGTCCTAATGTTCACTTCCAGATACTACAGAAAGAGTGTTTCAAAACTGCTGTACGAAAGGGAATGTTCAACTATGTGACTTGAATGCACACATCACAAAGGAGTTTCTGAGGATGCTGCTGTCTACTTTTTATACGTAATCCCGTTTCCAACGAAATCCTCCAAGCTATCCAAATATCCACTTGCAGATTCCACAGAAAGGCTGTTTCAAAACTGCTCTGTCAATAGAAAGGTTCAACTCTGTTAGCTGCGTGCATATATCCCAAAGAAGATTCTGAGATTGCTTCTGTCTAGTTTTTATGGGAAGATATTTCCCTTTTCTCCGTAGGGGTCAAGGCGCTCCAAATGTCCACTTCCAGATACTACAAAAAGAGTGTTTCAAACCTACTCTGTGAAAGGGAATATTCAACTCTGTGACTTGAATGCAGATATCATAAAGAAGTTTCTGAGAATGCTTCTGTCGAGATTTTATATGAAGATATTCCCGTTTCCAACGAAATGCTGAAATCTATCCAAATATCCCCTCGCAGATTCTACAAAAAGAGTGTTTCAAAACTGCTCTGTAAAAAGAAAGGTTCAACTCTGTTAGTTGAGTACACACATCACAAATAAGTTTCACACAATGCTTCTTTCTAGCTTGTAGGGGAAGATATTCCCTTTATCACCATGGGCCTCAAACCGTCCGATAAGTCCACTTCCATATACTACAAAAAGAGCGTTTCAAACCTGCTCTATGAAAGGCAACGTTCAACTCTGTGACTTGAATGCAGACATCACAGAGCAGTTTCTGAGAATGCTTCTGTCTAGATTTTATAGGAAGATATTCCCGTTTCCAACGAAATCTTCACAGCTATCCAAATATCCACTTGCAGATTCTACAAAAAGAGTGTATCAAAACTGCTCTGTCAAAAGGAAGGTTCTTTTCTGTTAGGTGAGTGCATACGTCATAAAGGAGTTTCTGGGAATGTTTCAGTCTAGTGGTTATGGGAAGATATTTGCTTTTTCCCCGTAGGCCTCAGAGCGCTCCAAATATCCACTTGCACATACTACAAAAAGAGTGCTTCAAAGATGCTCTCTGAAACGGAATGTTCAACTCTATGAGTTGAATGCAAACATCACAAAGACGTTTCTGGGAATGCTTCTGTCTAGATTTGATATGAAGATATTCCCGTTTCCAACGAAATCTTCAAATCTATCCAAATGTCCTCTTGCAGATTCAACAAAAACTGTTTTTCAGAACTGCTCTATCAAAAGAAAGATCCACGTGTGTTAGCTGAGTTCACACATCACGAACAAGTTTATGAGAATGCTTCTGTCTAGTTTTTATTTGAAGATATTTCCTTTCTCACCATAGACCTGAAAGCTGTCCTAATGTTCACTTCCAGTTACTACAGAAAGAGTGTTTCAAAACTGCTGTATGAAAGGGAATGTTCAACTCTGTGACTTGAATGCACACATCACAAAGAAGTTTCTGAGGATGCTGCTGTCTACTTTTTATATGTAATCCCGTTTCCAATGAAATCCTCCAAGCTATCCAAATATCCACTTGCAGATTCCACAGAAAGACTGTTTCAAAAGTGCTCTGTCAATAGAAAGGTACAACTCTGTTAGCTGCGTGCATATATCCCAAAGAAGATTCTGAGATTGCTTCTGTCTAGTTTTTATGGGAAGATATTTCCCTTTTCACCGTAGGCGTCACGGCGCTCCAAATGTCCACTTCCAGATACTATAAAAAGAGTGTTTGAAACCTACTCTGTGAAAGGGAATATTCAACTCTGTGACTTGAATGCAGATATCACAAAGAAGTTTCTGAGAATGCTTCTGTCGAGATTTTATATGAAGATATTCCCGTTTCCAATGAAATCCTGAAATCTATCCAAATATCCCCTTGCAGATTCTACAAAAAGAGTGTTTCAAAACTGCTCTGTAAAAAGAAAGGTTCAACTCTGTTAGTTGAGTACACACATCACAAACAAGTTTCACACAATGCTTCTTTCTAGCTTGTAGGGGAAGATATTCCCTTTATCACCATGGGCCTCAAACAGTCCGAAACGTCCACTTCCATATACTACAAAAAGAGCGTTTCAAACCTGCTCTAGGAAAGGCAATGTTCAACTCCGTGACTTGAATGCAGACATCCCAGAGCAGTTTCAGAGAATGCTTCTGTCTAGATTTTATAGGAAGATATTCCCGTTTCCAACGAAATCTTCACAGCTATCCAAATATCCACTTGCAGATTCTACAAAAAGAGTGTATCAAAACTGCTCTGTCAGAAGGAAGGTTCTTTTCTGTTAGGTGAGTGCATACGTCATAAAGGAGTTTCTGAGAATGTTTCTGTCTAGTGGTTATGGGAAGATATTTGCTTTTTCACCGTAGGCCTCACAGCGCTCAAAATATCCCCTTGCACATACTACAAAAAGAGTGCTTCAAAGCTGCTCTCTGAAACGGAATGTTCAACTCTATGAGTTGAATGCAAACGTGACAAAGACGTTTCCGAGAATGCTTCTGTCTAGATTTGATATGAAGATATTCCCGTTTCCAACGAAATCTTCATATCTATCCAAATGTCCACTTGCAGATTCAACAAAACGTGTTTTTCAGAACTGCTCTATCAAAAGAAACATCCACCTCTGTTAGCTGAGTTCACACATCACAAACAAGTTCTTGAGAATGCTTCTGTCTAGTTTTTATTTGAAGATATTTCCTTTCTCACCATAGACCTGAATGCTGTCTTAATGTTCACTTCCAGATACTACAGAAAGAGTGTTTCAAAACTGCTGTACGAAAGGGAATGTTCAACTCTGTGACTTGAATGCACACATCACAAAGAAGTTTCTGAGGATGCTGCTGTCTACTTTTTATACGTAATCCCGTTTCCAACGAAATTCTCCAAGCTATCCAAATGTCCACTTGCAGATTCCACAGAAAGACTGTTTCAAAACTGCTCTGTCAATAGAAAGGTTCAACTCTGTTAGCTGCGTGCATATATCCCAAAGAAGATTCTGAGATTGCTTCTGTCTAGTTTTTATTGGAAGATATTTCCCTTTTCACCGTAGGCGTCAAGGCGCTCCAAATGTCCACTTCCAGATACTACAAAAAGAGTGTTTCAAACCGACTCTGTTAAAACGAATATTCAACTCTTTGACTTGAATGCACATATCACAAAGAAGTTTCTGAGAACGCTTCTGTCGAGATTTTATATGAAGATATTCCCCTTTCCAACGAAATCCTGAAATCTATTCAAATATCCCCTTGCAGATTCTACAAAAAGAGTGTTTCAAAACTGCTCTGTAAAAAGAAAGGTTCAACTCTGTTAGTTGAGTACACACATCACAAACAAGTTTCACAGAATGCTTCTTTCTAGCTTGTAGGGGAAGATATTCCCTTTATCACCATGGGCCTCAAACCGTCCGAAACGTCCACTTCCATATACTACAAAAAGAGCGTTTCAAACCTGCTCTATGAAAGGCAATGTTCAACTCTGTGACTTGAATGCAGACAGAACAGAGCAGTTTCTGAGAATGCTTCTGTCTAGATTTTATAGGAAGATATTCCCGTTTCCAACGAAATCTTCACAGCTATCCAAAGATCCACTTGCAGATTCTACAAAAAGAGTGTATCAAAACTGCTCTGTCAAAAGGAAGGTTCTTCTCTGTTAGGTGAGTGCATACGTCATAAAGGAGTTTCTGAGAATGTTTCCGTCTAGTGGTTATGGGAAGATATTTGCTTTTTCACCGAAGGCCTCAGAGCGCTCCAAATATCCACTTGCACATACTACAAAAAGAGTGCCTCAAAGCTGCTCTCTGAAACGGAATGTTCAACTCTATGAGTTGAATGCAAACATCGCAAAGACGTTTCTGAGAATGCTTCTGTCTAGATTTGATATGAAGATATTCCCGTTTCCTACGAAATCTTCAAATCTATCCAAATGTCCACTTGCAGATTCAACAAAAAGTGTTTTTCAGAACTGCTCTATCAAAAGAAAGATCCACCTCTGTTAGCTGAGTTCACACATCACAAACAAGTTTATGAGAATGCTTCTGTCTAGTTTTTATTTGAAGATATTTCCTTTCTCACCATAGACCTGAAAGCTGTCCTAATGTTCACTTCCAGATACTACAGAAAGAGTGTTTCAAAACTGCTGTACGAAAGGGAATGTTCAACCCTGTGACTTGAATGCACACATCACAAAGAAGTTTCTGAGGATGCTGCTGTCTACTTTTTATACGTAATCCCGTTTCCAACGAAATCCTCCAATCTATCCAAATATCCACTTGCAGATTCCACAGAAAGACTTTTTCAAAACTGCTCTGTCAATAGAAAGGTTCAACTCTGTTAGCTGCGTGCATGTATCCCAAAGAAGATTCTCAGATTGCTGCTGTCTAGTTTTTATGGGAAGATATTTCCCTTTTCACCGTAGACGTCAAGGCGCTCCAAATGACCACTTCCAGATACTACAAAAAGAGTGTTTCAAACCTACTCTGTGAAAGGGAATATTCAACTCTGTGACTTGAATGCAGATATCACAAAGTACTTTCTGAGAATGCTTCTGTCGAGATTTTCTATGAAGATATTCCCGTTTCCTACGAAATCCTGAAATCTATCCAAATATCCCCTCGCAGATTCTACAAAAAGAGTGTTTCAAAACTGCTCTGTAAAAAGAAAGGTTCAACTCTGTTAGTTGAGTACACACATCACAAACAAGTTTCACAGAATGCTTCTTTCTAGCTTGTAGGGGAAGATATTCCCTTCATCACCATGGGCCTCAAACCGTCCGAAACGTCCACTTCCATATACTACAAAAAGAGTGTTTCAAACCTGCTCTATGAAAGGCAATGTTCAACTCTGTGACTTGAATGCAGACATCACAGAGCAGTTTCTGAGAATGCTTCTGTCTAGATTTTATAGGAAGATATTCCCGTTTCCAACGAAATCTTCACAGGTATCCAAATATCCACTTGCAGATTCTACAAAAAGAGTGTATCAAAACTGCTCTGTCAAAAGGAAGGTTCTTCTCTGTTAGGTGAGTACATACGTCATAAAGGAGTTTCTGAGAAAGTTCTGCCTAGTGGTTATGGGAAGATATTTGCTTTTTCACCGTAGGCCTCAGAGCGCTCCAAATATCCACTTGCACATACTACAAAAAGAGTGCTTCAAAGCTGCTCTCTGAAAGGGAATGTTCAACTCTATGAGTTGAATGCAAACATCACAAAGACGTTTCTGAGAATGCTTTCTATCTAGATTTGATATGAAGATATTCCCGTTTCCAATGAAATCTTCAAATCTATCCAAATGTCCACTTGCAGATTCAACAAAAAGTGTTTTTCAAAACTGCTGTATCAAAAGAAAGATCCACGTCTGTTAGCTGAGTTCACATATCACAAACTATTTTATGAGAATGCTTCTGTCTAGTTTTTATTTGAAGATATTGCCTTTCTCACCATAGACCTGAAAGCTGTCCTAATGTTCACTTCCAGATACTACAGAAAGAGTGTTTCAAAACTGCTGTACGAAAGGGAATGTTCAACTCTGTGACTTGAATGCACACATCACAAAGAAGTTTCTGAGGAGGCTGCTGTCTACTTTTTATACGTAATCCCGTTTCCAACGAAATCCTCCAAGCTATCCAAATATGCACTTGCAGATTCCACAGAAAGACTGTTTCAAAACTGCTCTGTCAATAGAAAGGTTCAACTCTGTTAGCTGCGTGCATATATCCCAAAGAAGATTCTGAGATTGCTTCTGTCTAGTTTTTATGGGAAGATATTTCCCTTTTCACCGTAGGTGTCAAGGCGCTCCAAATGTCCACTTACAGATACTACAAAAAGAGTGTTTCAAACCTACTCTGTGAAAGGGAATATTCAACTCTGTGACTTGAATGCACATATCACAAAGAAGTTTCTGAGAATGCTTCTGTCGAGATTTTATATGAAGATATTCCCGTTTCCAACGAAATGCTGAAATCTATCCAAATATCCCCTCGTAGATTCTACAAAAAGAGTGTTTCAAAACTGCTCTGTGAAAAGAAAGGTTCAACTCTGTTAGTTGAGTACACACATCACAAACAAGTTTCACAGAATGCTTCTTTCTAGCTTGTAGGGGAAGATATTCCCTTTATCACCATGGGCCTCAAACCGTCCGAAACGTCCACTTCCATATACTACAAAAAGAGCCTTTCAAACATGCTCTATGAAAGGCAATTTTCAACTCTGTGACTTGAATGCAGACATCACAGAGCAGTTTCTGAGAATCCTTCTGTCTAGATTTTATAGGAAGATATTCCGGTTTCCAACGAAATCTTCACAGCTATCCAAATATCCACTTGCAGATTCTACAAAAAGAGTGTATCAAAACTGCTCTGTCAAAAGGAAGGTTCTTCTCTGTTAGGTGAGTGCATACGTCATAAAGGAGTTTCTGAGAATGTTTCTGTCTAGTGGTTATGGGAAGATATTTGCTTTTTCACCGTAGGCCTCAGAGGGCTCCAAATATCCACTTGCACATGCTACAAAAAGAGTGCTTCAAAGCTGCTCTCTGAAAGGGAATGTTCAACTCTATGAGTTGAATGCAAACATCACAAAGACGTTTCTGAGAATGCTTCTGTCTAGATTTGATATGAAGATATTCCCGTTTCCAACGAAATCTTCAAATCTATCCAAATGTCCACTTGCAGATTCAACAAAAAGTGTTTTTCAGAACTGCTCTATCAAAAGAAAGATCCACCTCTGTTAGCTGAGTTCACACATCACAAATAAGTTTATGAGAATGCTTCTGTCTAGCTTTTATTTGAAGATATATCCTTTCTCACAATATACCTGAAAGCTCTCTTAAAGTTCACTTCCAGATACTACAGAAAGAGTGTTTCAAAACTGCTGTATGAAAGGGAATGTTCAACTCTGTGACTTGAATGCACATATCACAAAGAAGTTTCTGAGGATGCTGCTGTCTACTTTTTATACGTAATCCCGTTTCCAACGAAATCCTCCAAGCTATCCAAATATCCACTTGCAGATTCCACAGAAAGAATGTTTCAAAACTGCTCTGTCAATAGAAAGGTTCAACTCTGTTAGCTGCGTGCATATATCCCAAAGAAGATTCTGAGATTGCTTCTGTCTAGTTTTTATGGGAAGATATTTCCCTTTTCACCGTAGGCGTCAAGGCGCTCCGAATGTCCACTTCCAGATACTACAAAAAGAGTGTTTCAAACCTACTCTGTGAAAGGGAATATTCAACTCTGTGACTTGAATGCACATATCACAAAGAAGTTTCTGAGAATGCTTCTGTCGAGATTTTATATGAAGATATTCCCGTTTCCAACGAAATCCTGAAATCTATCCAAATATCCCCTCGCAGATTCTACAAAAAGAGTGTTTCAAAACTGCTCTGTAAAAAGAAAGGTTCAAGTCTGTTAGTTGAGTACACACATCACAAACAAGTTTCACAGAATGCTTCTTTCTAGCTTGTAGGTGAAGATATTCCCTTTATCACCATGGGCCTCAAACCGTCCGAAACGTCCACTTCCATATACTACAAAAAGAGCGTTTCAAACCTGCTCTAGGAAAGGCAGTGTTCAACTCTGTGACTTGAATGCAGACATCACAGAGCAGTTTCTGAGAATGCTTCTGTCTAGATTTCATATGAAGATATTCCTGTTTCCAACGAAATCTTCACAGCTATCCAAATATTCACTTGCAGATACTACAAAAAGAGTGTATCAAAAATGCTCTGTCAAAAGGAAAGTTCTTCTCTGCTAGTTGAGTACATACGTCATAAAGAAGTTTCTGAGAATGTTTCTGTCTAGTGGTTATGGGAAGATATTTGCTTTTTCACCTTAGGCCTCAGAGCGATCCAAATATCCACTTGCACATACTACAAAAAGAGTGCTTCAAAGCTGCTCTCTGAAAGGGAATGTTCAACTCTATGAGTTGAATGCAAATATCACAAAGACGTTTCTGAGAATGCTTCTGTCTAGATTTGATATGAAGATATTCCCGTTTCCAACGAAATCTTCAAATCTATCCAAATGTCCACTTGCAGATTCAACAAAAAGTGTTTTTCAGAACTGCTCTATCAAAAGAAAGATCCACCTCTGTTAGCAGAGTTCACACATCACAAACAAGTTTATGAGAATGCTTCCGTCTAGTTTTTATTTGAAGATATTTCCTTTCTCTCCATAGACCTGAAAGCTGTCCTAATGTTCACTTCCAGTTACTACAGAAAGAGTGTTTCAAAACTGCTGTACGAAAGGGAATGTTCAACTCTGTGACTTGAATGCACACATCACAAAGAAGTTTCTGAGGATGCTGCTGTCTAATTTTTATACGTAATCCCGTTTCCAACGAAATCCTCCAAGCTATCCAAATATCCACTTGCAGATTCCACAGAAAGACTGTTTCAAAACTGCTATGTCAATAGAAAAGTTCAACTCTGTTAGCTGTGTGCATATATCCCAAAGAAAATTCTGAGATTGCTTCTGTCTAGTTTTGATGGGAAGATACTTCCCTTTTCACCGTAGGTGTCAAGGCGCTCCAAATGTCCACTTCCAGATACTACAAAAAGAGTGTTTCAAACCTACTCTGTGAAAGGGAATATTCAACTATGTGACTTGAATGCACATATCACAAAGAAGTTTCTGAGAATGCTTCTGTCGAGATTTTATATGAAGATATTCTCGTTTCCAACGAAATGCTGAAATGTATCCAAATATCCCCTCGCAGATTCTACAAAAAGAGTGTTTCAAAACTGCTCTGTAAAAAGAAAGGTTCAACTCTGTTAGTTGAGTACACACATCACAAACAAGTTTCACAGAATGCTTCTTTCTAGCTTGTAGGGGAAGATATTCCCTTTATCACGATGGGCCTCAAACCGTCCGAAACATCCACTTCCATATACTACAAAAAGAGCATTTCAAACCTGCTCTATGAAAGGCAATGTTCAACTCTGTGACTTGAATGCAGACATCACAGAGCAGTTTCTGAGAATGCTTCTGTCTAGATTTTATAGGAAGATATTCCCGTTTCCAACGAAATCTTCACAGCTATCCAAATATCCACTTGCAGATTCTCCAAAAAGAGTGTATCAAAACTGCTCTGTCAAAAGGAAGGTTCTTCTCTGTTAGGTGAGTGCATACGTCATAAAGGAGTTTCTGAGAATGTTTCTGTCTAGTGGTTATGGGAAGATATTTGCTTTTTCACCTTAGGCCTCAGAGAGCTCCAAATATCCCCTTGCACATACTACAAAAAGAGTGCTTCAAAGCTGCTCTCTGAAAGGGAATGTTCAACTCTATGAGTTGAATGCAAACATCACAAAGACGTTTCTGAGAATGCTTCTGTCTAGATTTGATATGAAGATATTCCCGTTTCCAAAGAAATCTTCAAATCCATCCAAATGTCCACTTGCAGATTCAACAAAAAGTGTTTTTCAGAACTGCTCTATCAAAAGAAAGATCCACCTCTTTTAGCTGAGTTCACACATCACAAACAAGTTTATGAGAATGCTTCTGTCTAGTTTTTATTTGAAGATATTTCCTTTCTCACCATAGACCTGAAATCTGTCCTAATGTTCACTTCCAGATACTACAGAAAGAGTGTTTCAAAACTGCTGTACGAAAGGGAATGTTCAACTCTGGGACTTGAATGCATACATCACAAAGAAGTTTCTGAGGATGCTGCTGTCTACTTTTTATACATAATCCCGTTTCCAACGAAATCCTCCAAGCTATCCAAATATCCACTTGCAGATTCCACAGAAAGACTGTTTCAAAACTGCTCTGTCAATAGAAAAGTTCAACTCTGTTAGCTGTGTGCATATATCCCAAAGAAAATTCTGAGATTGCTTCTGTCTAGTTTTTAGGGGAAGATATTTCCCTTTTCACCGTAGGTGTCAAGGCGCTCCAAATGTCCACTTCCAGATACTAGAAAAAGAGTGTTTCAAACCTACTCTGTGAAAGGGAATATTCAACTCTGTGACTTGAATGCACATATCACAAAGAAGCTTCTGAGAGTGCTTCTGTCGAGATTTTTTATGAAGATATTCCCGTTTCCAACGAAATCCTGAAATCTATCCAAATATCCCCTCGCAGATTCTACAAAAAGAGTGTTTCCAAACTGCTCTGTAAAAAGAAAGGTTCAACTCTGTTAGTTGAGTACACACATCACAAACAAGTTTCACAGAATGCTTCTTTCTACCTTGTAGGGGAAGATATTCCCTTTATCACCATGGGCCTCAAACCGTCCGAAACGTCCACTTCCATATACTACAAAAAGAGCGTTTCAAACCTGCTCTATGAAAGGCAATGTTCAACTCTGTGACTTGAATGCAGACATCACAGAGCAGTTTCTGAGAATGCTTCTGTCTAGATTTTATAGGAAGATATTCCCGTTTCCAACGAAATCTTCACAGCTATCCAAATATCCACTTGCAGATTCTACAAAAAGAGTGTATCAAAACTGCTCTGTCAAAAGGAAGGTTCTTCTCTGTTAGGTGAGTGCATACGTCATAAAGGAGTTCCTGAGAATGTTTCTGTCTAGTGGTTATGGGAAGATATTTGCTTTTTCACCGTAGGCCTCAGAGCGCTCCAAATATCCACTTGCACATACTTCAAAAAGAGTGTTTCAAAGCAGCTCTCTGAAAGGGAATGTTCAACTCTATGAGTTGAATGCAAACATGACAAAGACGTTTCTGAGAATGCTTCTGTCTAGATTTGATATGAAGATATTCCCGTTTCCAACGAAATCTTCATATCTATCCAAATGTCCACTTGCAAATTCAACAAAAAGTGTTTTTCAAAACTGCTGTATCAAAAGAAAGATCCACCTCTGTTAGCTGAGTTCACACATCACAAACAAGTTTATGAGAATGCTTCTGTCTAGTTTTTATTTAAAGATATTTCCTTTCTCACCATAGACCTGAAAGCTGTCCTAATGTTCACTTCCAGATACTACAGAAAGAGTGTTTCAAAACTGCTGTACGAAAGGGAATGTTCAACTCTGTGACTTGAATGCACACATCACAAAGAAGTTTCTGAGGATGCTGCTGTCTACTTTTTATACGTAATCCCGTTTCCAACGAAATCCTCCAAGCTATCCATATATCCACTTCCAGATTCCACAGAAAGACTGTTTCAAAACTGCTCTGTCAATAGAAAGGTTCAACTCTGTTAGCTGCGTGCATATATCCCAAAGAAGATTCTGAGATTGCTTCTGTCTAGTTTTTATGGGAAGATCTTTCCCTTTTCACCGTAGGCGTCAAGGCGCTCCAAATGTCCACTTCCAGATACTACAAAAAGAGTGTTTCAAACCTACTCTGTGAAAGGGAATATTCAACTCTGTGACTTGAATGCACATATCACAAAGAAGTTTCTGAGAATGCTTCTGTCGAGATTTTATATGATGATATTCCCCTTTCCAACGAAATCCAGAAATCTATCCAAATATCCCCTCGCAGATTCTACAAAAAGAGTGTTTCAAAACTGCTCTGTAAAAAGAAAGTTTCAACTCTATTAGTTGAGTACACACATCACAAACAAGTTTCACAGAATGCTTCTTTCTAGCTTGTAGGGGAAGATATTCCCTTTATCACCATGGGCCTCAAACCGTCCGAAACGTCCACTTCCATATACTACAAAAAGAGCGTTTCTAAACTGCTCTAGGAAAGGCAATGTTCAACTCTGTGACTTGAATGCAGACATCACAGAGCAGTTTCTGAGAATGCTTCTGTCTAGATTTTATAGGAAGATATTCCCGTTTCCAACGAAATCTTCACAGCTATCCAAATATCCACTTGCAGATTCTACAAAAAGAGTGTATCAAAACTGCTCTGTCAAAAGGAAGGTTCTTCTCTGTTAGATGAGTACATACGTCATAAAGGAGTTTCTGAGAATGTTTCTGTCTAGTGGTTATGGGAAGATATTTGCTTTTTCACCTTAGGCCTCAGAGCGCTCCAAATATCCACTTGCACATACTACAAAAAGAGTGCTTCAAAGCTGCTCTCTGAAACGGAATGTTCAACTCTATGAGTTGAATGCAAACATCACAAAGACGTTTCTGAGAATCCTTCTGTCTAGATTTGATATGAAGATATTCCCGTTTCCAACGAAATCATCAAATCTATCCAAATGTCCACTTGCAGATTCAACAAAAAGTGTTTTTCAGAACTGCTCTATCAAAAGAAAGATCCACCTCTGTTAGCTGGGTTCACACATCACAAACAAGTTTATGAGAATGCTTCTGTCTAGTTTTTATTTGAAGATATTTCCTTTCTCAAAATAGACCTGAAAGCTGTCCTAATGTTCACTTCCAGATACTACAGAAAGAGTGTTTCAAAACTGCTGTACGAAAGGGAATGTTCAACTCTGTGACTTGAATGCACACATCACAAAGAAGTTTCTGAGGATGCTGCTGTCTACTTTTTATACGTAATCCCGTTTCCAACGAAATCCTCCAAGCTATCCAAATATCCACTTGCAGATTCCACAGAAAGACTGTTTCAAAACAGCTCTGTCAATAGAAAGGTTCAACTCTGTTAGCTGCGTGCATATATCCCAAAGAAGATTCTGAGATTGCTTCTGTCTAGTTTTTATGGGAAGATATTTTCCTTTTCACCGTAGGCGTCAAGGCGTTCCAAATGTACACTTCCAGATACTTCAAAAAGAGTGTTTCAAACCTACTCTGTGAAAGGGAATATTCAACTCTGTGACTTGAATGCAGATATCACAAAGAAGTTTCTGAGAATGCTTCTGTCGAGATTTTATATGAAGATATTCCCGTTTCCAACGAAATCCTGAAATCTATCCAAATATCCCCTCGAAGATTCTACAAAAAGAGTGTTTCAAAACTGCTCTATAAAAAGAAAGGTTCAACTCTGTTAGTTGAGTACACACATCACAAACAAGATTCACAGAATGCTTCTTTCTAGCTTGTAGGGGAAGATATTCCCTTTATCACCATGGGCCTCAAACCGTCCGAAACGTCTACTTCCATATACTACAAAAAGAGCGTTTCAAACCTGCTCTATGAAAGGCAATGTTCAACTGTGTGACTTGAATGCAGACATCACAGAGCAGTTTCTGAGAATGCTTCTGTCTAGATTTTATAGGAAGATATTCCCGTTTCCAACGAAATCTTCACAGCTATACAAATATCCACTTGCAGATTCTACAAAAAGCGTGTATCAAAACTGCTCTGTCAAAAGGAAGGTTCTTTTCTGTTAGGTGAGTGCATACGTCATAAAGGAGTTTCTGAGAATGTTTCTGTCTAGTGGTTATGGGAAGATATTTGCTTTTTCCCCGTAGGCCTCAAAGCGCTCCAAATCTCCACTTGCACATACTACAAAAAGAGTGCTTCAAAGCTGCTCTCTGAAAGGGAATGTTCAACTCTATGAGTTGAATGCAAGCATCACAAAGACGTTTCTGAGAATGCTTCTGTCTAGATTTGATATGAAGATATTCCCGTTTCCAAAGAAATCTTCAAATCTATCCAAATGTCCACTTGCAGATTCAACAAAAAGTGTTTTTCAAAAGTGTTGTATCAAAAGAAAGATCCACCTCTGTTAGCTGAGTTCACACATCAAAACAAGTTTATGAGAATGCTTCTGTCTAGTTTTTATTTGAAGATATTTCCTTCCTCACCATAGACCTGAAAGCTGTCCTAATGTTCACTTCCAGATACTACAGAAAGAGTGTTTCAAAACTGCTGTACGAAAGGGAATGTTCAACTCTGTGACTTGAATGCACACATCACAAAGAAGTTTCTGAGGATGCTGCTGTCTACTTTTTATACGTAATCCCGTTTCCAATGAAATCCTCCAAGCTATCCAAATATCCACTTGCAGATTCCACAGAAAGACTGTTTCAAAACTGCTCTGTCAATAGAAAGGTTCAACTCTGTTAGCTGCATGCATATATCCCAAAGAAGATTCTGAGATTGCTTCTGTCTAGTTTTTAGGGGAAGATATTTCCCTTTTCACCGTAGGTGTCAAGGCACTCCAAATGTCCACTTACAGATACTACAAAAAGAGTGTTTCAAACCTACTCTGTGAAAGGGAATATTCAACTCTGTGACTTGAATGCAGATATCACAATGAAGTTTCTGAGAATGCCTCTGTCGCGATTTTATATGAAGATATTCCCGTTTCCAACAAAATCCTGAAATCTATCCAAATATCTCCTCGCAGATTCTACAAAAAGAGTGTTTCAAAACTGCTCTGTAAAAAGAAAGGTTCAACTCTGTTAGTTGAGGACACACATCACAAACAAGTTTCACAGAATGCTTCTTTCTAGCTTGTAGGGGAAGATATTCCCTTTATCACCATGGGCCTCAAACCGTCCGAAACGTCCACTTCCATATACTACAAAAAGAGCGTTTCAAACCTGCTCTATGAAAGGCAATGTTCAACTCTGTGACTTGAATGCAGACTTCACAGAGCAGTTTCTGAGAATGCTTCTGTCTAGATTTTATATGAAGATATTCCCGTTTCCAACGAAATCTTCACAGCTATCCAAATATCCACTTGCAGATTCTACAAAAAGAGTGTATCAAAACTGCTCTGTCAAAAGGAAGGTTCTTCTCTGTTAGGTGAGTGCATACATCATAAAGGAGTTTCTGAGAATGTTTCTGTCTAGTGGTTATGGGAAGATATTTGCTTTTTCACCGTAGGCCTCAGAGCGCTCCAAATATGCACTTGCACATACTACAAAAAGAGTGCTTCAAAGCTGCTCTCTGAAAGGGAATGTTCAACTCTATGAGTTGAATGCAAACATCACAAAGACGTTTCTGAGAATGCTTCTGTCTAGATTTGATATGAAGATATTCCCGTTTCCAACGAAATCTTGAAATCTATCCAAATGTCCACTTGCAGATTCATACAAAGTGTTTTTCAGAACTGCTCTATCAAAAGAAAGATCCACCTCTGTTAGCTGAGATCACACTTCACAAACAAGTTTATCAGAATGCTTCTGTCTAGTTTTTATTTGAAGATATTTCCTTTCTCACCATAGAGCTGAAAGCTGTCCTAATGTTCACTTCCAGATACTACAGAAAGAGTGTTTCAAAACTGCTGTACGAAAGGGAATGTTCAACTCTGTGACTTGGATGCACACATCACAAAGAAGTTTCTGAGGATGCTGCTGTCTACTTTTTATACGTAATCCCGTTTCCAACGAAATCCTCCAAGCTATCCAAATATCCACTTGCAGATTCCACAGAAAGACTGTTTCAAAACTGCTCTGTCAATAGAAAGGTTCAACTCTGGTAGCTGCGTGCATATATCCCAAAGAAGATTCTGAGATTGCTTCTGTCTAGTTTTGATGGGAAGATATTTCCCTTTTCACCGTAGGTGTCAAGGCGCTCCAAATGTCCACTTCCAGATACTACAAAAAGAGTGTTTCAAACCTACTCTGTGAAAGGGAATATTCAACTCTGTGACTTGAATGCACATATCACAAAGAAGTTTCTGAGAATGCTTCTGTCGAGATTTTATATGAAGATATTCACGTTTCCAACGAAATCCTGAAATCTATCCAAATATCCCCTCGCAGATTCTACAAAAAGAGTGTTTCAAAACTGCTCTGTGAAAAGAAAGGTTCAACTCTGTTAGTTGAGTACACACATCACAAACAAGTTTCACAGAATGCTTCTTTCTAGCTTGTAGGGGAAGATATTCCCTTTATCACCATGGGCCTCAAACCGTCCGAAACGTCCACTTCCATATACTACAAAAAGAGCGTTTCAAACCTGCTCTAGGAAAGGCAATGTTCAACTCTGTGACTTGAATGCAGACATCAGATAGCAGTTTCTGAGAATGCTTCTGTCTAGATTTTATAGGCAAGATATTCCCGTTTCCAACGAAATCTTCACAGCTATCCAAATATCCACTTGCAGATTCTACAAAAAGAGTGTATCAAAACTGCTCTGTCAAAAGGAAGGTTCTTCTCTGTTAGGTGAGTGCATACGTCATAAAGGAGTTTCTGAGAATGTTTCTGTCTAGTGGTTATGGGAAGATATTTGCTTTTTCACCGTAGGCCTCAGAGTGCTCCAAATATCCACTTGCACATACTACAAAAAGAGTGCCTCAAAGCTGCTCTCTGAAACGGAATGTTCAACTCTATGAGTTGAATGCAAACATCACAAAGACGTTTCTGAGAAAGCTTCTGTCTAGATTTGATATGAAGATATTCCCGTTTCCAACGAAATCTTCAAATCTATCCAAATGTCCACTTGCAGATTCAACAAAAAGTGTTTTTCAGAACTGCTCTATCAAAAGAAAGATCCACGTTCGTTAGCTGAGTTCACACATCACAAACAAGTTTATGAGAATGCTTCTGTCTAGTTTTTATTTGAAGATATTTCCTTTCTCACCATAGACCTGAAAGCTGTCCTAATGTTCACTTCCAGATACTACAGAAAGAGTGTTTCAAAACTGCTATACGAAAGGGAATGTTCAACTCTGTGACTTGAATGCACACATCACAAAGAAGTTTCTGAGGATGCTGCTGTCTACTTTTTATACGTAATCCCGTTTCCAACGAAATCCTCCAAGCTATCCAAATATCCACTTGCAGATTCCACAGAAAGACTGTTTCAAAAGTGCTCTGTCAATAGAAAGGTTCAACTCTGTTAGCTGCGTGCATATATCCCAAAGAAGATTCTGAGATTGCTTCTGTCTACTTTTTATGAGAAGATATTTCCCTTTTCACCGTAGGCGTCAAGGCGCACCAAATGTCAACTTCCAGATACTACAAAAAGAGTGTTTCAAACCTACTCTGTGAAAGGGAATATTCAACTCTGTGACTTGAATGCAGATATCACAAAGAAGTTTCTGAGAATGCTTCTGTCGAGATTTTATATGAAGATATTCCCGTTTCCAACGAAATCCTGAAATCTATCCAAATATCCCCTCGCAGATTCTACAAAAAGAGTGTTTCAAAACTGCTCTGTAAAAAGAAAGGTTCAACTCTGTTAGTTGAGTACACGCATCACAAACAAGTTTCACAGAATGCTTCTTTCTAGCTTGTAGGGGAAGATATTCCCTTTATCACCATGGGCCTCCAACCGTCCGAAACATCCACTTCCATATACTACAAAAAAGCGTTTCAAACCTGCTCTATGAAAGGCAATGTTCAACTCTGTGACTTGAATACAGACATCACAGAGCAGTTTCTGAGAATGCTTCTGTCTAGATTTTATAGGAAGATATTCCCGTTTCCAACGGAATCTTCACAGCTATCCAAATATCCACTTGCAGATTCTACAAAAAGAGTGTATCAAAACTGCTCTGTCAAAAGGAAGGTTCTTCTCTGTTAGGTGAGTGCATACGTCATAAAGGAGTTTCTGAGAATGTTTCTGTCTAGTGGTTATGGGAAGATATTTTCTTTTTCACCGTAGGCCTCAGAGCGCTCCAAATATCCACTTGCACATACTACAAAAAGAGTGTTTCAAAGCTGCTTTCTGAAAGGGAATGTTCAACTCTATGAGTTGAATGCAAACAGGACAAAGACGTTTCTGAGAATGCTTCTGTCTAGATTTGATATGAAGATATTCCCGTTTCCAATGAAATCTTCAAATCTATCCAAATGTCCACTTGCGGATTCAACAAAAAGTGTTTTTCAAAACTGCTGTATCAAAAGAAAGATCCACCTCTGTTAGCTGAGTTCACACATCACAAACAAGTTTATGAGAATGCTTCTGTCTAGTTTTTATTTGAAGATATTTCCTTTCTCACCATAGACCTGAAAGCTGTCCTAATGTTCACTTCCAGATGCTACAGAAAGAGTGTTTCAAAACTGTTGTACGAAAGGGAATGTTCAACTCTGTGACTTGAATGCACACATCACAAAGAAGTTTCTGAGGATGCTGCTGTCTACTTTTTATACATAATCCCGTTTCCAACGAAATCCTCCAAGCTATCCAAATATCCACTTGCAGATTCCACAGAAAGACTGTTTCAAAACTACTCTGTCAATAGAAAGGTTCAACTCTGTTAGCTGCGTGCATGTATCCCAAAGAAGATTCTGAGATTGCTTCTGTCTAGTTTTTATGGGAAGATATTTCCCTTTTCATCGTAGGGGTCAAGGCGCTCCAAATGTCCACTTCCAGATACTACAAAAAGAGTGTTTCAAACCTACTCTGTGAAAGGGAATATTCAACTCTGTGACTTGAATGCAGATATCACAAGAAGTTTCTGAGAATGCTTCTGTCGAGATTTTATATGAAGATATTCCCGTTTCCAACGAAATGCTGAAATGTATCCAAATATCCCCTCGCAGATTCTACAAAAAGAGGGTTTCAAAACTGCTCTGTAAAAAGAAAGGTTCAACTCTGTTAGTTGAGTACACACATCACAAACAAGTTTCACAGAATGCTTCTTTCTAGCTTGTAGGGGAAGATATTCCCTTTATCACCATGGTCCTCAAACCGTCCGAAACGTCCACTTCCATATACTACAAAAAGAGCGTTTCAAACCTGCTCTAGGAAAGGTAATGTTCAACTCTGTGACTTGAATGCAGACATCACAGAGCAGTTTCTGAGAATGCTTCTGTCTAGATCTTATAGGAAGATATTCCCGTTTCAAACGAAATCTTCACAGCTATCCAAATATCCACTTGCAGATTCTACAAAAAGAGTGTATCAAAACTGCTCTGTCAAAAGGAAGGTTCTTCTCTGTTAGGTGAGTGCATACGGTCATAAAGGATTTTCTGAGAATGTTTCTGTCTAGTGGTTATGGGAAGATATTTGCTTTTTCCCCGTCGGCCTCAGGGCGCTCCAAATGTCCACTTGCACATGCTACAAAAAGAGTGCTTCAAAGCTGCTCTCTCAAAGGGAATGTTCAACTCTATGAGTTGAATGCAAACATCGCAAAGACGTTTCTGAGAATGCTTCTGTCTAGATTTGATATGAAGATATTCCCGTTTCCAACGAAATCTTCAAATCTATCCAAATGTCCACTTGCAGATTCAACAAAAAGTGTTTTTCAGAACTGCTCTATCAAAAGAAAGATCTACCTCTGTTAGCTGAGTTCACACATCACAAACAAGTTTATGAGAATGCTTCTGTCTAGTTTTTATTTGAAGATATTTCCTTTCTCACCATAGACCTGAAAGCTGTCCTAATGTTCACTTCCAGATACTACAGAAAGAGTGTTTCAAAACTGCTGTACGAAAGGGAATGTTCAACTCTGTGACTTGAATGCACACATCACAAGGATGTTTCTGAGGATGCTGCTGTCTACTTTTTATACGTAATCCCGTTTCCAACGAAATCCTCCAAGCTATCCAAATATCCCCTTGCAGATTCCACAGAAAGACTGTTTCAAAACTGCTCTGTCAATAGAAAGGTTCAACTCTATTAGCTGCGTACATATATCCCAAAGAAGATTCTGAGATTGCTTCTGTCTAGTTTTTATGGGAAGATATTTCCCTTTTCACCGTAGGCGTCAAGGCACTCCAAATGTCCACTTCCAGATACTACAAAAAGAGTGTTTCAAACCTACTCTGTGAAAGGGAATATTCAACTCTGTCACTTGAAGGCAGATATGACAAAGAAGTTTCTGAGAATGCTTCTGTCGAGATTTTATATGAAGATATTCCCGTTTCCAACGAAATGCTGAAATCTATCCAAATATCCCCTCGCAGATTCTACAAAAAGAGTGTTTCAAAACTGCTCTGTAAAAAGAAAGGTTCAACTCTGTTAGTTGAGTACACACATCACAAACAAGTTTCACAGAATGCTTCTTTCTAGCTTGTAGGGGAAGATATTCCCTTTATCACCATGGGTCTCAAACCGTCCGAAACGTCCACTTCCATATACTACAAAAAGAGCGTTTCAAACCTGCTCTATGAAAGGCAATGTTCAACTCTGTGACTTGAATGTAGACATCACAGAGCTGTTTCTGAGAATGCTTCTGTCTAGATTTTATAAGAAGATATTCCCGTTTCCAACGAAATCTTCACAGCTATCCAAATATCCACTTGCAGATTCTACAAAAAGAGTGTATCAAAACTGCTCTGTCAAAAGGAAGGTTCTTCTCTGTTAGGTGAGTGCATACGTCATAAAGCAGTTTCTGAGAATGTTTCTGTCTAGTGGTTATGGGAAGATATTTTCTTTTTCCCCGTAGGCCTCAGGGCGCTCCAAATGTCCACTTGCACATGCTACAAAAAGAGTGCTTCAAAGCTGCTCTCTTAAAGGGAATGTTCAACTCTATGAGTTGAATGCAAACATCACAAAGACGTTTCTGAGAATGCTTCTGTCTAGATTTGATATGAAGATATTCCCGTTTCCAAGGAAATCTTCAAATCTATCCAAATGTCCACTTGCAGATTCAACAAAAAGTGTTTTTCAGAACTGCTCTATCAAAAGAAAGATCCACTTCTGTTAGCTGAGTTCACACATCACAAACAAGTTTATGAGAATGCTTCTGTCTAGTTTTTATTTGAAGATATTTCCTTTCTCACCATAGAGCTGAAAGCTGTCCTAATGTTCACTTCCAGATACTACAGAAAGAGTGTTTCAAAACTGCTGTACGAAAGGGAATGTTCAAGTCTGTGACTTGAATGCACACATCACAAAGAAGTTTCTGAGGATGCTGCTGTCTACTTTTGATACGTAATCCCGTTTCCAACGAAATCCTCCAAGCTATCCAAATATCCACTTGCAGATTCCACAGAAAGACTGTTTCAAAACTGCTCTGTCAATAGAAAGGTTCAACTCTGTTAGCTGCGTGCATATATCCCAAAGAAGATTCTGAGATTCCTTCTGTCTACTTTTTATGGGAAGATATTTCCCTTTTCACCATAGGTGTCAAGGCGCTCCAAATGTCCACTTCCAGATACTACAAAAAGAGTGTTTCAAACCTACTCTGTGAAAGGGAATATTCAACTCTGTGACTTGAATGCACATATTACAAAGAAGTTTCTGAGAATGCTTCTGTCGAGATTTTATATGAAGATATTCCCGTTTCCAACGAAATCCTGAAATCTATCCAAATATCCCCTTGCAGATTCTACAAAAAGAGTGTTTCAAAACTGCTCTGTAAAAAGAAAGGTTCAACTCTGTTAGTTGAATACACACATCACAAACAAGTTTCACAGAGTGCTTCTTTCTATCTTGTAGGGGAAGATATTCCCTTTATCACTATGGGCCTCAAACCGTCCGAAAAGTCTACTTCCATATACTACAAAAAGAGCGTTTCAAACGTGCTCTATGAAAGGCAATGTTCAACTCTGTGACTTGAATGCAGACATCACAGAGCAGTTTCTGAGAATGCTTCTGTCTAAATTTTATAGGAAGATATTCCCGTTTCCAACGAAATCTTCACAGCTATCCAAATATCCACTTGCAGATTCTACAAAAAGAGTGTATCAAAACTGCTCTGTCAAAAGGAAGGTTCTTTTCTGTTAGGTGAGTGCATACGTCATAAAGGAGTTTCTGAGAATGTTTCTGTCTAGTGGTTATGGGAAGATATTTGCTTTTTCACCGTAGGCCTCAGAGCGCTCCAAATATCCACTTGCACATACTACAAAAAGAGTGCTTCAAAGCTGCTCTCTGAAAGGGAATGTTCAACTCTATGAGTTGAATGCAAACATCACAAAGACGTTTCTGAGAATGCTTTCTGTCTAGATTTGATATGAAGATCTTCCCGTTTCCAACGAAATCTTCAAATCTATCCAAATGTCCACTTGCAGATTCAACAGAAAGTGTTTTTCAGAACTGCTCTATCAAAAGAAAGATCCACCTCTGTTAGCTGAGTTCACACATCACAAACAAGTTTATGAGAATGCTTCTGTCTAGTTTTTATTTGAAGAATATTTCCTTTCTCACCATAGACCTGAAAGCTGTCCTAATGTTCACTTCCAGATACTACAGAAAGAGTGTTTCAAAACTGCTGTACGAAAGGGAATGTTGAACTCTGTGACTTGAATGCACACATCACAAAGAAGTTTCTGAGGATGCTGCTGTCTACTTTTTATACGTAATCCCGTTTCCAACGAAATCCTCCAACCTATCCAAATATCCACTTGCAGAATCCACAGAAAGACTGTTTCAAAACTGCTCTGTCAATAGAAAGGTTCAACTCTGTTAGCTGCGTGCATATATCCCAAAGAAGATTCTGAGATTGCTTCTGTCTAGTTTTTATGGGAAGATATTTCCCTTTTCACCGTAGGTGTCAAGGCGCTCCAAATGTCCACTTCCAGATACTACAAAAAGAGTGTTTCAAACCTACTCTGTGAAAGGGAATATTCAGCTCTGTGACTTGAATGCACATATCACAAAGAAGTTTCTGAGAATGCTTCTGTCGAGATTTTATATGAATATATTCCCGTTTCCAACGAAATGCTGAAATGTATCCAAATATCCCCTCGCAGATTCTACAAAAAGAGTGTTTCAAAACTGCTCTGTAAAAAGAAAGGTTCAACTCTGTTAGTTGAGTACACACATCACAAACAAGTTTCACACAATGCTTCTTTCTAGCTTGTAGGGGAAGATATTCCCTTTATCACCATGGGCCTCAAACCGTCCGAAACGTCTACTTCCATATACTACAAAAAGAGAGTTTCAAACCTGCTCTATGAAAGGCAATGTTCAACTCTGTGACTTGAATGCAGACATCACAGAGCAGTTTCTGAGAATGCTTGTCTGTCTACATTTTATAGGAAGATATTCCCGTTTCCAACGAAATCTTCACAGCTATCCAAATATCCACTTGCAGATTCTACAAAAAGAGTGTATCAAAACTGCTCTGTCAAAAGGAAGGTTCTTCTCTGTTAGGTGAGTACATACGTCATAAAGGAGTTTCTGAGAATGTTTCTGTCTAGTGGTTATGGGAAGATATTTGCTTTTTCACCTTAGGCCTCAGAGCGCTCCAAATATCCCCTTGCACATACTACAAAAAGAGTGCTTCAAAGCTGCTCTCTTAAACGGAATGTTCAACTCTATGAGGTGAATGCAAACATGACAAAGACGTTTCCGAGAATGCTTCTGTCTAGATTTGATATAAAGATATTCCCGTTTCCAACGAAATCTTCAAATCTATCCAAATGTCCACTTGGAGATTCAACAAAAAGTGTTTTTCCGAACTGCTCTATCAAAAGAAAGATCCACCTCTGTTAGCTGAGTTCACACATCACAAACAAGTTTATGAGAATGCTTATCTGTCTAGTTTTTATTTGAAGATATTTCCTTTCTCACCATAGAGCTGAAAGCTGTCCTAATGTTCACTTCCAGATACTACAGAAAGAGTGTTTCAAAACTGCTGTACGAAAGGGAATGTTCAACTCTGTGAGTTGAATGCACACATCACAAAGAAGTTTCTGAGGATGTTGCTGTCTACTTTTTATACGTAATCCCGTTTCCAGCGAAATCCTCCAATCTATCCAAATATCCACTTGCAGATTCCACAGAAAGACTGTTTCAAAACTGCTCTGTCAATAGAAAGGTTCAACTCTGTTAGCTGCCTGCATATATCCCAAAGAAGATTCTGAGATTGCTTCTGTCTAGTTTTTATGGGAAGATATTTCCCTTTTCACCGTAGACGTCAAGGCGCTCCAAATGTCCACTTCCAGATATTACAAAAAGAGTGTTTCAAACCTACTCTGTGAAAGGGAATATTCAACTCTGTGACTTGAATGCAGATATCACAAAGAAGTTTCTGAGAATGCTTCTCTGTCGAGATTTTATATGAAGATATTTTCCCGTTTCCAACGAAATCCTGAAATCTATCCAAATATCCCCTCGCAGATTCTACAAAAAGAGTGTTTCAAAACTGCTCTGTGAAAAGAAAGGTTCAACTCTGTTAGTTGAGTACACACATCACAAACAAGTTTCACAGAATGCTTCTTTCTAGCTTGTAGGGGAAGATATTCCCTTTATCACCATGGGCCTCAAACCGTCCGAAATGTCCACTTCCATATACTACAAAAAGAGCATTTACAACCTGCTCTATGAAAGGCAATGTTCAACTCTGTGACTTGAATGCAGACATCACAGAGCAGTTTCTGAGAATGCTTCTGTCTAGATTTTATAGGAAGATATTCCCGTTTCCAACGAAATCTTCACAGCTATCCAAATATCCACTTGCAGATTCTACAAAAAGAGTGTATCAAAACTGCTCTGTCAAAAGGAAGGTTCTTCTCTGTTAGGTGAGTGCATATGTCATAAAGGAGTTTCTGAGAATGTTTCTGTCTAGTGGTTATGGGAAGATATTTGCTTTTTCACCATAGGCCTCAGAGCGCTCCAAATATCCACTTGCACATACTACAAAAAGAGTGCTTCAAAGCTGCTCTCTGAAAGGGAATGTTCAACTCTATGAGTTGAATGCAAACATCACAAAGACTTTTCTGAGAATGCTTCTGTCTAGATTTGATATGAAGATATTCCCGTTTCCAACGAAATCTTCAAATCTATCCAAATATCCACTTGCAGATTCAACAAAAAGTGTTTTTCAGAACTGCTCTATCAAAAGAAAGATCCACCTCTGTTAGCTTAGTTCACACATCAGAAACAAGTTTATGAGAATGCTTCTGTCTAGTTTTTATTTGAAGATATTTCCTTTCTCACCATAGACCTGAAAGCTGTCCTAATGTTCACTTCCAGATACTACAGAAAGTGTTTCAAACTGCTGTACGAAAGGGAATGTTCAACTCTGTGACTTGAATGCACACATCACAAAGAAGTTTCTGAGGATGCTGCTGTCTACTTTTTATACGTAATCCCGTTTACAACGAAACCCTCCAAGCTATCCAAATATCCACTTGCAGATTCCACAGAAAGACTGTTTCAAAACTGCTCTGTCAATAGAAAGGTTCAACTCTGTTAGCTGCGTGCATATATCCCAAAGAAGATTCTGAGATTGCTTCTGTCTAGTTTTTATGGGAAGATATTTCCCTTTTCACCGTAGGAGTCAAGGCGCTCCAAATGTCCACTTCCAGATGCTACAAAAAGAGTGTTTCAAACCTACTCTGTGAAAGGGAATATTCAACTCTGTGACTTGAATGCACATATCACAAAGAAGTTTCTGAGAATGCTTCTGTCGAGATTTTGTATGAAGATATTCCCGTTTCCAACGAAATCCTGAAATGTATCCAAATTTCCCCTCGCAGATTCTACAAAAAGAGTGTTTCAAAACTGCTCTGTGAAAAGAAAGGTTCAACTCTGTTAGTTGAGTACACACATCACAAACAAGTTTCACAGAATGCTTCTTTCTAGCTTGCAGGGGAAGATATTCCCTTTATCACCATGGGCCTCAAACCGTCCGATAAGTCCACTTCCATATACTACAAAAAGAGCGTTTCAAACCTGCTCTATGAAAGGCAATGTTCAACTCTGTGACTTGAATGCAGACATCACAGAGCAGTTTCTGAGAATGCTTCTGTGTAGATTTTATAGGAAGATATTCCCGTTTCCAACGAAATCTTCACAGCTATCCAAATATCCACTTGCAGATTGTACAAAAAGAGTGTATCAAAACTGCTCTGTCAAAAGGAAGGTTCTTCTCTGTTAGGTGAGTGCATACGTCATAAAGGAGTTTCTGAGAATGTTTCTGTCTAGTGGTTACGGGAAGATATTTGCTTTTTCCCCGTAGGCCTCAGGGCACTCCAAATGTCCACTTGCACATGCTACAAAAAGAGTGCTTCAAAGCTGCTCTCTGGAAGGGAATGTTCAACTCTATGAGTTGAATGCAAACATCACAAAGACGTGTCTGAGAATACTTCTGTCTAGATTTGATATGAAGATATTCCCGTTTCCAACGAAATCTTCAAATCTATCCAAATGTCCACTTGCAGATTCAACAAAAAGTGTTTTTCCGAACTGCTCTATCAAAAGAAAGATCCGCCTCTGTTAGCTGAGTTCACATATCACAAACATGTTTATGAGAATGCTTCTGTCTAGTTTTTATTTGAAGATATTTCCCTTCTCACCATAGACCTGCAAGCTGTCCTAATGTTCACTTCCAGATACTACAGAAAGAGTGTTTCAAAACTACTGTACGAAAGGGAATGTTCAACACTGTGACTTGAAAGCACACATCACAAAGAAGTTTCTGAGGATGCTGCTGTCTACTTTTTATACGTAATCCCGTTTCCAACGAAATCCTCCAAGCTATCCAAATATCCACTTGCAGGTTCCACAGAAAGACTGTTTCAAAACTGCTCTGTCAATAGAAAGGTTCAACTCTGTTAGCTGCGTGCATATATCCCAAAGAAGATTCTGAGATTGCTTCTGTCTAGTTTTTATGGGAAGATATTTCCCTTTTCACTGTAGGCGTCAAGGCGCTCCAAATGTCCACTTCCAGATACTACAAAAAGAGTGTTTCAAACCTACTCTGTGAAAGGGAGTATTCAACTCTGTGACTTGAATACACATATTCCAAAGAAGTTTCTGAGAATGCTTCTGTCGAGATTTTATATGAAGATATTCCCGTTTCCAACGAAATCCTGAAATCTATCCAAATATCCCCTTGCAGATTCTACAAAAAGAGTGTTTCAAAACTGCTCTGTGAAAAGAAAGGTTCAACTCTGTTAGTTGAGTACACACATCACAAACAAGTTTCACACAATGCTTCTTTCTAGCTTGTAGGGGAAGATATTCCCTTTATCACCATGGGCCTCAAACCGTCCGAAACGTCAACTTCCATATACTACAAAAAGAGCGTTTCAAACCTGCTCTAGGAAAGGCAATGTTCAACTCTGTGACTTGAATGCAGACATCACAGAGCAGTTTCTGAGAATGCTTCTGTCTAGATTTTATAGGAAGATATTCCCGTTTTCAACGAAATCTTCACAGCTATCCAAATATCCACTTGCAGATTCTACAAAAAGAGTGTATCAAAACTGCTCTGTCAAAAGGAAGGTTCTTCTCAGTTAGGTGAGTGCATACGTCATAAAGGAGTTTCTGAGAATGTTTGTGTCTAGTGGTTATGAGAAGATATTTGCTTTTTCACCTTAGGCCTCACAGCGCTCAAAATATCCCCTTGCACATACTACAAAAAGAGTGCTTCAAAGCTGCTCTCTGAAAGGGAATGTTCAACTCTATGAGTTGAATGCAAACATCACAAAGACGTTTCTGAGAATGCTTCTGTCTAGATTTGATATGAAGATATTCCCGTTTCCAAAGAAATCTTCAAATCTATCCAAATATCCACTTGCAGATTCAACAAAAAGTGTTTTTCAGAACTGCTCTATCAAAAGAAAGATCCACCTCTGTTAGCTGAGTTCACACATCACAAACAAGGTTATGAGAATGCTTCTGTCTAGTTTTTATTTGAAGATATTTCCTTTCTCACCATAGAGCTGAAAGCTGTCTTAATGTTCACTTCCAGATACTACAGAAAGAGTGTTTCAAAACTGCTGTACGAAAGGGAATGTTCAACTCTGTGACTTGAATGCACACATCACAAAGAAGTTTCTGAGGATGCTGCTGTCTACTTTTTATGCGTAATCCCGTTTCCAACGAAATCCTCCAATCTATCCAAATATCCACTTGCAGATTCCACAGAAAGACTGTTTCAAAACTGCTCTGTCAATAGAAAGGTTCAACTCTGTTAGCTGCGTGCATATATCCCAAAGAAGATTCTGAGATTGCTTCTGTCTAGTTTTTATGAGAAGATATTTCCCTTTTCACCGTAGGCGTCAAGGCGCTCCAAATGTCCACTTCCAGATACTACAAAAAGAGTGTTTCAAACCTACTCTGTGAAAGGGAATATTCAACTCTGTGACTTGAATGCAGATATCACAAAGAAGTTTCTGAGAATGCTTCTGTCGAGATTTTATATGAAGATATTCCCGTTTCCAACGAAATCCTGAAATGTATCCAAATATCCCCTCGCAGATTCTACAAAAAGAGTGTTTCAAAACTGCTCTTTAAAAAGAAAGGTTCAACTCTGTTAGTTGAGTACACACATCACAAACAAGTTTCACAGAATGCTTCTTTCTAGCTTGTAGGGGAAGATATTCCCTTTATCACCATGGGCCTCAAACCGTCCGAAACGTCTACTTCCATATACTACAAAAAGAGCGTTTCAAACCTACTCTATGAAAGGCAATGTTCAACTCAGTGACTTGAATGCAGACATCGCAGAGCAGTTTCTGAGAATGCTTCAGTCTAGATTTTATAGGAAGATATTCCCGTTTCCAACGAAATCTTCACAGCTATCCAAATATCCACTTGCAGATTCTACAAAAAGAGTGTATCAAAACTGCTCTGTCAAAAGGAAGGTTCTTCTCTGTTAGGTGAGTGCATACGTCATAAAGGAGTTTCTGAGAATGTTTCTGTCTAGTGGTTATGGGAAGATATTTGCTTTTTCACCTTAGGCCTCAGAGCGATCCAAATATCCACTTGCACATACTACAAAAAGAGTGCTTCAAAGCTGATCTCTGAAACGGAATGTTCAACTCTATGAGTTGAATGCAAACATCACAAAGACGTTTCTGAGAATGCTTCTGTCTAGATTTGATATGAAGATATTCCCGTTTCCAACGAAATCTTCAAATCTATCCAAATGTCCACTTGCAGATTCAACGAAAAGTGTTTTTCAGAACTGCTGTATCAAAAGAAAGATCCACCTCTGTTAGCTGAGTTCACACATCACAAACAAGTTTATGAGAATGCTTCTGTCTAGTTTTTATTTGAAGATATTGCCTTTCTCACCCTAGACCTGAAAGCTGTCCTAATGTTCTCTTCCAGATGCTACAGAAAAAGTGTTTCAAAACTGCTGTACGAAAGGGAATGTTCAACTCTGTGACTTGAATGCACACATCACAAAGAAGTTTCTGAGGATGCTGCTGTCTACTTTTTATACGTAATCCCGTTTCCAACGAAATCCTCCAAGCTATCCAAATATCCACTTGCAGATTCCACAGAAAGACTGTTTCAAAACTGCTCTGTCAACAGAAAGGTTCAACTCTGTTAGCTGCGTGCATATATCCCAAAGAAGATTCTGAGATTGCTTCTGTCTAGTTTTTATGGGAAGATATTTCCCTTTCCACCGTAGGCGTCAAGGCGCTCCAAATGTCCACTTCCAGATACTACAAAAAGAGTGTTTCAAACCTACTCTGTGAAAGGGAATATTCAACTCTGTGACTTGAATGCACATATCACAAAGAAGTTTCTGAGAATTCTTCTGTCGAGCATTTTATATGAAGATATTCCCGTTTCCAACGAAATCCTGAAATCTATCCAAATATCCGCTCGCAGATTCTACAAAAAGAGTGTTTCAAAACTGCTCTGTGAAAAGAAAGGTTCAACTCTGTTAGTTGAGTACACACATCACAAACAAGTTTCACAGAATGCTTCTTTCTAGCTTGTAGGGGAAGATATTCCCTTTATCACCATGGGCCTCAAACCGTCTGAAACGTCTACTTCCATATACTACAAAAAGAGCGTTTCAAACCTGCTCTATGAAAGGCAATGTTCAACTCTGTGACTTGAATGCAGACATCACAGAGCAGTTTCTGAGAATGCTTCTGTCTAGATTTTATAGGAAGATATTCCCGTTTCCAACGAAATCTTCACAGCTATCCAAATATCCACTTGCAGATTCTACAAAAAGAGTGTTTCAAAACTGCTCTGTCAAAAGGAAGGTTCTTTTCTGTTAGGTGAGTGCATACGTCATAAAGGAGTTTCTGAGAATGTTTCTGTCTAGTGGTTATGGGAAGATATTTGCTTTTTCACCTTAGGCCTCAGAGCGCTCAAAATATCCCCTTGCACATACTACAAAAAGAGTGCTTCAAAACTGCTCTCTGAAACGGAATGTTCAACTCTATGAGTTGAATGCCAACATCACAAAGACGTTTCTGAGAATGCTTCTGTCTAGATTTGATATGAAGATATTCCCGTTCCCAACGAAATCTTCAAATCTATCCAAATGTCCACTTGCAGATTCAACAAAAAGTGTTTTTCAGAACTGCTCTATCAAAAGAAAGATCCACCTCGGTTAGCTGAGTTCACACATCACAAAGAAGTTTATGAGAATGCTCTGTCTAGTTTTTATTTGAAGATATTTCCTTTCTCACCATAGAGCTGAAAGCTGTCCTAATGTTCACTTCCAGATACTACAGGAAGAGTGTTTCAAAACTGCTGTACGAAAGGGAATGTTCAACTCTGTGACTTGAATGCACACATCACAAAGAAGTTTCTGAGGATGCTGGCTGTCTACTTTTTATACGTAATCCTGTTTCCAACGAAATCCTCCAAGCTATCCAAATATCCACTTGCAGATTCCACAGAAAGACTGTTTCAAAACTGCTCTGTCAATAGAAAGGTTCAACTCTGTTAGCTGCGTGCATATATCCCAAAGACGATTCTGAGATTGCTTCTGTCTAGTTTTTATGGGAAGATATTTCCCTTTACACCGTAGGCGTCAAGGCGCTCCAAATGTCCACTTCCAGATACTACAAAAAGAGTGTTTCAAACCTACTCGGTGAAAGGGAATATTCAACTCCTGTGACTTGAATGCAGATATCACACAGAAGTTTGCTGAGAATGCTTCTGTCGAGATTTTATATGAAGATATTCCCGTTTCCAACGAAATCCTGAAATGTATCCAAATATCCCCTCGCAGATTCTACAAAAAGAGTGTTTCAAAACTGCTCTGTAAAAAGAAAGGTTCAACTCTGTTAGTTGAGTACACACATCACAAACAAGTTTCACAGAATTGTTCTTTCTAGCTTGTAGGGGAAGATATTCCCTTTATCACCGTGGTCCTCAAACCGTCCGAAACGTCCACTTCCATATACTACAAAAAGAGCATTTCAAACCTGCTCTATGAAAGGCAATGTTCAACTCTGTGACTTGAATGCAGACATCACAGAGCAGTTTCTGAGAATGCTTCTGTCTAGATTTTATAGGAAGATATTCCCGTTTCCAACGAAATCTTCACAGCTATCCAAATATCCACTTGCAGATTCTACCAAAAGAGTGTATGAAAACTGCTCTGTCAAAAGAAAGGTTCTTCTCTGTTAGGTGAGTGCATACGTCATAAAGGAGTTTCTGAGAATGTTTCTGTCTAGTGGTTATGGGAAGATATTTGCTTTTTCACCGTAGGCCTCAGAGCGCTCCAAATATCCCCTTGCACATACTACAAAAAGAGTGCTTCAAAGCTGCTCTCTGAAAGGGAATGTTCAACTCTGTGAGTTGAATGCAAACATCACAAAGACTTTTCTGAGAATGCTTCTGTCTAGATTTGATATGAAGATATTCCCGTTTGCAACGAAATCTTCAAATCTATCCAAATGTCCACTTGCAGATTCAACAAAAAGTGTTTTTCAGAACTGCTCTATCAAAAGAAAGATCCACCTCTGTTAGCTGAGTTCACACATCACAAACAAGTTTATGAGAATGCTTCTGTCTAGTTTTTATTTTAAGATATTTCCTTTCTCACCATAGACCTGAAAGCTGTCCTAATGTTCACTTCCAGATACTACAGAAAGAGTGTTTCAAAACTGCTGTACGAAAGGGAATGTTCAACTCTGTGACTTGAATGCACACCGCACAAAGAAGTTTCTGAGGATGCTGCTGTCTAATTTTTATACGTAATCCCGTTTCCAACGAAATCCTCCAAGCTATCCAAATATGCACTTGCAGATTCCACAGAAAGACTGTTTCAAAACTGCTCTGTCAATAGAAAGGTTCAACTCTGTTAGCTGCGTGCATATATCCCAAAGAAGATTCTGAGATTGCTTCTGTCTAGTTTTTATGGGAAGATATTTCCCTTTTCACCGTAGGCGTCAAGGCGCTACAAATGTCCACTTCCAGATACTACAAAAAGAGTGTTTCAAACCTACTCTGTGAAAGGGAATATTCAACTCTGTGACTTGAATGCACATATCACAAAGAAGTTTCTGAGAATGCTTCTGTCGAGATTTTATATGAAGATATTCCCGTTTCCAACGAAATCCTGAAATCTATCCAAATATCCCCTCGCAGATTCTACAAAAAGAGTGTTTCAAAACTGCTCTGTAAAAAGAAAGGTTCAACTCTGTTAGTTGAGTACAAACATCACAAGCAAGTTTCACAGAATGCTTCTTTCTAGCTTGTAGGGGAAGATATTCCCTTTATCACCATGGGCCTCAAACCGTCCGAAAAGTCCACTTCCATATACTACAAAACGAGCGTTTCAAACCTGCTCTATGAAAGGCAATGTTCAACTCTGTGACTTGAATGCAGACATCACAGAGCAGTTTCTGAGAATGCTTCTGTCTAGATTTTATAGGAAGATATTCCCGTTTCCAACGAAACCTTCACAGCTATCCAAATATCCACTTGCAGATTCTACAAAAAGAGTGTATCAAAACTGCTCTGTCAAAAGGAAGGTTATTCTCTGTTAGGTGAGTGCATACGTCATAAAGGAGTTTCTGAGAATGTTTCTGTCTAGTGGTTATGGGAAGATATTTGCTTTTTCACCTTAGGCCTCAGAGCGCTCCAAATATCCCCTTGCACATACTACAAAAAGAGTGCTTCAAAGCTGCTCTCTGAAACGGAATGTTCAACTCTATGAGTTGAATGCAAACATCACAAAGACGTTTCTGAGAATGCTTCTGTCAAAATTTGATATGAAGATATTCCCGTTTCCAACGAAATCTTCAAATCTATCCAAATGTCCACTTGCAGATTCAACAAAAAGTGTTTTTCAGAACTGCTCTATCAAAAGAAAGATCCACCTCTGTTAGCTGAGTTCACACATCACAAACAAGTTTATGAGAATGCTTCTGTCTAGTTTTTATTTGAAGATATTTCCTTTCTCACCATAGACCTGAAAGCTGTCTTAATGTTCACTTCCAGATACTACAGAAAGAGTGTTTCAAAACTGCTGTACAAAAGGGAATGTTCAACTCTGTGACTTGAATGCACACATCACAAAGAAGTTTCTGAGGATGCTGCTGTCTACTTTTTATACGTAATCCCGTTTCCAACGAAATCCTCCAAGCTATCCAAATATCCACTTGCAGATTCCACAGAAAGACTGTTTCAAAACTGCTCTGCCAATAGAAAGGTTCAACTCTGTTAGCTGCGTGCATATATCCCAAAGAAGATTCTGAGATTGCTTCTGTCTAGTTTTTATCGGAAGATATTTCCCTTTTCACCGTAGGTGTCAAGGCGCTCCAAATGTCCACTTCCAGATACTACAAAAAGAGTGTTTCAAACCTACTCTGTGAAAGGGAATATTCAACTCTGTGACTTGAGTGCAGATATCACAAAGAACTTTCTGAGAATGCTTCTGTCTAGATTTGATATGAAGATATTCCCGTTTCCAACGAAATGCTGAAATGTATCAAAATATCCCCTCGCAGATTCTACAAAAAGAGTGTTTCAAAACTGCTCTGTAAAAAGAAAGGTTCAACTCTGTTAGTTGAGTACACACATCACAAACAAGTTTCAAAGAATGCTTCTTTCTAGCTTGTAGGGGAAGAATATTCCCTTTATCACCATGGGCCTCAAACCGTCCGAAACGTCCACTTCCATATACTACAAAAAGAGCGTTTCAAACCTGCTCTAGGAAAGGCAATGTTCAACTCTGTGACTTGAATGCAGACATCACAGAGCAGTTTCTGAGAATGCTTCTGTCTAGATTTTATAGGAAGATATTCCCGTTTCCAACGAAATCTTCACAGCTATCCAAATATCCACTTGCAGATTCTACAAAAAGAGTGTATCAAAACTGCTCTATCAAAAGGAAGGTTCTTTTCTGTTAGGTGAGTGCATACGTCATAAAGGAGTTTCTGAGAATGTTTCTGTCTAGTGGTTATGGGAAGATATTTGCTTTTTCACCGTAGGCCTCAGAGCGCTCCAAATATCCACTTGCACATACTACAAAAAGTGTGCCTCAAAACTGCTCTCTGAAACGGAATGTTCAACTCTATGAGTTGAATGCAAACATCACAAAGACGTTTCTGAAAATGCTTCTGTCTAGATTTGATATGAAGATGTTCCCGTTTCCAACGAAATCTTCAAATCTATCGAAATGTCCACTTGCAGATTCAACAAAAAGTGTTTTTCAGAACTGCTCTATCAAAAGAAAGATCCACCTCTGTTAGCTGAGTTCACACATCACAAACAAGTTTATGAGAATGCTTCTGTCTAGTTTTTATTTGAAGATATTTCCTTTCTCACCATAGACCTGAAAGCTGTCCTCATGTTCACTTCCAGATACTACAGAAAGAGTGTTTCAAAACTGCTGTACGAAAGGGAATGTTCAACTCTGTGACTTGAATGCACACATCACAAAGAAGTTTCTGAGGATGCTGCTGTCTACTTTTTATACGTAATCCCTTTTCCAAAGAAATCCCCCAAGCTATCCAAATATCCACTTGCAGATTCCACAGAAAGACTGTTTCAAAACTGCTCTGTCAATAGAAAGGTTCAACTCTATTAGCTGCGTGCATATATACCAAAGAAGATTCTGAGATTGCTTCTGTCTAGTTTTTATGGGAAGATATTTCCCTTTTCACCGTAGGCGTCAAGGCGCTCCAAATGTCCACTTCCAGATACTACAAAAAGAGTGTTTCAAACCTACTCTGTGAAAGGGAATATTCAACTCTGTGACTTGAATGCACATATCACCAAGAAGTTTCTGATAATGCTTCTGTCGAGATTTTATATGAAGATATTCCCGTTTCCAACGAAATCCTGAAATCTATCCAAATATCCCCTCGCAGATTCTACAAAAAGAGTGTTTCAAAACTGCTCTGTAAAAAGAAAGGTTCAACTCTGTTAGTTGAGTACATACATCACAAACAAGTTTCACAGAATGCTTCTTTCTAGCTTGTAGGGGAAGATATTCCCTTTATCACCATGGGCCTCAAACCGTCCGAAACATCCACTTCCCTATACTACAAAAAGAGCGTTTCAAACCTGCTCTATGAAAGGCAATGTTCAACTCTGTGACTTGAATGCAGACATCACAGAGCAGTTTCTGAGAATGCTTCTGTCTAGATTTTATAGGAAGATATTCCCGTTTCCAACGAAATCTTCACAGCTATCCAAATATCTACTTGCAGATTCTACAAAAAGAGTGTATCAAAACTGCTCTGTCAAAAGGAAGGTTCTTCTCTGTTAGGTGAGTGCATACGTCATAAAGCAGTTTCTGAGAATGTTTCTGTCTAGTGGTTATGGGAAGATATTTGCTTTTTCCCCGTAGGCCTCAGGGCGCTCCAAATGTCCACTTGCACATGCTACAAAAAGAGTGCTTCAAAGCTGCTCTCTGAAAGGGAATGTTCAACTCTATGAGTTGAATGCAAACATCGCAAAGACGTTTCTGAGAATGCTTCTGTCTAGATTTGATATGAAGATATTCCCGTTTCCAACGAAATCTTCAAATCTATCCAAATGTCCACTTGCAGATTCAACAAAAAGTGTTTTTCAGAACTGCTCTATCAAAAGAAAGATCCACCTCTGTTAGCTGAGTTCACACATCACAAACAAGATTATGAGAATGCTTCTGTCTAGTTTTTATTTGAAGATATATCCTTTCTCACTATAGACCTGAAAGCTCTCCTAAAGTTCACTTCCAGATACTACAGAAAGAGTGTTTCAAAACTGCTGTACGAAAGGGAATGTTCAACTCTGTGACTTGAATGCACACATCACAAGGATGTTTCTGAGGATGCTGCCGTCTACTTTTTATACGTAATCCCGTTTCCAACGAAATCCTCCAAGCTATCCAAATATCCACTTGCAGATTCTACAAAAAGAGTGTTTCAAAACTGCTCTGTAAAAAGAAAGGTTCAACTCTGTTAGCTATGTGCATACATCCCAAAGAAAATTCTGAGATTGCTTCTGTCTAGTTTTTATGGGAAGATATTTCCCTATTCACCGTAGGCGTCAAGGCGCTCCAAATGTCCACTTCCAGATACTACAAAAAGAGTGTTTCAAACCTACTCTGTGAAAGGGAATATTCAACTCTGTGACTTGAATGCAGATATCACAAAGAAGTTTCTGAGAATGCTTCTGTCGAGATTTTATATGAAGACATTCCCGTTTCCAACGAAATCCTGAAATCTATCCAAATATCCCCTCGCAGATTCTACAAAAAGAGTGTTTCAAAACTGCTCTGTAAAAAGAAAGGTTCAACTCTGTTAGTTGAGTACACATCACAAACAAGTTTCACAGAATGCTTCTTTCTAGCTTGTAGGGGAAGATATTCCCTTTATCACCATGGGCCTCAAACCGTCCGAAACGTCCACTTCCATATACTACAAAAAGAGCGTTTCAAACCTGCTCTATGAAAGGCAATGTTCAACCCTGTGACTTGAATACAGACATCGCAGAGCAGTTCCTGAGAATGCTTCTGTCTAGATTTTATAGGAAGATATTCCCGTTTCCAACGAAATCTTCACAGCTATCCAAATATCCACTTGCAGATTCTACAAAAAGAGTGTATCAAAACTGCTCTGTCAAAAGGAAGGTTCTTCTCTGTTAGGTGAGTGCATACATCATAAAGGAGTTCCTGAGAATGTTTCTGTCTAGTGGTTATGGGAAGATATTTGCTTTTTCACCTTAGGCCTCAGAGCGATCCAAATATCCACTTGCACATACTACAAAAAGAGTGCTTCAAAGCTGCTCTCTGAAAGGGAATGTTCAACTCTATGAGTTGAATGCAAACATCACAAAGACGTTTCTGAGAATGCTTCTGTCTAGATTTGAAATGAAGTTATTCCCGTTTCCAACGAAATCTTCAAATCTATCCAAATGTCCACCTGCAGATTCAACAAAAAGTGTTTTTCAGAACTGCTCTATCAAAAGAAAGATCCACCTCGGTTAGCTGAGTTCACACATCACAAAGAAGTTTATGAGAATGCTTCTGTCTAGTTTTTATTTGAAGATATTTCCTTTCTCACCATAGAGCTGAAAGCTGTCCTAATGTTCACTTCCAGATACTACAGAAAGAGTGTTTCAAAACTGCTGTACGAAAGGGAATGTTCAACTGCTGTGACTTGAATGCACACATCACAAAGAAGTTTCCTGAGGATGCTGCTGTCTACTTTTTATACGTAATCCCGTTTCCAACGAAATCCTCCAAGCTATCGAAATATCCACTTGCATATTCCACAGAAAGACTGTTTCAAAACTGCTATGTCAATAGAAAAGTTCAACTCTGTTAGCTGTGTGCATATATCCCAAAGAAAATTCTGAGATTGCTTGTGTCTAGTTTTTATGGGAAGATATTTCCCTTTTCACCGTAGGCGTCAAGGCGCTCCAAATGTCCACTTCCAGATACTACAAAAAGAGTGTTTCAAACCTACTCTGTGAAAGGGAATATTCAACTCTGTGACTTGAATGCACATATCACAAGGAAGTTTCTGAGAATGCTTCTGTCGAGATTTTATATGAAGATATTCCCGTTTCCAACGAAATCCTGAAATCTATCCAAATATCCCCTCGCAGATTCTACAAAAAGAGTGTTTCAAAACTGCTCTGCAAAAAGAAAGGTTCAACTCTGTTAGTTGAGTACACACATCACAAACAAGTTTCACAGAATGCTTCTTTCTAGCTTGTAGGGGAAGATATTCCCTTTATCACCATGGGCCTCAAACCGTCCGAAACGTCCACTTCCATATACTACAAAAACAGCATTTCAAACCTGCTCTATGAAAGGCAATGTTCAACTCTGTGACTTGAATGCAGACATCACAGAGCAGTTTCTGAGAATGCTTCTGTCTAGATTTTATAGGAAGATATTCCCGTTTCCAACGAAATCTTCACAGCTATCCAAATATGCACTTGCAGATTCTACAAAAAGAGTGTATCAAAACTGCTCTGTCAAAAGGAAGGTTCTTCTCTGTTAGTTGAGTACATACGTCATAAAGGAGTTTCTGAGAATGTTTCTGTCTAGTGGTTATGGGAAGATATTTGCTTTTTCACCGTAGGCGTCAGAGCTCTCCAAATATCCACTTGCACATACTACAAAAAGAGTGCTTCAAAGCTGCTCTCTGAAACGGAATGTTCAAATCTATGAGTTGAATGCAAACATCACAAAGACGTTTCTGAGAATGCTTCTGTCTAGATTTGATATGAAGATATTCCCGTTTCCAACGAAATCTTCAAATCTATCCAAATGTCCACTTGCAGATTCAACAAAGTGTTTTTCAAAACTGCTGTATGAAAAGAAAGATCCACCACTGTTAGCTGAGTTCACACTTCACAAACAAGTTTATCAGAATGCTTCTGTCTAGTTTTTATTTGAAGATATTTCCTTTCTCACCATAGACCTGAAAGCTGTCCTAATGTTCACTTCCAGTTACTACAGAAAGAGTGTTTCAAAACTGCTGTACGAAAGGGAATGTTGAACTCTGTGACTTGAATGCACACATCACAAAGAAGGTTCTGAGGATGCTGCTGTCTACATTTTATACGTAATCCCGTTTCCAACGAAATCCTCCAAGCTATCCAAATATCCACTTGCAGATTCCACAGAAAGACTGTTTCAAAACTGCTCTGTCAATAGAAAGGTTCAACTCTGTTAGCTGCGTCCATATATCCCAAAGAAGATTCTGAGATTGCTTCTGTCTAGTTTTTATGGGAAGATATTTCCCTTTTCACCGTAGGTGTCAAGGCGCTCCAAATGTCCACTTCCAGATTCTACAAAAAGAGTGTTTCAAACCTACTCTGTGAAAGGGAATATTCAACTCTGTGACTTGAATGCACATATCACAAGGAAGTTTCTGAGAATGCTTCTGTCGAGATTTCATATGAAGATATTCCCGTTTCCAACGAAATCCTGAAATCTATCCAAATATCCCCTCACAGATTCTACAAAAAGAGTGTTTCAAAACTGCTCTGTAAAAAGAAAGGTTCAACTCTGTTAGTTCAGTACACACATCACAAACAAGTTTCACAGAATGCTTCTTTCTAGCTTGTAGGGGAAGATATTCCCTTTATCACCATGGGCCTAAAACCGTCCGAAACATCCACTTCCATATACTACAAAAAGAGCGTTTCAAACCTGCTCTAGGAAAGGCAATGTTCAACTCTGTGACTTGAAAGCAGACATCACAGAGCAGTTTCTGAGAATGCTTCTGTCTAGATTTCATAGGAAGATATTCCCGTTTCCAACGAAATCTTCACAGCTATCCCAATATCCACTTGCAGATTCTACAAAAAGAGTGTATCAAAACTGCTCTGTCAAAAGGAAGGTTCTTCTCTGTTAGGTGAGTGCATACGTCATAAAGGAGTTTCTGAGAATGTTTCTGTCTAGTGGTTATGGGAAGATATTTGCTTTTTCCCCATAGGCCTCAGGGCGCTCCAAATGTCCACTTGCACATGCTACAAAAAGAGTGCTTCAAAGCTGCTCTCTGAAAGGGAATGTTCAACTCTATGAGTTGAATGCAAACATCACAAAGACGTTTCTGAGAATGCTTCTGTCTAGATTTGATATGAAGATATTCCCGTTTCCAACGAAATCTTCAAATCTATCCAAATGTCCACTTGCAGATTCAACAAAGTGTTTTTCAAAACTGCTGTATCAAAAGAAAGATCCACCACTGTTAGCTGAGTTCACACTTCACAAACAAGTTTATTAGAATGCTTCTGTCTAGTTTTTATTTGAAGATATTTCCTTTCTCACCATAGACCTGAAAGCTGTCCTAATGTTCACTTCCAGATACTACAGAAAGAGTGTTTCAAAACTGCTGTACGAAAGGGAATGTTCAACTGCTGTGACTTGAATGCACACATCACAAAGAAGTTTCTGAGGATGCTGCTGTCTACTTTTTATACGTAATCCTGTTTCCAACGAAATCCTCCAAGCTATCCAAATATCCACTGGCAGATTCCACAGAAAGACTGTTTCAAAACTGCTGTCAATAGAAAGGTTCAACTCTGTTAGCTGCGTGCATATATCCCAAAGAAGATTCTGAGATTGCTTCTGTCTAGTTTTTATGGGAAGATATTTCCCTTTTCACCGTAGGCGTCAAGGCGCTCCAAATGTCCACTTCCAGATACTACAAAAAGAGTGTTTCAAACCTACTCTGTGAAAGGGAATATTCAACTCTGTGACTTGAATGCACATATCACAAAGAAGTTTACTGAGAATGCTTCTGTCGAGATTTTATATGAAGATATTCCCGTTTCCAACGAAATCCTGAAATCTCTCCAAATATCCCCTCGCAGATTCTACAAAAAGAGTGTTTCAAAACTGCTCTGTAAAAAGAAAGGTTCAACTCTGTTAGTTGAGTACACACATCACAAACAAGTTTCACAGAATGCTTCTTTCTAGCTTGTAGGGGAAGATATTCCCTTTATCACCATGGGCCTCAAACCGTCCAAAACGTCCACTTCCATATACTACAAAAAGAGCGTTTCAAACCTGCTCTAGGAAAGGCAATGTTCAACTCTGTGACTTGAATGCAGACATCACAGAGCAGTTTCTGAGAATGCTTCTGTCTAGATTTTATAGGAAGATATTCCCGTTTCCAACGAAATCTTCACAGCTATCCAAATATCCACTTGCAGATTCTACAAAAAGAGTGTATCAAAACTCCTCTGTCAAAAGGAAGGTTCTTCTCTGTTAGTTGAGTACATACGTCATAAAGGAGTTTCTGAGAATGTTTCTGTCTAGTGGTTATGGGAAGATATTTGCTTTTTCACCGTAGGCCTCAGAGCACTCCAAATATCCACTTGCACATACTACAAAAAGAGTGTCTCAAAGCTGCTCTCTGAAACGGAATGTTCAACTCTATGAGTTGAATGCAAACATCGCAAAGACGTTTCTGAGAATGCTTCTGTCTAGATTTGATATGAAGATATTCCCGTTTCCAACGAAATCTTCAAATCTATCCAAATGTCCACTTGCAGATTCAACAAAAAGTGTTTTTCAGAACTGCTCAATCAAAAGAAAGATCCACCTCTGTTAGCTGAGTTCACACTTCACAAACAAGTTTATCAGAATGCTTCTGTCTAGTTTTTATTTGAAGATATTTCCTTTCTCACCATAGACCTGAAAGCTCTCCTAATGTTCACTTCCAGATACTACAGAAAGAGTGTTTCAAAACTGCTGTACGAAAGGGAATGTTCAACTCTGTGACTTGAATGCACACATCACAAAGAAGTTTCTGAGGATGCTGCTGTCTACTTTTTATACGTAATCCCGTTTCCAACGAAATCCTCCAAGCTATCCAAATATCCACTTGCAGATTCCACAGAAAGACTGTTTCAAAACTGCTCTGTCAATAGAAAGGTTGAACTCTGTTAGCTGCGTGCATATATCCCAAAGAAGATTCTGAGATTGCTTCTGTCTAGTTTTTATGGGAAGATATTTCCCTTGTCACCGTAGGCGTCAAGGCACTCCAAATGTCCACTTCCAGATACTACAAAAAGAGTGTTTCAAACCTACTCTGTGAAAGGGAATATTCAACTCTGTGACTTGAAGGCAGATATCACAAAGAAGTTTCTGAGAATGCTTCTGTCGAGATTTTATATGAAGATATTCCCGTTTCCAACGAAATCCTGAAATCTATCCAAATATCCCGTCGCAGATTCTACAGAAAGAGTGTTTCAAAACTGCTCTGTAAAAAGAAAGGTTCAACTCTGTTACTTGAGTACACACATCACAAACAAGTTTCACAGAATGCTTCTTTCTAGCTTATAGGGGAAGATATTCCCTTTATCACCATGGGCCTCAGACCGTCCGAAACGTCCACTTCCATATACTACAAAAAGAGCGTTTCAAACCTGCTCTATGAAAGGCAATGTTCAACTCTGTGACTTGAATGCAGACATCACAGAGCAGTTTCTGAGAAGTGCTTCTGTCTAGATTTTATAGGAAGATATTCCCGTTTCCAACGAAATCTTCACAGCTATCCCAATATCCACTTGCAGATTCTACAAAAAGAGTGTATCAAAACTGCTCTGTCAAAAGGAAGGTTCTTCTCTGTTAGATGAGTACACACGTCATAAAGGAGTTTCTGAGAATGTTTCTGTCTAGTGGTTATGGGAAGATATTTGCTTTTTCACCGTAGGCCTCAGAGCGCTCCAAATATCCACTTGCACATACTACAAAAATGAGTGCCTCAAAGCTGCTCTCTGAAACGGAATGTTCAACTCTATGAGTTGAATGCAAACATCACAAAGACGTCTCTGAGAATGCTTCTGTCTAGATTTGATATGAAGATATTCCCGTTTCCAACGAAATCTTCAAATCTATCCAAATGTCCACTTGCAGATTCAACAAAAAGTGTTTTTCAGAACTGCTCTATCAAAAGAAAGATCCATCTCTGTTAGCTGAGTTCACACATCACAAACAAGTTTATGAGAATGCTTCTGTCTAGTTTTTATTTGAAGATATTTCCTTTCTCACCATAGACCTGAAAGCTGTCCTAATGTTCACTTCCAGATACTACAGAAAGGGTGTTTCAAAACTGCTGTACGAAAGGGAATGTTCAACTCTGTGACTTGAATGCACACATCACAAAAAAGTTTCTGAGGATGCTGCTGTCTACTTTTTATACGTAATCCCGTTTCCAACGAAATCCTCTAATCTATCCAAATATCCACTTGCAGATTCCACAGCAAGACTGTTTCAAAATTGCTCTGTCAATAAAAAGGTTCAACTCTGTTAGCTGCGTGCATATATCCCAAAGAAGATTCTGAGATTGCTTCTGTCTAGTTTTTATGGGAAGATATTTCCCTTTTCACTGTAGGCGTCAAGGCGCTAAAAATGTCCACTTCCAGATACTACAAAAAGAGTGTTTCAAACCTACTCTGTGAAAGGGAATATTCAACTCTGTGACTTGAATGCACATACCACAAAGAAGTTTCTGAGAATGCTTCTGTCCAGATTTTATATGAAGATATTCCCCTTTCCAACGAAATCCTGAAATCTATCCAAATATCCCCTCGCAGATTCTACAAAAAGAGTGTTTCAAAACTGCTCTGTAAAAAGAAAGGTTCAACTCTGTTAGTTGAGTACACACATCACAAACAAGTTTCACAGAATGCTTCTTTCTAGCTAGTAGGGGAAGATATTCCCTTTATCACCATGGGCCTCAAACCGTCCGAAACGTCCACTTCCATGTACTACAAAAAGAGCGTTTCAAACCTGCTCTATGAAAGGCAATGTTCAACTCTGTGACTTGAATGCAGACATCACAGAGCAGTTTCTGAGAATGCTTCTGTCTAGATTTTATAGGAAGATACTCCCGTTTCCAACGAAATCTTCACAGCTATCCAAATATCCACTTGCAGATTCTACAAAATGAGTTTATCAAAACTGCTCTGTCAAAAGGAAGGTTCTTCTCTGTTAGGTGAGTGCATACGTCATAAAGGAGTTTCTGAGAATGTTTCTGTGTAGTGGTTATGGGAAGATATTTGCTTTTTCACCTTAGGCCTCAGAGCGCTCCATATATCCCCATGCACATACTACAAAAAGAATGCTTCAAAGCTGCTCTCTGAAACGGAATGTTCAACTCTATGAGTTGAATGCAAACATCACAAAGACGTTTCCAAGAATGCTTCTGTCTAGATTTGATATGAAGATATTACCGTTTCCAACGAAATCTTCATATCTATCCAAATGTCCACTTGCAGATTCAACAAAAAGTGTTTTTCAAAACTGCTGTATCAAAAGAAAGATCCACGTCTGTTAGCTGAGTTCACACATCACAAACAAGTTTATGAGAATGCTTCTGTCTAGTTTTTATTTGAAGATATTCCCTTTCTCACCATCGACCTGAAAGCTGTCCTAATGTTCACTTCCAGATACTACAGAAAGAGTGTTTCAAAACTGCTGTACGAAAGGGAATGTTCAACTCTGTGACTTGAATGCACACATCACAAAGAAGTTTCTGAGGATGCTGCTGTCTACTTTTTATACGTAATCCCATTTCCAAAGAAATCCTCCAAGCTATCCAAATATCCACTTGCAGATTCCACAGAAAGACTGTTTCAAAACTGCTCTGTCAATAGAAAGGTTCAACTCTGTTAGTTGCGTGCATATATCCCAAAGAAGATTCTGAGATTGCTTTCTGTCTACTTTTTATGAGAAGATATTTCCCTTTTCACCGTAGGCCTCAAGGCGCTCCAAATGTCCACTTCCAGATACTACAAAAAGAGTGTTTCAAACCTACTCTGTGAAAGGGAATATTCAACTCTGTGACTTGAATGCACATATCACAAAGAAGTTTCTGAGAATGCTTCTGTCGAGATTTTATATGAAGATATTCCCGTTTCCAACGAAATCCTGAAATCTATCCAAATATCCCCTCGCAGATTCTACAAAAAGAGTGTTTCAAAACTGCTCTGTAAAAAGAAAGGTTCAACTCTGTTAGTTTAGTACACACATCACAAACAAGTTTCACAGAATGCTTCTTTCTAGCTTGTAGGGGAAGATATTCCCTTTATCACCATGGGCCTCCAACCGTCCGAAACATCCACTTCCATATACTACAAAAAGAGCGTTTCAAACCTGCTCTAGGAAAGGCAATGTTCAACTCTGTGACTTGAATGCAGACATCACAGAGCAGTTTCTGAGAATGCTTCTGTCTAGATTTTATAGGAAGATATTCCCGTTTCCAACGAAATCTTCACAGCTATCCAAATATCCACTTGCAGATCCTACAAAAAGAGTGTATCAAAACTGCTCTGTCAAAAGGAAGGTTATTCTCTGTTAGGTGAGTGCATACGTCATAAAGGAGTTTCTGAGAATGTTTCTGTCTAGTCGTTATGGGAAGATATTTGCTTTTTCACCGTAGGCCTCAGAGCGCTCCAAATATCCACTTGCACATACTACAAAAAGAGTGCCTCAAAGCTGGTCTCTGAAACGGAATGTTCAACTCTATGAGTTGAATGCAAACATCACAAAGACGTTTCTGAGAATGCTTCTGTCTAGATTTGATATGAAGATATTCCCTTTTCCAACGAAATCTTCAAATCTATCCAAATGTCCACTTGCAGATTCAACAAAACGTGTTTTTCAGAACTGCTCTATCAAAAGAAAGATCCACCTCTGTTAGCTGAGTTCACACATCACAAACAAGTTTATGAGAATGCTTCTGTCTAGTTTTTATTTGAAGATATTTCCTTTCTCACCATAGACCTGAAAGCTGTCCTAATGTTCACTTCCAGATACTACAGAAAGAGTGTTTCAAAACTGCTGTACGAAAGAGAATGTTCAACTCTGTGACTTGAATGCACACATCACAAAGAAGTTTCTGAGGATGCTGCTGTCTACTTTTTATACGTAATCCCGTTTCCAACGAAATCCTCCAAGCTATCCAAATATCCACTTGCAGATTCCACAGAAAGACTGTTTCAAAACTGCTCTGTCAATAGAAAGGTTCAACTCTGTTAGCTGCGTGCATATATCCCAAAGAAGATTCTGAGATTGCTTTCTGTCTAGTTTTTATGGGAAGATATTTCCCTTTTCACCGTAGGCGTCAAGGCGCTCCAAATGTCCACTTCCAGATACTACAAAAAGAGTGTTTCAAACCTACTCTGTGAAAGGGAATGTTCAACTCTGTGACTTGAGTGCACATATCACAAAGAAGCTTCTGAGAATGCTTCTGTCGAGATTTTATATGAAGATATTCCCGTTTCCAACGAAATCCTAAAATCTATCCAAATATTCCCTCGCAGATTCTACAAAAAGAGTGTTTCAAAACTGCTCTGTAAAAAGAAAGGTTCAACTCTGTTAGTTGAGTACACACATCACAAACAAGTTTCACAGAATGCTTCTTTCTAGCTTGTAGGGGAAGATATTCCCTTTAACACCATGGGCCTCAAACCGTCTGAAACGTCCACTTCCATATACTACAAAAAGAGCGTTTCAAACCTGCTCTATGAAAGGCAATGTTCAACTCTGTGACTTGAATGCAGACATCACAGAGCAGTTTCTGAGAATGCTTCTGTGTAGATTTTATAGGAAGATATTCCCGTTTCCAACGAAATCTTCACAGCTATCCAAATATCCACTTGCAGATTCTACAAAAAGAGTGTATCAAAACTGCTCTGTCAAAAGGAAGGTTCTTTTCTGTTAGGTGAGTGCATACGTCATAAAGGAGTTTCTGAGAATGTTTCTGTCTAGTGGTTATGGGAAGATATTTGCTTTTTCACCGTAGGCCTCAGAGCACTCCAAATATCCCCTTGCACATACTACAAAAAGAGTGCTTCAAAGCTGCTCTCTGAAAGGGAATGTTCAACTCTGTGAGTTGAATGCAAACATCACAAAGACGTTTCTGAGAATGCTTCTGTCTAGATTTGATATGAAGATATTCCCGTTTCCAACGAAATCTTCAAATCTATCCAAATGTCCACTTGCAGATTCAACAAAAAGTGTTTTTCAGAACTGCTCTATCAAAAGAAAAATCCACCTCTGTTAGCTGAGTTCACACATCACAAACAAGTTTATGAGAATGCTTCTGTCTAGTTTTTATTTGAAGATATTTCCTTTCTCACCATAGACCTGAAAGCTGTCCTAATGTTCACTTCCAGATGCTACAGAAAGAGTGTTTCAATACTGCTGTACGAAAGGGAATGTTCAACTCTGTGACTTGAATGCACACATCACAAAGAAGTTTCTGAGGATGCTGCTGTCTACTTTTTATGCGTAATCCCGTTTCCAACGAAATCCTCCAAGCTATCCCAATATCCACTTGCAGATTCCACAGAAAGACTGTTTCAAAACTGCTCTGTCAATAGAAAGGTTCAACTCTGTTAGCTGCGTGCATATATCCCAAAGAAGATTCTGAGATTGCTTTCTGTCTACTTTTTATGAGAAGATATTTCCCTTTTCACCGTAGGCGTCAAGGCGCTCCAAATGTCCACTTCCAGATACTACAAAAAGAGTGTTTCAAACCTACTCTGTGAAAGGGAATATTCAACTCTGTGACTTGAATGCAGATATCACAAAGAAGTTTCTGAGAATGCTTCTGTCGAGATTTTATATGAAGATATTCCCTTTTCCAACGAAATCCTGAAATCTATCCAAATATCCCCTCGCAGATTCTACAAAAAGAGTGTTTCAAAACTGCTCTGTAAAAAGAAAGGTTCAACTCTGTTAGCTGAGTACACACATCACAAACAAGTTTCACAGAATGTTTCTTTCTAGCTTGTAGGGGAAGATATTCCCTTTATCACCATGGGCCTCAAACCGTCTGAAACTTCCACTTCCATATACTACAAAAAGAGCATTTCAAACCTGCTCTATGAAAGGCAATGTTCAACTCTGTGACTTGAATGCAGACATCACAGAGCAGTTTCTGAGAATGCTTCTGTCTAGATTTTATAGGAAGATATTCCCGTTTCCAACGAAATCTTCACAGCTATCCAAATATAAACTTGCAGATTCTACAAAAAGAGTGTATCAAAACTGCTCTGTCAAAAGGAAGGTTCTTCTCTGTTAGGTGAGTGCATACATCATAAAGGAGTTCCTGAGAATGTTTCTGTCTAGTGGTTATGGGAAGATATTTGCTTTTTCCCCGTAGGCCTCAGAGCGCTCCAAATATCCACTTGCACATACTGCAAAAAGAGTGCTTCAAAGCTGCTCTCTGAAAGGGAATGTTCAACTCTATGAGTTGAATGCAAACATCACAAAGACGTTTCTGAGAATGCTTCTGTCTAGATTTGATATGAAGATATTCCCGTTTCCAACGAAATCTTCAAATCTATCCAAATGTCCACTTGCAGATTCAACAAAAAGTGTTTTTCAGAACTGCTCTATCAAAAGAAAGATTCACCTCTGTTAGCTGAGTTCACACTTCACAAACAAGTTTATGAGAATGCTTTTGTCTAGTTTTTATTTGAAGATATTTTCTTTCTCACCATAGACCTGAAAGCTGTCCTAATGTTCACTTCCAGATACTACAGAAAGAGTGTTTCAAAACTGCTGTACGAAAGGGAATGTTCAACTCTGTGACTTGAATGCACACATCACAAAGAAGTTTCTGAGGATGCTGCTGTCTACTTTTTATACGTAATACCGTTTCCAACGAAATCCTCCAAGCTATCCAAATATCCACTTGCAGATTCCACAGAAAGACTGTTTCAAAACTGCTCTGTCAATAGAAAGGTTCAACTCTGTTAGCTGCGTGCATATATCCCAAAGAAGATTCTGAGATTGCTTCTGTCTACTTTTTATGAGAAGATATTTCCCTTTTCACCGTAGGCATCAAGGCGCTCCAAATGTCCACTTCCAGATACTAGAAAAAGAGTGTTTCAAACCTACTCTGTGAAAGGGAATATTCAACTCTGTGACTTGAATGCACATATCACAAAGAAGCTTCCGAGAATGCTTCTGTCGAGATTTTATATAAAGATATTCCGGTTTCCAACAAAATCCTGAAATCTATCCAAATATCCCCTCGCAGATTCTACAAAAAGAGTGTTTCAAAACTGCTCTGTAAAAAGAAAGGTTCAACTCTGTTAGTTGAGTACACACATAACAAACAAGTTTCACAGAATGCTTCTTTCTAGCTTGTAGGGGAAGATATTCCCTTTATCACCATGGGCCTCCAACCGTCCGAAACGTCCACTTCCATATACTACAAAAAGAGCCTTTCAAACCTGCTCTATGAAAGGCAATGTTCAACTCTGTGACTTGAATGCAGACATCACAGAGCAGTTTCTGAGAATGCTTCTGTCTAGATTTTATAGGAAGATATTCCCGTTTCCAACGAAATATTCACAGGTATCAAAATATCCACTTGCAGATTCTACAAAAAGAGTGTATCAAAACTGCTCTGTCAAAAGGAAGGTTCTTCTCTGTTAGGTGAGTGCATACGTCATAAAGGAGTTTCTGAGAATGTTTTCTGTCTAGTCGTTATGGGAAGATATTTGCTTTTTCACCGTAGGCCTCAGAGCGCTCCAAATATCCACTTGCACATACTACAAAAAGAGTGCTTCAAAGCTGGTCTCTGAAACGGAATGTTCAACTCTATGAGTTGAATGCAAACATCACAAAGACGTTTACTGAGAATGCTTCTGTCTAGATTTGATATGAAGATATTCCCGTTTCCAAGGAAATCTTCAAATCTATCCAAATGTCCACTTTCAGATTCAACAAAAAGTGTTTTTCAAAACTGCTGTATCAAAAGAAAGATCCACGTCTGTTAGCTGAGTTCACACATCACAAACAAGTTTATGAGAATGCTTCTGTCTAGTTTTTATTTGAAGATATTACCTTTCTCACCATAGAGCTGAAAGCTGTCCTAATGTTCACTTCCAGATACTCCAGAAAGAGTGTTTCAAAACTGCTGTACGAAAGGGAATGTTCAACTCTGTGACTTGAATGCACACATCACAAAGAAGTTTCTGAGGATGCTGCTGTCTACTTTTTATACCTAATCCCGTTTCCAACGAAATCCTCCAAGCTATCCAAATATCCACTTGCAGATTCCACAGAAAGACTGTTTCAAAACTGCTCTGTCAATAGAAAGGTTCAACTCTGTTAGCTGCGTGCATATATCCCAAAGATGATTCTGAGATTTCTTCTGTCTAGTTTTTATGAGAAGATATTTCCCTTTTCACCGTAGGCGTCAAGGCGCTCCAAATGTCCACTTCCAGATACTACAAAAAGAGTGTTTCAAACCTACTCTGTAAAAGGGAATATTCAACTCTGTGACTTGAATGCACATATCACAAAGAAGTTTCTGAGAATGCTCTGTCGAGATTTTATATGAAGATATTCCCGTTTCCAACGAAATCCTGAAATCTATCCAAATATCCCCTCGCAGATTCTACAAAAAGAGTGTTTCAAAACTGCTCTGTAAAAAGAAAGGTTCAACTCTGTTAGTTGAGTACACACATCACAAACAAGTTCACAGAATGCTCTCTTTCTAGCTTGCAGGGGAAGATATTCCCTTTATCACCATGGGCCTCCAACCGTCCGAAACATCCACTTCCATATACTACAAAAAGAGCGTTTCAAACCTGCTCTATGAAAGGCAATGTTCAACTCTGTGACTTGAATGCAGACATCACAGAGCAGTTTCTGAGAATGCTTCTGTCTAGATTTTATAGGAAGATATTCCCGTTTCCAACGAAATCTTCACAGCTATCCAAATATCCACTTGCAGATTCTACAAAAAGAGTGTATCAGAACTGCTCTGTCAAAAGGAAGGTTCTTTTCTGTTAGGTGAGTGCATACGTCATAAAGGAGTTTCTGAGAATGTTTCTGTCTAGTGGTTATGGGAAGATATTTGCTTTTTCACCGTAGGCCTCAGAGCGCTCCAAATATCCACTTGCACATACTACAAAAAGAGTGCTTCAAACCTGCTCTCTGAAACAGAATGTTCAACTCTATGAGTTGAATGCAAACATCACAAAGACGTTTCTGAGAATGCTTCTGTCTAGATTTGATATGAAGATATTCCCGTTTCCAACGAAATCTTCAAATCTATCCAAATATCCACTTGCATAATCAACAAAAAGTGTTTTTCACAACTGCTCTATCAAAAGAAAGATCCACCTCTGTTAGCTGAGTTCACACATCACAAACAAGTTTATGAGAATGCTTCTGTCTAGTTTTTATTTGAAGATATTTCCTTTCTCACCATAGACCTGAAAGCTGTCCTAATGTTCACTTCCAGATACTACAGAAAGAGTGTTTCAAAACTGCTGTATGAAAGGGAATGTTCAACTCTGTGACTTGAATGCACACATCACAAAGAAGTTTCTGAGGATGCTGCTGTCTACTTTTCATACTTAATCCCGTTTCCAACGAAATCCTCCAAGCTATCCAAATATCCACTTGCAGATTCCACAGAAAGACTGTTTCAAAACCGCTCTGTCAATAGAAAGGTTCAACTCTGTTAGCTGCGTGCATATATCCCAAAGAAGATTCTGAGATTGCTTCTGTCTAGTTTTTATGGGTAGATATTTCCCTTTTCACAGTAGGTGTCAAGGCGCTCCAAATGTCCACTTCCAGATACTACAAAAAGAGTGTTTCAAACCTACTCTGTGAAAGGGAATATTCAACTCTGTGACTTCAATGCACATATCACAAGGAAGTTTCTGAGAATGCTTCTGTCGAGATTTTAAATGAAGATATTCCCGTTTCCAACGAAATCCTGAAATCTATCCAAATATCCCCTCGCAGATTCTACAAAAAGAGTGTTTCTAAACTGCTCTGTAAAATGAAAGGTTCAACTCTGTTAGTTGAGTACACACATCACAAACAAGTTTCACAGAATGCTTCTTTCTAGCTTGTAGGGGAAGATATTCCCTTTATCACCATGGGCCTCCAACCGTCCGAAACATCCACTTCCATATACTACAAAAAGAGCGTTTCAAACCTGCTCTATGAAAGGCAATGTTCAACTCTGTGACTTGAATGCAGACATCACAGAGCAGTTTCTGAGAATGCTTATCTGTCTAGATTTTATAGGAAGATATTCCCGTTTCCAACGAAATCTTCACAGCTATCCAAATATCCACTTGCAGATTCTACAAAAAGAGTGTATCAAAACTGCTCTGTCAAAAGGAAGGTTCTTTTCTGTTAGGTGAGTGCATACGTCATAAAGGAGTTTCTGAGAATGTTCTGTCTAGTGGTTATGGGAAGATATTTGCTTTTTCACCGTAGGCCTCAGAGCGCTCCAAATATCCACTTGCACATACTACAAAAAGAGTGCTTCAAAGCTGTTCTTTGAAAGGGAATGTTCAACTCTATGAGTTGAATGCAAACATCACAAAGACGTTTCTGAGAATGCTTCTTTCTAGATTTGATATGAAGATATTCCCGTTTCCAACGAAATCTTCAAATCTATCCAAATGTCCACTTGCAGATTCAACAAAACGTGTTTTTCAGAACTGCTCTATCAAAAGAAAGATCCACCTCTGTTAGCTGAGTTCACACATCACAAACAAGTTTATGAGAATGCTTCTGTCTAGTTTTTATTTAAAGATATTTCCTTTCTCACCATAGACCTGAAAGCTGTCCTAATGTTCACTTCCAGATACTACAGAAAGAGTGTTTCAAAACTGCTGTACGAAAGGGAATGTTCAACTCTGTGACTTGAATGCACACATCACAAAGAAATTTCTGAGGATGCTGCTGTCTACTTTTTATACGTAATCCCATTTCCAACGAAATCCTCCAAGCTATCCAAATATCCACTTGCAGATTCCACAGAAAGACTGTTTCAAAACTGCTATGTCAATAGAAAAGTTCAACTCAGTTAGCTGTGTGCATATATCCCAAAGAAAATTCTGAGATTGCTTCTGTCTAGTTTTTATGGGAAGATATTTCCCTTTTCACCGTAGGCGTCAAGGCGCTCCAAATGTCCACTTCCAGATACTACAAAAAGAGTGTTTCAAACCTACTCTGTGAAAGGGAATATTCAACTCTGTGACTTGAATGCACATAACACAAGGAAGTTTCTGAGAATGCTTCTGTCGAGATTTTATATGAAGATATTCCCGTTTCCAACGAAATCCTGAAATGTATCCAAATATCCCCTCGCAGATTATACAAAAAGAGTGTTTCAAAACTGCTCTGTAAAAAGAAAGGTTCAACTCTGTTAGTTGAGTACACACATCACAAACAAGTTTCACAGAATGCTTCTTTCTAGCTTGTAGGGGAAGATATTCCCTTTATCAACATGGGCCTCAAACCGTCCGAAACGTCCACTTCCATATACTACAAAAAGAGCGTTTCAAACCTGCTCTATGAAAGGCAATGTTCAACTCTGTGACTTGAATGCAGACATCACAGAGCAGTTTCTGAGAATGCTTCTGTCTAGATTTTATAGGAAGATATTCCCGTTTCCAACGAAATCTTCACAGCTATCCAAATATCCAGTTGCAGATTCTACAAAAAGAGTGTATCAAAACTGCTCTGTCAAAAGGAAGCTTCTTCTCTGTTAGGTGAGTGCATACGTCATAAAGGAGTTTCTGAGAATGTTTCAGTCTAGTGGTTATGGGAAGATATTTGCTTTTTCACCGCAGAGCTCACAGCGCTCCAAATATCCACTTGCACATACTACAAAAAGAGTGCTTCAAAGCTGCCCTCTGAAACGGAATGTTCAACTCTATGAGTTGAATGCAAACATCACAAAGACGTTTCTGAGAATGCTTCTGTCTAGATTTGATATGAAGATATTCCCGTTTCCAACGAAATCTTCAAATCTATCCAAATGTCCACTTGCAGATTCAACAAAAAGTGTTTTCCCGAACTGCTCTATCAAAAGAAAGATCCGCCTCTGTTAGCTGAGTCCACACATCACAAACAAGTTTACGAGAATGCTTCCGTCTAGTTTTTAATTGAAGATATTTCCTTTCTCACCATAGACCTGAAAGCTGTCCTAATGTTCACTTCCAGTTACTACAGAAAGAGTGTTTCAAAACTGCTGTACGAAAGGGAATGTTCAACTCTGTGACTTGAATGCACACATCACAAAGAAGTTTCTGAGGATGCTGCTGTCTACTTTTTATACGTAATCCCGTTTCCAACGAAATCCTCCAAGCTATCCAAATATCCACTTGCAGATTCTACAGAAAGACTGTTTCAAAACTGCTCTGTCAATAGAAAGGTTCAACTCTGTTAGCTGTGTGCATATATCCCAAAGAAGATTCTGAGATTGCTTCTGTCTACTTTTTATGAGAAGATATTTTCCCTTTTCACCGTAGGTGTCAAGGCGCTCCAAATGTCCACTTCCAGATACTACAAAAAGAGTGTTTCAAACCTACTCTGTGAAAGGGAATATTCAACTCTGTGACTTGAATGCACATATCACAAAGAAGTTTCTGAGAATGCTTCTGTCGAGATTTTATATGAAGATATTCCCGTTTCCAACGAAACCCTGAAATCTATCCAAATATCCCCTCGCAGATTCTACAAAAAGAGTGTTTCAAAACTGCTCTGTAAAAAGAAAGGTTCAACTCTGTTAGTTGAGTACACACATTACAAACCAGTTTCACAGAATGCTTCTTTCTAGCTTGTAGGGGAAGATATTCCCTTTAACACCATGGGCCTCAAACCGTCCGAAACGTCCACTTCCATATACTACAAAAAGAGCGTTTCAAACCTACTCTATGAAAGGCAATGTTCAACTCTGTGACTTGAATGCAGACATCACAGAGCAGTTTCTGAGAATGCTTCTGTCTAGATTTTATAGGAAGATATTCCCGTTTCCAACGAAATCTTCACAGCTATCCAAATATCCACTTGCAGATACTACAAAAAGAGTGTATCAAAACTGCTCTGTCAAAAGGAAGGTTCTTCTCTGTTAGGTGAGTGCATACGTCATAAAGGAGTTTCTGAGAATGTTTCTGTCTAGTGGTTATGGGAAGATATTTGCTTTTTCCCGTAGGCCTCAGGGCGCTCCAAATGTCCACTTGCACATGCTACAAAAAGAGTGCTTCAAAGCTGCTCTCTGAAAGGGAATGTTCAACTCTATGAGTTGAATGCAAACATCACAAAGACGTTTCTGAGAATGCTTCTGTCTAGATTTGATATGAAGATATTCCCGTTTCCAACGAAATCTTCAAATCTATCCAAATGTCCACTTGCAGATTCAACAAAAAGTGTTTTTCAAAACTGCTCTATCTAAAGAAAGATCCACGTCTGTTAGCTGAGTTCACACATCACAAACAAGTTTATGAGAATGCTTTCTGTCTAGTTTTTATTTGAAGATATTTCCTTTCTCACCATAGACCTGAAAGCTGTCCTAATGTTCACTTCCAGATACTACAGAAAGAGTGTTTCAAAACTGCTGTACGAAAGGGAATGTTCAACTCTGGGACTTGAATGCATACATCACAAAGAAGTTTCTGAGGATGCTGCTGTCTACTTTTTATACGTAATCCCGTTTCCAAAGAAATCCTCCAAGCTATCCAAATATCCACTTGCAGATTCCACAAAAAGACTGTTTCAAAACTGCTCTGTCAATAGAAAGGTTCAACTCTGTTAGCTGCGTGCATATATCCCAAAGAAGATTCTGAGATTGCTTCTGTCTACTTTTTATGAGAAGATATTTCCCTTTTCACTGTAGGTGTCAAGGCGCTCCAAATGTCCACTTCCAGATACTACAAAAAGAGTGTTTCAAACCTACTCTGTGAAAGGGAATATTCAACTCTGTGACTTGAATGCACATATCACAAAGAAGTTTCTGAGAATGCTTCTGTCGAGATTTTATATGAAGATATTCCCGTTTCCAACGAAATCCTGAAACCTATCCAAATATCCCCTCGCAGATTCTACAAAAAGAGTGTTTCAAAACTGCTCTGTAAAAAGAAAGGTTCAACTCTTTTAGTTGAGTACACACATCACAAACAAGTTTCACAGAATGCTTCTTTCTAGCTTGTAGGGGAAGATATTCCCTAAAACACCATGGGCCTCAAACCGTCCGAAACGTCCACTTCCATATACTACAAAAAGAGTGTTTCAAACCTGCTCTATGAAAGGCAATGTTCAACTCTGTGACTTGAATGCAGACAACACAGAGCAGTTTCTGAGAATGCTTCTGTCCAGACTTTATAGGAAGATATTCCCGTTTCCAATGAAATCTTCACAGCTATCCAAGTATCCACTTGCAGATACTACAAAAGAGTGTATCAAAACTGCTCTGTCAAAAGGAAGGTTCTTCTCTGTTAGTTGAGTACATACGTCATAAAGGAGTTTCTGAGAATGTTTCTGTCTAGTGGTTATGGGAAGATATTTGCTTTTTCACCGTAGGCCTCAGAGGGCTCAAAATATCCACTTGCACATACTACAAAAAGAGTGCCTCAAAGCTGCTCTCTGAAACGGAATGTGCAACTCTATGAGTTGAATGCAAACATCGCAAAGACGTTTCTGAGAATGCTTCTGTCTAGATTTGATATGAAGATATTCCCGTTTCCAACGAAATCTTCAAATCTATCCAAATGTCCACTTGCAGATTCAACAAAGTGTTTTTCAAAACTGCTGTATCAAAAGAAAGATCCACCTCTGTTAGCTGAGTTCACACTTCACAAACAAGTTTATCAGAAAGCTTCTGTCTAGTATTTATTTGAAGATATTTCCCTTCTCACCATAGACCTGAAAGCTGTCCTAATGTTCACTTCCAGATACTACAGAAAGAGTGTTTCAAAACTGCTGTACGAAAGGGAATGTTCAACTCTGTGACTTGAATGCACACATCACAAAGAAGTTTCTGAGGATGCTGCTGTCTACTTTTTATACGTAATCCCGTTTCCAACGAAATCCTCCAAGCTATCCAAATATCCACTTGCAGATTCCACAGAAAGACTGTTTCAAAACTGCTCTGTCAATAGAAAGGTTCAACTCTGTTAGCTGCGTGCATATATCCCAAAGAAGATTCTGAGATTGCTCTGTCTAGTTTTTATGGGAAGATATTTCCCTTTTCACCGTAGGCGTCAAGGCGCTCCAAATGTCCACTTCCAGATACTACAAAAAGAGTGTTTCAAACCTACTCTGTGAAAGGGAATATTCAACTCGGTGACTTGAATGGAGATATCACAAAGAACTTTCTGAGAATGCTTCTGTCGAGATTTTATATGAAGATATTCCCGTTTCCAACGAAATCCTGAAATCTATCCAAATATCCCCTCGCAGATTCTATAAAAAGAGTGTTTCAAAACTGCTCTGTAAAAAGAAAGGTTCAACTCTGTTAGTTGAGTACACACATCACAAAGAAGTTTCACAGAATGCTTCTTTCTAGCTTGTAGGGGAAGATATTCCCTTTATCACCATGGGCCTCAAACCGTCCGAACCGTCCACTTCCATATACTACAAAAAGAGCGTTTCAAACCTGCTCTAGGAAAGGCAATGTTCAACTCTGTGACTTGAATGCAGACATCACAGAGCAGTTTCTGAGAATGCTTCTGTCTAGATTTTATAGGAAGATATTCCCGTTTCCAACGAAATCTTCACAGCTATCCATATATCCACTTGCAGATTCTACAAAAAGAGTGTATCAAAACTGCTCTGTCAAAAGGAGGGTTCTTCTCTGTTAGTTGAGTACATACGTCATAAAGGATTTTCTGAGAATGTTTCTGTCTAGTGGTTATGGGAAGATATTTGCTTTTTCACTGTAGGCCTCACAGCGCTCCAAATATCCACTTGCACATACTACAAAAAGAGTGCTTCAAAGCTGCTCTCTGAAACGGAATGTTCAACTCTATGAGTTGAATGCAAACATCACAAAGACGTTTCTGAGAATGCTTCTGTTTAGATTTGATATGAAGATATTCCCGTTTCCAACGAAATCTTCAAATCTATCCAAATATCCACTTGCAGATTCAACAAAAAGTGTTTTTCAGAACTGCTCTATCAAAAGAAAGATCCACCTCTGTTAGCTGAGTTCACACATCACAAACAAGTTTATGAGAATGCTTCTGTCTAGTTTTTATTTGAAGATATTTCCTTTCTCACCATAGACCTGAAAGCTGTCCTAATGTTCACTTCCAGATGCTACAGAAAGTGTGTTTCAAAACTGCTGTACGAAAGGGATTGTTCAACTCTGTGACTTGAATGCACACATCACAAAGAAGTTTCTGAGGATGCTGCTGTCTACTTTTTATACTTAATCCCGTTTCCAACGAAATCCTCCAAGCTATCCAAATATCCACTTGCAGATTCCACAGAAAGACTGTTTCAAAACTGGTCTGTCAATAGAAAGGTTCAACTCTGTTAGCTGCGTGCATATATCCCAAAGAAGATTCTGAGATTGCTTCTGTCCAGTTTTTATGGGAAGATATTTCCCTTTCCACCGTAGGCGTCAAGGCGCTCCAAATGTCCACTTCCAGATACTACAAAAAGAGTGTTTCAAACCTACTCTGTGAAAGGGAATATTCAACTCTGTGACTTGAATGCACATATCACAAAGAAGTTTCTGAGAATGCTTCTGTCGAGATTTTATATGAAGATATTACCGTTTCCAACGAAATCCTGAAATCTATCCAAATATCCCCTCACAGATTCTACAAAAAGAGTGTTTCAAAACTGCTCTGTAAAAAGAAAGGTTCAACTCTGTTAGTTGAGTACACACATCACAAACAAGTTTCACAGAATGCTTCTTTCTAGCTTGTAGGGGAAGATATTCCCTTTATCACCATGGGCCTCAAACGGTCCGAATCGTCTACTTCCATATAGTACAAAAAGAGCGTTTCAAACCTGCTCTATGAAAGGCAATGTTCAACTCTGTGACTTGAATGCAGACATCACAGAGCAGTTTCTGAGAATGCTTCTGTCTAGATTTCATAGGAAGATATTCCCGTTTCCAACGAAATCTTCACAGCTATCCAAATATCCACTTGCAGATTCTACAAAAAGAGTGTATCAAAACTGCTCTGTCAAAAGGAAGGTTCTTTTCTGTTAGGTGAGTGCATACGTCATAAAGGAGTTTCTGAGAATGTTTCTGTCTACTGGTTATGGGAAGATATTTGCTTTTTCACCGTAGGCCTCAGAGCGCTCCAAATATCCCCTTGCACATACTACAAAAAGAGTGCTTCAAAGCTGCTCTCTGAAAGGGAATGTTCAACTCTGTGAGTTGAATGCAAACATCACAAAGACGTTTCTGAGAATGCTTCTGTCTAGATTTGATATGAAGATATTCCCGTTTCCAACGAAATCTTCAAATCTATCCAAATGTCCACTTCCAGATTCAACAAAAAGTGTTTTTCAGAACTGCTCTATCAAAAGAAAGATCCACCTCTGTTAGCTGATTTCACACATCACAAACATGTTTATGACAATGCTTTTGTCTAGTTTTTATTTGAAGATATTTCCTTTCTCACCATAGACCTGAAAGCTGTCCTAATGTTCACTTCCAGTTACTACAGAAAGAGTGTTTCAAAACTGCTGTACGAAAGGGAATGTTCAACTCTGTGACTTGAATGCACACATCACAAAGAAGTTTCTGAGGATGCTGCTGTCTACTTTTTATACTTAATCCCGTTTCCAACGAAATCCTCCAAGCTATCCAAATATCCACTTGCAGATTCCACAGAAAGACTGTTTCAAAACCGCTCTGTCAATAGAAAGGTTCAACTCTGTTAGCTGCGTGCATATATCCCAAAGAAGATTCTGAGATTGCTTCTGTCTAGTTTTTATGGGAAGATATTTCCCTTTTCACCGTAGGTGTCAAGGCGCTCAAAATGTCCACTTCCAGATACTACAAAAAGAGTGTTTCAAACCTACTCTGTGAAAGGGAATATTCAACTCTGTGACTTGAATGCAGATATCACAAAGAAGTTTACTGAGAATGCTTCTGTCGAGATTTTATATGAAGATATTCCCGTTTCCAACGAAATCCTGAAATCTATCCAAATATCCCCTCACAGATTCTACAAAAAGAGTGTTTCAAAACTGCTCTGTAAAAAGAAAGGTTCAACTCTGTTAGTGGAGTACACACATCACAAACAAGTTTCACAGAATGCTTCTTTCTAGCTTGTAGGGGAAGATATTCCCTTTATCACCATGGGCCTCAAACCGTCCGAAACGTCCACTTCCACATACTACAAAAAGAGCGTTTCAAACCTGCTCTATGAAAGGCAATGTTCAACTCTGTGACTTGAATGCAGACATCACAGAGCAGTTTCTGAGAATGCTTCTGTCTAGATTTTATAGGAAGATATTCCCGTTTCCAACGAAATCTTCACAGCTATCCAAATATCCACTTGCAGATTCTACAAAAAGAGTGTATCAAAACTGCTCTGTCAAAAGGAAGGTTCTTCTCAGTTAGGTGAGTGCATACGTCATAAAGGAGTTTCTGAGAATGTTTCTGTCTAATGGTTATGGGAAGATATTTCCTTTTTCACCGTAGGCCTCAGAGCGCTCCAAATATCCACTTGCACATACTACAAAAAGAGTGCTTCAAAGCTGCTCTCTGAAACGGAATGTTCAACTCTATGAGTTGAATGCAAACATCACAAAGACGTTTCTGAGAATGCTTCTGTCTAGATTTGATATGAAGATATTCCCGTTTCTAACGAAATCTTCAAATCTATCCAAATGTCCACTTGCAGATTCAACAAAAAGTGTTTTTCAGAACTGCTCTATCAAAAGAAAGATCCACCTCTGTTAGCTGAGTTCAGACATCACAAACAAGTTTATGAGAATGCTTCTGTCTAGTTTTTATTTGAAGATATTTCCTTTCTCACCATAGACCTGAAAGCTGTCCTAATGTTCACTTCCAGATACTACAGAAAGAGTGTTTCAAAACTGCTGTACGAAAGGGAATGTTCAACTCTGTGACTTGAATGCACACATCACAAAGAAGCTTCTGAGGATGCTGCTGTCTACTTTTTATACGTAATCCCGTTTCCAACGAAATCCTCCAAGCTATCCAAATATCCACTTGCAGATTCCACAGAAAGACTGTTTCAAAACTGCTCTGTCAATAGAAAAGTTCAACTCTGTTAGCTGTGTCCATATATCCCAAAGAAGATTCTGAGATTGCTTCTGTCTACTTTTTATGAGAAGATATTTCCCTTTTCAACGTAGGCGTCAAGGCGCTCCAAATGTCCACTTCCAGATACTACAAAAAGAGTGTTTCAAACCTACCCTGTGAAAGGGAATATTCAACTCTGTGACTTGAATGCACATATCACAAAGAAGCTTCTGAGAATGCTTCTGTCGAGATTTTATATGAAGATATTCCCGTTTCCAACGAAATCCTGAAATCTATCCAAATATCCCCTCGCAGATTCTACAAAAAGAGTGTTTCAAAACTGCTCTGTAAAAAGAAAGGTTCAACTCCGTTAGTTGAGTACACACATCACAAACAAGTTTCACAGAATGCTTCTTTCTAGCTTGTAGGGGAAGATATTCCCTTTATCACCCTGGGCCTCCAACCGTCCGAAACGTCCACTTCCATATACTACAAAAAGAGCGTTTCAAACCTGCTCTAGGAAAGGCAATGTTCAATTCTGTGACTTCAATGCAGACATCACAGAGCAGTTTCTGAGAATGCTTCTGTCTAGATTTTATAGGAAGGTATTCCCGTTTCCAACGAAATATTCACAGCTATCCAAATATCCACTTGCAGATTCTACAAAAAGAGTGCATCAAAACTGCTCTGTCAAAAGGAAGGTTCTTCTCTGTTAGGTGAGTGCATACGTCATAAAGGAGTTTCTGAGAATGTTTCTGTCTAGTGGTTATGGGAAGATATTTGCTTTTACACCGTAGGCCTCAGAGCGCTCCAAATATCCACTTGCACATACTACAAAAAGAGTGCTTCAAAGCTGGTCTCTGAAACGGAATGTTCAACTCTATGAGTTGAATGCAAACATCACAAAGACGTTTCTGAGAATGCTTCTGTCTAGATTTGATATGAAGATATTCCCGTTTCCAACGAAATCTTCAAATCTATCCAAATGTCCACTTGCAGATTCAACAAAACGTGTTTTTCAGAACTGCTCTATCAAAAGAAAGATCCACGTCTGTTAGCTGAGTTCACACATCACAAACAAGTTTTATGAGAATGCTTCTGTCTAGTTTTTATTTGAAGATATTGCCTTTCTCACCATAGACCTGAAAGCTGTCCTAATGTTCACTTCCAGATACTACAGAAAGAGTGTTTCAAAACTGCTGTACGAAAAGGAATGTTCAACTCTGTGACTTGAATGAACACATCACAAAGAAGTTTCTGAGGATGCTGCTGTCTACTTTTTATAGGTAATCCCGTTTCCAACGAAATCCTCCAAGCTATCCAAATATCCACTTGCAGATTCCACAGAAAGACTGTTTCAAAACTGCTCTGTCAATAGAAAGGTTCAACTCTGTTAGCTGCGTGCATATATCCCAAAGAAGATTCTGAGATTGCTTCTGTCTAGTTTTTATGGGAAGATATTTCCCTTTTCACCATAGGTGTCAAGGCGCTCCAAATGTCCACTTCCAGATACTACAAAAAGAGTGTTTCAAACCTACTCTGTGAAAGGGAATATTCAACTCTGTGACTTGAATGCAGATATCACAAAGAAGTTTCTGAGAATGCTTCTGTCGAGATTTTATATGAAGATATTCCCGTTTCCAATGAAATCCTGAAATCTATCCAAATATCCCCTCGCAGATTCTACAAAAAGAGTGTTTCAAAACTGCTCTGTAAAAAGAAAGGTTGAACTCTGTTAGTTGAGTACACACATCACAAACAAGTTTCACAGAATGCTTCTTTCTAGCTTGTAGGGGAAGATATTCCCTTCATCACCATGGGCCTCCAACCGTCCGAAACATCCACTTCCATATACTACAAAAAGAGCGTTTCAAACCTGCTCTATGAAAGGCAATGTTCAACTCTGTGACTTGAATGCAGACATCACAGAGCAGTTTCTGAGAATGCTTCTGTCTAGATTTTATAGGAAGATATTCCCGTTTCCAACGAAATCTTCACAGCTATCCAAATATCCAGTTGCAGATTCTGCAAAAAGAGTGTATCAAAACTGCTCTGTCAAAAGGAAGGTTCTTCTCTGTTAGGTGAGTGCATACGTCATAAAGGAGTTTCTGAGAATGTTTCTGTCTAGTGGTTATGGGAAGATATTTTCTTTTTCACCGTAGGCCTCAGAGCGCTCCAAATATCCACTTGCACATACTACAAAAAGAGTGTTCCAAAGCTGCTCTCTGAAAGGGAATGTTCAACTCTATGAGTTGAATGCAAACATGACAAAGACGTTTCTGAGAATGCTTCTGTCTAGATTTGATATGAAGATATTCCCGTTTCCAACGAAATCTTCAAATCTATCCAAATGTCCACTTGCAGATTCAACAAAAAGTGTTTTTCAGAACTGCTCTATCAAAAGAAAGATCCACCTCTGTTAGCTGAGATCACACTTCACAAACAAGTTTATCAGAATGCTTTCTGTCTAGTTTTTATTTGAAGATATTTCCTTTCTCACCATAGACCTGAAAGCTGTCCTAATGTTCACTTCCAGATACTACAGAAAGAGTGTTTCAAAACTGCTGTACGAAAGGGAATGTTGAACTCTGTGACTTGAATGCACACATCACAAAGAAGTTTCTGAGGATGCTGCTGTCTACTTTTTATACGTAATCCCGTTTCCAACGAAATCCTCCAAGCTATCCAAATATCCACTTGCAGATTACACAGAAAGACTGTTTCAAAACTGCTCTGTCAATAGAAAGGTTCAACTCTGTTAGCTGCGTGCATGTATCCCAAAGAAGATTCTGAGATTGCTTCTGTCTAGTTTTTATGGGAAATATTTCCCTTTTCACCGTAGGTGTCAAGGCGCTCCAAATGTCCACTTCCAGATACTACAAAAAGAGTGTTTCAAACCTACTCTGTGAAAGGGAATATTCAACTCTGTGACTTGAATGCACATATCACAAAGAAGTTTCTGAGAATGCTTCTGTCGAGATTTTATATGAAGATATTCCCGTTTCCAACGAAATGCTGAAATCTATCCAAATATCCCCTCGCAGATTCTACAAAAAGAGTGTTTCAATACTGCTCTGTGAAAAGAAAGGTTCAACTCTGTTAGTTGAGTACACACATCACAAACAAGTTTCACACAATGCTTCTTTCTAGCTTGTAGGGGAAGATATTCCCTTTATCACCATGGGCCTCAAACCGTCCGATAAGTCCACTTCCATATACTACAAAAAGAGCGTTTCAAACCTGCTCTATGAAAGGCAACCGTTCAACTCTGTGACTTGAATGCAGACATCACAGAGCAGTTTCTGAGAATGCTTCTGTCTAGATTTTATAGGAAGATATTCCCGTTTCCAACGAAATCTTCACAGCTATCCAAATATCCACTTGGAGATTCTACAAAAAGAGTGTATCAAAACTGTTCTGTCAAAAAGAAGGTTCTTCTCTGTTAGTTGAGTACATACGTCATAAAGGAGTTTCTGAGAATGTTTCAGTCTAGTGGTTATGGGAAGATATTTGCTTTTTCACCGTAGACCTCACAGCGCTCCAAATATCCACTTGCACATACTACAAAAAGAGTGCTTCAAAGCTGCCCTCTGAAACGGAATGTTCAACTCTATGAGTTGAATGCAAACATCACAAAGACGTTTCTGAGAATGCTTCTGTCTAGATTTGATATGAAGATATTCCCGTTTCCAACGAAATCTTAAAATCTATCCAAATGTCCACTTGCAGATTCAACAAAAAGTGTTTTTCAGAACTGCTCTATCAAAAGAAAGATCCACCTCTGTTAGCTGAGTTCACACATCACAAACAAGTTTATGAGAATGCTTCTGTCTAGTTTTTATTTGAAGATATTTCCTTTCTCACCATAGACCTGAAAGCTGTCCTAATGTTCACTTCCAGATAATACAGAAAGAGTGTTTCAAAACTGCGGTACGAAAGGGAATGTTCAACTCTGTGACTTGAATGCACACATCACAAAGAAGTTTCTGAGGATGCTGCTGTCTACTTTTTATACTTAATCCCGTTTCCAACGAAATCCTCCAAGCTATCCAAATATCCACTTCCAGATTCCACAGAAAGACTGTTTCAAAACTGCTCTGTCAATACAAAGGTTCAACTCTGTTAGCTGCGTGCATATATCCCAAAGAAGATTCTGAGATTGCTTCTGTCTACTTTTTATGAGAAGATATTTCCCTTTTCACCGTAGGCGTCAAGGTGCTCAAAATGTCCACTTCCAGATACTACAAAAAGAGTGTTTCAAACCTACTCTGTGAAAGGGAATATTCAACTCTGTGACTTGAATGCACATATCACAAAGAAGCTTCTCAGAATGCTTCTGTCGAGATTTTATATGAAGATATTCCCGTTTCCAACGAAATCCAGAAATCTATCCAAATATCCCCTCGCAGATTCTACAAAAAGAGTGTTTCAAAACTGCTCTGTGAAAAGAAAGGTTCAACTCTGTTAGTTGAGTACACACATCACAAACAAGTTTCACAGAATGCTTCTTTCTAGCTTGTAGGGGAAGATATTCCCTTTATCACCGTGGGCCTCAAACCGTCCGAAACGTCCACTTCCATATACTACAAAAAGAGCGTTTCAAACCTGCTCTATGAAAGGCAATGTTCAACTCTGTGACTTGAATGCAGACATCACAGAGCAGTTTCTGAGAATGCTTCTGTCTAGATTTTATAGGAAGATATTCCCGTTTCCAACGAAATCTTCACAGCTATCCAAATATCCACTTGCAGATTCTGCAAAAAGAGTGTATCAAAACTGCTCAGTCAAAAGGTAGGTTCTTCTCTGTTAGGTGAGTGCATACGTCATAACGGAGTTTCTGAGAATGTTTCTGTCTAGTGGTTATGGGAAGATATTTGCTTTTTCCCCGTAGGCCTCAAAGCGCTCCAAATGTCCACTTGCACATACTACAAAAAGAGTGCTTCAAAGCTGCTCTCTGAAAGGGAATGTTCAACTCTATGAGTTGAATGCATACATCACAAAGACGTTTCTGAGAATGCTTCTGTCTAGACTTGATATGAAGATATTCCCGTTTCCAACGAAACCTTCAAATCTATCCAAATGTCCACTTGCAGATTCAACAAAAAGTGTTTTTCAGAACTGCTCTATCAAAAGAAAGATCCACCTCTGTTAGCTGAGTTCACACATCACAAACAAGTTTATGAGAATGCTTCTGTCTAGTTTTTATTTGAAGATATTTCCTTTCTCACCATAGACCTGAAAGCTGTCCTAATGTTCACTTCCAGATACTACAGAAAGAGTGTTTCAAAACTGCTGTACGAAAGGGAATGTTCATCTCTGTGACTTGAATGCACACATCACAAAGAAGTTTCTGAGGATGCTGCTGTCTACTTTTTATACGTAATCCCGTTTCCAAAGAAATCCTCGAAGCTATCCAAATATCCACTTGCAGATTCCACAGAAAGACTGTTTCAAAACTGCTCTGTCAATAGAAAGGTTCAACTCTATTAGCTGCGTGCATATATCCCAAAGAAGATTCTGAGATTGCTTCTGTCTAGTTTTTATGGGAAGATATTTCCCTTTTCACCGTAGGTGTCAAGGCGCTCCAAATATCCACTTCCAGATACTACAAAAAGAGTGTTTCAAACCTACTCTGTGAAAGGGAATATTCAACTCTGTGACTTGAATGCAGATATCACAAAGAAGTTTCTGAGAATGCTTCTGTCGAGATTTTATATGAAGATATTCCCGTTTCCAACGAAATCCTGAAATCTATCCAAATATCCCCTCGCAGATTCTACAAAAAGAGTGTTTCAAAACTGCTCTGTAAAAGGAAAGGTTCAACTCTGTTAGTTGAGTACACACATCACAAACAAGTTTCACAGAATGCTTCTTTCTAGCTTGTAGGGAAAGATATTCCCTTTAACACCATGGGCCTCAAACCGTCCGAAACGTCCACTTCCATATACTACAAAAAGAGCGTTTCAAACCTGCTCTAGGAAAAGCAATGTTCAACTCTGTGACTTGAATGCAGACATCACAGAGCAGTTTCTGAGAATGCTTCTGTCTAGATTTTATAGGAAGATATTCCCGTTTCCATCGAAATCTTCACAGCTATCCAAATATCCACTTGCAGATTGTACAAAAAGAGTGTATCAAAACTGCTCTTTCAAAAGGAAGGTTCTTCTCTGTTAGTTGAGTACATACGTCATAAAGGAGTTTCTGAGAATGTTTCTGTCTAGTGGTTATGGGAAGATATTTGCTTTTTCACCTTAGGCCTCAGAGCGCTCCAAATATCCCCTTGCACATACTACAAAAAGAGTGCTTCAAAGCTGCTCTCTGAAAGGGAATCTTCAACTCTATGAGTTGAATGCAAACATCACAAAGACGTTTCTGAGAATGCTTCTGTCTAGATTTCATATAAAGATATTCCTGTTTCCAACGAAATCTTCAAATCTATTCAAATGTCCACTTGCAGATTCAACAAAAAGTGTTTTTCAAAACTGCTGTTTCGAAAGAAAGATCCACCTGTTAGCTGAGTTCACACTTCACAAACAAGTTTATCAGAATGCTTCTGTCTAGTTTTTATTTGAAGATATTTCCTTTCTCACCATAGACCTGAAAGCTGTCCTAATGTTCACTTCCAGATACTACAGAAAGAGTGTTTCAAAACTGCTGTACGAAATGGAATGTTCAACTCTGTGACTTGAATGCACACATCACAAAGAAGTTTCTGAGGATGCTGCTGTCTACTTTTTATACGTAATCCCGTTTCCAACGAAATCCTCCAAGCTATCCAAATATCCACTTGCAGATTCCACAGAAAGACTGTTTCAAATCTGCTCAGTCAATAGAAAGGTTCAACTCTGTTAGCTGCGTGCATATATCCCAAAGAAGATTCTGAGATTGCTTTCTGTCTAGTTTTTATGGGAAGATATTTACCTTTTCACCGTAGGCGCCAAGGCGTTCCAAATGTCCACTTCCAGATACTACAAAAAGAGTGTTTCAAACCTACTCTGTGAAAGGGAATATTCAACTCTGTGACTTGAAGGCAGATATCACAAAGAAGTTTCCTGAGAATGCTTCTGTCGAGATTTTATATGAAGATATTCTCGTTTCCAACGAAATCCTGAAACCTATCCAAATATCCCCTCACAGATTCTACAAAAAGAGTGTTTCAAAACTGCTCTGTAAAAAGAAAGGTCCAACTCTGTTAGTTGAGTACACACATCACAAACAAGTTTCACAGAATGCTTCTTTCTAGCTTGTAGGGGAAGATATTCCCTTTATCACCATGGGCCTCAAACCATCCGAAACGTCCACTTCCATATACTACAAAAAGAGCGTTTCAAACCTGCTCTATGAAAGGCAATGTTCAACTCTGTGACTTGAATGCAGACATCACAGAGCAGTTTCTGAGAATGCTTCTGTCTAGATTTTATAGGAAGATATTCCCGTTTCCAGCAAAATCTTCACAGCTATCCAAATATCCACTTGCAGATTCTACAAAAAGAGTGTATCAAAACTGCTCTGTCAAAAGGAAGGTTCTTCTCTGTTAGGTGAGTGCATACGTCATAAAGGAGTTTCTGAGAATGTTTCCGTCTAGTGGTTATGGGAAGATATTTGCTTTCTCACCGTAGGCCTCAGAGCGCTCCAAATATCCACTTGCACATACTACAAAAAGAGTGCTTCAAAGCTGCTCTCTGAAACGGAATGTTCAACTCTATGAGTTGAATGCAAACATCACAAAGACGTTTCTGAGAATGCTTCTGTCTAGATTTGTTATGAAGATATTCCCGTTTCCAACGAAATCTTCAAATCTATCCAAATGTCCACTTGCAGATTCAACAAAAAGTGTTTTTCAGAACTGCTCTATCAAAAGAAAGATCCACCTCTGTTAGCTGAGTTCACACATCACAAACAAGTTTATGAGAATGCTTCTGTCTAGTTTTTATTTGAAGATATTTCCTTTCTCACCATAGACCTGAAAGCTGTCCTAATGTTCACTTCCAGATACTACAGAAAGAGTGTTTCAAAACTGCTGTACGAAAGGGAATGTTCAACTCTGTGGCTTGAATGCACACATCACAAAGAAGTTTCTGAGGATGCTGCTGTCTACTTTTTGTACGTAATCCCGTTTCCAACGAAATCCTCCAAGCTATCCAAATATCCACTTGCAGATTCCACAGAAAGACTGTTTCAAAACTGCTCTGTCAATAGAAAGGTTCAACTCTGTTAGCTGCGTGCATATATCCCAAAGAAGATTCTGAGATTGCTTCTGTCTAGTTTTTATGGGAAGATATTTCCCTTTTCACCGTAGGCGTCAAGGCGCTCCAAATGTCCACTTCCAGATACTACAAAAAGAGTGTTTCAAACCTACTCTGTGAAAGGGAGTATTCAACCCTGTGACTTGAATACACATATCACAAAGAAGTTTCTGAGAATGCTTCTGTCGAGATTTTATATGAAGATATTCCCGTTTCCATCGAAATCCTGAAATCTATCCAAATATCCCCTCGCAGATTCTACAAAAAGAGAGTTTCAAAACTGCTCTGTAAAAAGAAAGGTTCAACTCTGTTAGTTGAGTACACACATCACAAACAAGTTTCACAGAATGCTTCTTTCTAGCTTGTAGGGGAAGATATTCCCTTTATCACCATGGGCCTCAAACCGTCCGAAACGTCCATTTCCATATACTACAAAAAGAGCGTTTCAAACCTGCTCCATGAAAGGCAATGTTCAACTCTGTGACTTGAACGGAGACATCACAGAGCAGTTTCTGAGAATGCTTCTGTCTAGATTTTATAGGAAGATATTCCCGTTTCCAACGAAATCTTCACAGCTATCCAAATATCCACTTGCAGATTCTACAAAAAGAGTGTATCAAAAATGCTCTGTCAAAAGGAAGGTTCTTCTCTGTTAGGTGAGTGCATACGTCATAGAGGAGTTTCTCAGAATGTTTCCTGTCTAGTGGTTATGGGAAGATATTTGCTTTTTCCCCGTAGGCCTCAGGGCGCTCCAAATGTCCACTTGCACATGCTACAAAAAGAGTGCTTCAAAGCTGCTCTCTGAAAGGGAATGTTCAACTCTATGAGTTGAATGCAAACATCACAAAGACGTTTCTGAGAATGCTTCTGTCTAGATTTGATATGAAGATATTCCCGTTTCCAACGAAATCTTCAAATCTATCCAAATGTCCACTTGCAGATTCAACAAAAAGTGTTTTTCAGAACTGCTCTATCAAAAGAAAGATCCACGTGTGTTAGTTGAGTTCACACATCACAAACAAGTTTATGAGAATGCTTCCGTCTAGTTTTTATTTGAAGATATTTCCTTTCTCACCATAGACCTGAAAGCTGTCCTAATGTTCACTTCCAGTTACTACAGAAAGAGTGTTTCAAAACTGCTGTACGAAAGGGAATGTTCAACTCTGTGACTTGAATGCACACATCACAAAGAAGTTTCTGAGGATGCTGCTGTCTAATTTTTATACGTAATCCCGTTTCCAACGAAATCCTCCAAGCTATCCAAATATCCACTTGCAGATTCCACAGAAAGACTGTTTCAAAACTGCTATGTCAATAGAAAAGTTCAACTACTGTTAGCTGTGTGCATATATCCCAAAGAAAATTCTGAGATTGCTTCTGTCTAGTTTTTATGGGAAGATATTTCCCTTTTCACTGTAGGCGTCAAGGCGCTCCAAATGTCCACTTCCAGATACTACAAAAAGAGTGTTTCAAACCTACTCTGTGAAAGGGAATATTCAACTCTGTGACTTGAATGCACATATCACAAAGAAGTTTCTGAGAATGCTTCTGTCGAGATTTTATATGAAGATATTCCCGTTTCCAACGAAATGCTGAAATGTATCCAAATAACCCATCGCAGATTCTACAAAAAGAGTGTTTCAAAACTGCTCTGTAAAAAGAAAGGTTCAACTCTGTTAGTTGAGTACACACATCACAAACAAGTTTCACAGAATGCTTCTTTCTAGCTTGTAGGGGAAGATATTCCCTTTATCACCATGGGCCTCAAACCGTCCGAAACGTCCACTTCCATATACTACAAAAAGAGCATTTCAAACCTGCTCTAGGAAAGGCAATGTTCAACTCTGTGAATTGAATGCAGACATCACAGAGCAGTTTCTGAGAATGCTTCTGTCTAGATTTTATAGGAAGATATTCCCGTTTCCAACGAAATCTTCACAGCTATCTAAATATCCACTTGCAGATTCTACAAAAAGAGTGTATCAAAAGTGCTCTGTCAAAAGGAAGGTTCTTCTCTGTTAGGTGAGTGCATACGTCATAAAGGAGTTTCTGAGAATGTTTCTGTCTACTGGTTATGGGAAGATATTTGCTTTTTCACCGTAGGCCTCAGAGCGCTCCAAATATCCACTTGCACATACTACAAAAAGAGTGCTTCAAAGCTGCTCTCTGAAACGGAATGTTCAACTCTATGAGTTGAATGCAAACATCACAAAGACGTTTCTGAGAATGCTTCTGTCTAGATTTGATATGAAGATATTCCCGTTTCCAACGAAATCTTCAAATCTATCCAAATGTCCACTTGCAGTTTCAACAAAAAGTGTTTTTCAGAACTGCTCTATCAAAAGAAAGATCCACCTCTGTTAGCTGAGTTCACACATCACAAACAAGTTTATGAGAATGCTTTCTGTCTAGTTTTTATTTGAAGATATTTCCTTTCTCACCATAGACCTGAAAGCTGTCCTAATGTTCACTTCCAGATACTACAGAAAGAGCATTTCAAAACTGCTGTACGAAAGAGAATGTTCAACTCTGTGACTTGAATGCACACATCACAAAGAAGTTTCTGAGGATGCTGCTGTCTACTTTTTATACTTAATCCCGTTTCCAACGAAGTCCTCCAAGCTATCCAAATATCCACTTGCAGATTCCACAGAAAGACTGTTTCAAAACTGCTCTGTCAATAGAAAGGTTCAACTCTGTTAGCTGCGTGCATATATCCCAAAGAAGATTCTGAGATTGCTTCTGTCTAGTTTTTATTGGAAGATATTTCCCTTTTCACCGTGGGCGTCAAGGCGCTCCAAATGTCCACTTCCAGATACTACAAAAAGAGTGTTTCAAACCTACTCTGTGAAAGGGAATATTCAACTCTGTGACTTGAATGCACATATCACAAGGAAGTTTCTGAGAATGCTTCTGTCGAGATTTTATATGAAGATATTCCCGTTTCCAACGAAATCCTGAAATCTATCCAAATATCCCCTCGCAGATTCTACAAAAAGAGTGTTTCAAAACTGCTCTGCAAAAAGAAAGGTTCAACTCTGTTAGTTGAGTACACACATCACAAACAAGTTTCCTCAGAATGCTTCTTTCTAGCTGCTAGGGGAAGATATTCCCTTTATCACCATGGGCCTCAAACCGTCCGAAACGTCCACTTCCATATACTACAAAAAGAGCGTTTCAAACCTGCTCTAGGAAAGGCAATGTTCAACTCTGTGATTTGAATGCAGACATCACAGAGCAGTTTCTGAGAATGCTTCTGTCTAGATTTTATAGGAGGATATTCCCGTTTCCAACGAAATCTTCACAGCTATCCAAATATCCACTTGCAGATTCTACAAAAAGAGTGTATCAAAACTGCTCTGTCAAAAGGAAGGTTCTTCTCTGTTAGGTGAGTGCATACGTCATAAAGGAGTTTCTGAGAATGTTTCTGTCTAGTGGTTATGGGAAGATACTTGCTTTTTCACCGTAGGCCTCAGAGCGCTCCAAATATCCACTTGCACATACTACAAAAAGAGTGCTTCAAAGCTGCTCTCTGAAACGGAATGTTCAACTCTATGAGTTGAATGCAAACATCACAAAGACGTTTCTGAGAATGCTTCTGTCTAGATTTGATATGAAGATATTCCCGTTTCCAACGAAATCTTCAAATCTATCCAAATGTCCACTTGCAGATTCAACAAAAAGTGTTTTTCAAAACTGCTCTATCAAAAGAAAGATCCACCTCTGTTAGCTGAGTTCACACATCACAAACAAGTTTATGAGAATGCTTCTGTCTAGTTTTTATTTGAAGATATTTCCTTTCTCACCATAGACGTGAAAGCTGTCCTAATGTTCACTTCCAGATACTACAGAAAGAGAGTTTCAAAACTGCTGTACGAAAGGGAATGTTCAACTCTGTGACTTGAATGCACACATCACAAAGAAGTTTCTGAGGATGCTGCTGTCTACTTTTTATGCGTAATCCCGTTTCCAACGAAATCCTCCAAGCTATCCAAATATCCACTTGCAGATTCCACAGAAAGACTGTTTCAAAACTGCTCTGTCAATAGAAAGGTTCAACTCTGTTAGCTGCGTGCAAATATCCCAAAGAAGATTCTGAGATTGCTTCTGTCTACTTTTTATGAGAAGATATTTCCCTTTTCACCGTAGGCGTCAAGGTGCTCCAAATGTCCACTTCCAGATACTACAAAAAGAGTGTTTCAAACCTACTCTGTGAAAGGGAATATTGAACTCTGTGACTTGAATGCACATATCACAAAGAAGCTTCTGAGAATGCTTCTGTCGAGATTTTATATGAAGATATTCCCGTTTCCAACGAAATCCTGAAATCTATCCAAATATCCCCTCGCAGATTCTACAAAAAGAGTGTTTCAACACTGCTCTGTAAAAAGAAAGGTTCAACTCTGTTAGTTGAGTACACACATCACAAACAAGTTTCACAGAATGCTTCTTTCTAGCTTGTAGGGGAAGATATTCCCTTTATCACCATGGGCTTCAAACCGTCCGAAACGTCCACTTCCATATACTACAAAAAGAGCGTTTCAAACCTGCTCTATGAAAGGCAATGTTCAACTCTGTGACTTGAATGCAGACATCACAGAGCAGTTTCTGAGAATGCTTCTGTATAGATTTTATAGGAAGATATTCCCGTTTCCAACGAAATCTTCACAGCTATCCAAATATCCACTTGCAGATTCTACAAAAAGAGTGTATCAAAACTGCTCTGTCAAAAGGAAGGTTCTTCTCTGTTAGGTGAGTGCATACGTCATAAAAGGAGTTTCTGAGAATGTTTCTGTGTAGTGGTTATGGGAAGATATTTGCTTTTTCACCGTAGGCCTCAGAGCGCTCCAAATATCCACTTGCACATACTACAAAAAGAGTGCTTCAAAGCTGCTCTCTGAAACGGAATGTTCAACTCTATGAGTTGAATGCAAACATCACAAAGACGTTTCCGAGAATGCTTCTGTCTAGATTTGATATGAAGATATTCCCGTTTCCAACGAAATCTTCAAATCTATCCAAATGTCCACTTGCATATTCAACAAAAGTGTTTTTCAGAACTGCTCTATCAAAAGAAAGATCCACCTCTGTTAGCTGAGTTCACACATCACAAACAAGTTTATGAGAATGCTTCTGTCTAGTTTTTATTTGAAGATATTTCGTTTCTCACCATAGACCTGAAAGCTGTCCTAATGTTCACTTCCAGATACTACAGAAAGAGTGTTTCAAAACTGCTGTACGAAAGGGAATGTTCAACTCTGTGACTTGAATGCACACATCACAAAGAAGTTTCTGAGGATGCTGCTGTCTACTTTTTATACGTAATCCTGTTTCCAACGAAATCCTCCAAGCTATCCAAATATCCACTTGCAGATTCCACAGAAAGACTGTTTCAAAACTGCTATGTCAATAGAAAAGTTCAACTCTGTTAGCTGTGTGCATATATCCCAAAGAAAATTCTGAGATTGCTTCTGTCTAGTTTTTATGGGAAGATATTTCCCTTTTCACCGTAGGCGTCAAGGCGCTCCAAATGTCCACTTCCAGATACTACAAAAAGAGTGTTTCAAACCTACACTGTGAAAGGGAATATTCAACTCTGTGACTTGAATGCACATATCACAAAGAAGTTTCTGAGAATGCTTCTGTCGAGATTTTATATGAAGATATTCCCGTTTCCAACGAAATCCTGAAACCTATCCAAATATCCCCTCGCAGATTCTACAAAAAGAGTGTTTCAAAACTGCTCTGTAAAAAGAAAGGTTCAACTCTGTTAGTTGAGTACACACATCACAAACAAGTTTCACAGAATGCTTCTTTCTAGCTTGTAGGGGAAGATATTCCCTTTATCACCATGGGCCTCAAACCGTCCGAAACGTCTACTTCCATATACTACAAAAAGAGCGTTTCAAACCTGCTCTATGAAAAGCAATATTCAACTCTGTGACTTGAATGCAGACATCACAGAGCAGTTTCTGAGAATGCTTCTGTCTAGATTTTATAGGAAGATATTCCCGTTTCCAACGAAATCTTCACAGATATCCAAATATCCACTTGCAGATTCTACAAAAAGAGTGTATCAAAACTGCTCTGTCAAAAGGAAGGTTCTTCTCTGATAGGTGAGTGCATACGTCATAAAGGAGTTTCTGAGAATGTTTCTGTCTAGTGGTTATGGGAAGATATTTGCTTTTTCACCTTAGGCCTCAGAGCGCTCCAAATATCCCCTTGCACATACTATAAAAAGAGTGCTTCAAAGCTGCTCTCTGGAAGGGAATGTTCAACTCTATGAGTTGAATGCAAGCATCACAAAGACGTTTCTGAGAATGCTTCTGTCTAGATTTGATATGAAGATATTCCCGTTTCCAACGAAATCTTCAAATCTATCCAAATGTCCACTTGCAGATTCAACAAAATGTTTTTCAAAACTGCTGTATCAAAAGAAAGATCCACCTGTGTTAGCTGAGTTCACACTTCACAAACAAGTTTATCAGTATTCTTCTGTCTAGTTTTTATTTGAAGATATTTCCATTCTCACCATAGACCTGAAAGCTGTCCTAATGTTCACTTCCAGATGCTACAGAAAGAGTGTTTCAAAACTGCTGTACGAAAGGGAATATTCAACTCTGTGACTTGAATGCACACATCACAAAGAAGTTTCTGAGGATGCTGCTGTCTACTTTTTATACGTAATCCCGTTTCCAACGAAATCCTCCAAGCTATCCAAATATCCACTTGCATATTCCACAGAAAGACTGTTTCAAAACTGCTATGTCAATAGAAAAGTTCAACTCTGTTAGCTGTGTGCATATATCCCAAAGAAAATTCTGAGATTGCTTCTGTCTAGTTTTTATGGGAAGATATTTCCCTTTTCACCGTAGGTGTCAAGGCGCTCCAAATGTCCACTTCCAGATACTACAAAAAGAGTGTTTCAAACCTACTCTGTGAAAGGGAATATTCAACTCTGTGACTTCAATGCACATATCACAAAGAAGTTTCTGAGAATGCTTCTGTCGAGATTTTATATGAAGATATTCCCGTTTCCAACGAAATGCTGAAATGTATCCAAATATCCCCTCGCAGATTCTACAAAAAGAGTGTTTCAAAACTGCTCTGTGAAAAGAAAGGTTCAACTCTGTTAGTTGAGTACACACATCACAAACAAGTTTCACAGAATGCTTCTTTCTAGCTTGTAGGGGAAGATATTCCCTTTATCACCATGGGCCTCAAACCGTCCGAAACGTCCACTTCCATATACTACAAAGAGAGCGTTTCAAACCTGCTCTAGGAAAGGCAATGTTCAACTCTGTGACTTGAATGCAGACATCACAGAGCAGTTTCTGAGAATGCTTCTGTCTAGATTTTATAGGAAGATATTCCCGTTTCCAACGAGATCTTCACAGCTATCCAAATATCCGCTTGCAGATTCTACAAAAAGAGTGTATCAAATCTGCTCTGTCAAAAGGAAGGTTCTTCTCTGTTAGTTGAGTACATACGTCATAAAGGAGTTTCTGAGAATGTTTCCGTCTAGTGGTTATGGGAAGATATTTGCTTTTTCACCGAAGGCCTCAGAGCGCTCCAAATATCCACTTGCACATACTACAAAATGAGTGCCTCAAAGCTGCTCTCTGAAACGGAATGTTCAACTCTATGAGTTGAATGCAAACATCACAAAGACGTTTCCGAGAATGCTTCTTGCCTAGATTTGATATGAAGATATTCCCGTTTCCAACGAAATCTTCAAATCTATCCAAATGTCCACTTGCAGATTCAACAAAAAGTGTTTTTCAGAACTGCTCTATCAAAAGAAAGATCCATCCTCTGTTAGCTGAGTTCACACATCACAAACAAGTTTATGAGAATGCTTCCGTCTAGTTTTTATTTGAAGATATTTCCTTTCTCACCATAGACCTGAAAGCTGTCCTAATGTTCACTTCCAGATACTACAGAAAGAGTGTTTCAAAACTGCTGTACGAAAGGGAATGTTCAACTCTGTGACTTGAATGCACACATCACAAAGAAGTTTGCTGAGGATGCTGCAGTCTACTTTTTATACGTAATCCCGTTTCCAAAGAAAACCTCCAAGCTATCCAAATATCCACTTGCAGATTCCACAGAAAGACTGTTTCAAAACTGCTCTGTCAATAGAAAGGTTCAACTCTGTTAACTCCGTGCATATATCCCAAAGAAGATTCTGAGATTGCTGCTGTCTACTTTTTATGAGAAGATATTTCCCTTTTCACCGTAGGCGTCAAGGCGCTCCAAATGTCCACTTCCAGATACTACAAAAAGAGTGTTTCAAACCTACTCTGTGAAAGGGAATATTGAACTCTGTGACTTGAATGCACATATCACAAAGAAGCTTCTGAGAATGCTTCTGTCGAGATTTTATATGAAGATATTCCCGTTTCCAACGAAATCCTGAAATCTATCCAAATATCCCCTCGCAGATTCTACAAAAAGACTGTTTCAAAACTGCTCTGTAAAAAGAAAGGTTCAACTCTGTTAGTTGAGTACACACATCACAAACAAGTTTCACAGAATGCTTCTTTCTAGCTTGTAGGGGAAGATATTCCCTTTATCACCATGGGCCTCAAACCGTCCGAAACGTCCACTTCCATATACTACAAAAAGAGTGTTTCAAACCTGCTCTATGAAAGGCAATGTTCAACTCTGTGACTTGAATGCAGACATCAAAGAGCAGTTTCTGAGAATGCTTCTGTCTAGATATTATAGGAAGATATTCCCGATTCCCACGAAATCTTCACAGCTATCCAAATATCCACTTGCAGATTCTACAAAAAGAGTGTATCAAAACTGCTCTGTCAAAAGGAAGGTTCTTCTCTGTTAGGTGAGTGCATACGTCATAAAGGAGTTTCTGAGAATGTTTCTGTCTAGTGGTTATGGGAAGATATTTGCTTTTTCACCTTAGGCCTCAGAGCGCTCCAAATATCCACTTGCACATACTACAAAAAGAGTGCTTCAAAGCTGCTCTCTGAAACGGAATGTTCAACTCTATGAGTTGAATGCAAACATCACAAAGACGTTTCTGACAATGCTTCTGTCTAGATTTGATATGAAGATATTCCCGTTCCCAACGAAATCTTCAAATCTATCCAAATGTCCACTTGCAGATTCAACAAAAAGTGTTTTTCAGAACTGCTCTATCAAAAGAAAGATCCACCTCTGTTAGCTGAGTTCACACATCACAAACAAGTTTATGAAAATGCTTCTGTCTAGTTTTTATTTGAAGTATATATCCTTTCTCACTATAGACCTGAAAGCTCTCCTAAAGTTCACTTCCAGATACTACAGAAAGAGTGTTTCAAAACTGCTGTACGAAAGGGAATGTTCAACTCTGTGACTTGAATGCACACATCACAAGGATGTTTCTGAGGATGCTGCTGTCTACTTTTTATACGTAATCCCGTTTCCAACGAAATCCTCCAAGCTATCCAAATATCCACTTGCAGATTCCACAGAAAGACTGTTTCAAAACTACTATGTCAATAGAAAGGTTCAACTCTGTTAGCTGCGTGCATATATCCCAAAGACGATTCTGAGATTGCTTCTGTCTAGTTTTTATGGGAAGATATTTCCCTTTTCACCGTAGGCGTTAAGGCGCTCCAAATGTCCACTTCCAGATACTACAAAAAGAGTGTTTCAAACCTACTCTGTGAAAGGGAATATTCAACTCTGTGACTAGTATGCACATATCACAAAGAAGTTTCTGAGAATGCATCTGTCGAGATTTTATATGAAGATATTCCCGTTTCCAACGAAATCCTGAAATCTATCCAAATATCCCCTCGTAGATTCTACAAAAAGAGAGTTTCAAAACTGCTCTGTAAAAAGAAAGGTTCAACTCTGTTAGTTGAGTACACACATCACAAACAAGTTTCACAGAATGCTTCTTTCTAGCTTGTAGGGGAAGATATTCCCTTTATCACCATGGGCCTCAAACCGTCCGAAACGTCCATTTCCATATACTACAAAAAGAGCGTTTCAAACCTGCTCCATGAAAGGCAATGTTCAACTCTGTGACTTGAACGCAGACATCACAGAGCAGTTTCTGAGAATGCTTCTGTCTAGAATTTATAGGAAGATATTCCCGTTTCCAACGAAATCTTCACAGCTATCCAAATATCCACTTTCAGATTCTACAAAAAGAGTGTATCAAAAGTGCTCTGTCAAAAGGAAGGTTTCTTCTCTGTTAGGTGAGTGCATACGTCATAAAGGAGTTTCTGAGAATGTTTCTGTCTAGTGGTTATGGGAAGATATTTGCTTTTTCACCTTAGGCCTCAGAGCGCTCCAAATATACACTTGCACATACTACAAAAAGAGTGATTCAAAGCTGCTCTCTGAAACGGAATGTTCAACTCTATGAGTTGAATGCAAACATCACAAAGACGTTTCTGAGAATGCTTCTGTCTAGAATTGTTATGAAGATATTCCCGTTTCCAACGAAATCTTCAAATCTATCCAAATGTCCACTTGCAGATTCAACAAAAAGTGTTTTTCAGAACTGCTCTATCAAAAGAAAGATCCACCTCTGTTAGCTGAGTTCACACATCACAAACAAGTTTATGAGAATGCTTCTGTCTAGTTTTTATTTGAAGATATTTCCTTTCTCACCATAGACCTGAAAGCTGTCCTAATGTTCACTTCCAGATACTACAGAAAGAGTGTTTCAAAACTGCTGTAAGAAAGGGAATGTTCAACTCTGTGACTTGAATGCACACACCACAAGGAAGTTTCTGAGGATGCTGCTGTCTACTTTTTATACGTAATCCCGTTTCCAACGAAATCCTCCAAGCTATCCAAATATCCACTTGCAGATTCCACAGAAAGACTGTTTCAAAACTGCTCTCTCAATAGAAAGGTTCAACTCTGTTAGCTGCGTGCATATATCCCAAAGAAGATTCTGAGATTGCTTCTGTCTACTTTTTATGAGAAGATATTTCCCTTTTCACCGTAGGCGTCAAGGCGCTCAAAATGTCCACTTCCAGATACTACAAAAAGAGTGTTTCAAACCTACTCTGTGAAAGGGAATATTCAACTCTGTGACTTGAATGCACATATCACAAAGAAGTTTCTGAGAATGCTTCTGTCGAGATTTTATATGAAGATATTCCCGTTTCCAACGAAATCCTGAAATCTATCCAAATAACCCCTCGCAGATTCTACAAAAAGAGTGTTTCAAAACTGCTCTGTAAAAAGAAAGGTTCAACTCTGTAAGTTGAGTACACACATCACAAACAAGTTTCACAGAATGCTTCTTTCTAGCTTGTAGGGGAAGATATTTCCTTTATCACCATGGTCCTCAAACAGTCTGAAACGTCCACTTCCATATACTAAAAAAAGAGGGTTTGAAACCTGCTCTATGAAAGGCAACGTTCAACTCTGTGACTTGAATGCAGACATCACAGAGCAGTTTCAGAGAATGCTTCTGTCCAGACTTTATAGGAAGATATTCCCGTTTCCAACGAAATCTTCACAGCTATCCAAATATCCACCTGCAGATACTACAAAAAGAGTGTATCAAAACTGCTCTGTCAAAAGGAAGGTTCTTCTCTGTTAGGTGAGTGCATACGTCATAAAGAAGTTTCTGAGAATGTTTCTGTCTAGTGGTTATGGGAAGATATTTGCTTTTTCACCGTAGGCCTCAGAGCGCTCCAAATATCCACTTGCACATACTACAAAAAGAGTGCCTCAAAGCTGCTCTCTGAAACGGAATGTTCAACTCTATGAGTTGAATGCCAACATCACAAAGAACGTTTCTGAGAATGCTTCTGTCTAGATTTGATATGAAGATATTTCCGTTTCCAACGAAATCTTCAAATCTATCCAAATGTCCACTTGCAGATTCAACAAAAAGTGTTTTTCAGAACTGCTCTATCAAAAGAAAGATCCACCTCTGTTAGCTGAGTTCACACATCACAAACAAGTTTATGAGAATGCTTCTGTCTAGTTTTTATTTGAAGATATTTCCTTTCTCACCATAGACCTGAAAGCTGTCCTAATGTTCACTTCCAGATACTACAGATAGAGTGTTTCAAAACTGCTGTACGAAAGGGAATGTTCAACACTGTGACTTGAATGCACACATCACAAAGAAGTTTCTGAGGATGCTGCTGTCTACTTTTTATACGTAATCCCGTTTCCAACGAAATCCTCCAAGCTATCCAAATATCCACTTGCAGATTCCACAGAAAGACTGTTTCTAAACTGCTGTGTCAATAGAAAGGTTCAACTCTGTTAGCTGCGTGCATATATCCCAAAGAAGATTCTGAGATTGCTTCTGTCTAGTTTTTATGGGAAGATATTTCCCTTTTCACCGTAGGCGTCAAGGCGCTCCAAATGTCCAATTCCAGATACTATAAAAAGAGTGTTTCAAACCTACTCTGTGAAAGAGAATATTCAACTCTGTGACTGGAATGCAGATATCACAAAGAAGTTTCTGAGAATGCTTCTGTCGAGATTTTATATGAAGATATTCCCGTTTCCAACGAAAACCTGAAATCTATCCAAATATCCCCTCGCAGATTCTACAAAAAGAGTGTTTCAAAACTGCTCTGTAAAAAGAAAGGTTCAACTCTGTTAGTTGCGTACACACATCACAAACAAGTTTCACAGAATGCTTCTTTCTAGCTTGTAGGGGAAGATATTCCCTTTATCACCATGGGCCTCAAACCGTCCGAAACGTCCACTTCCATATACTACAAAAAGAGCGTTTCAAACCTGCTCTATGAAAGGCAATGTTCAACTCTGTGACTTGAATGCAGACATCACAGAGCAGTTTCTGAGAATGCTTTCTGTCTAGATATTATAGGAAGATATTCCCGTTTCCAACGAAATCTTCACAGCTATCCAAATATCCACTTGCAGATTCTACAAAAAGAGTGTATCAAAACTGCTCTGTCAAAAGGAAGGTTCTTCTCTGTTAGGTGAGTGCATACGTCATAAAGGAGTTTCTGAGAATGTTTCTGTCTAGTGGTTATGGGAAGATATTTGCTTTTTCACCGTAGGCCTCAGGGTGCTCCAAATGTCCACTTGCACATGCTACAAAAAGAGTGCTTCAAAGCTGCTCTCTGAAAGGGAATGTTCAACTCTATGAGTTGAATGCAAACATCACAAAGACGTCTCTGACAATGCTTCTGTCTAGATTTGATATGAAGATATTCCCGTTTCCAACGAAATCTTCAAATCTATCCAAATGTCCTCTTGCAGATTCAACAAAAAGTGTTTGTCAGAACTGCTCTATCAAAAGAAAGATCCACGTGTGTTAGCTGAGTTCACACATCACGAACAAGTTTATGAGAATGCTCTGTCTAGTTTTTATTTGAAGATATTTCCTTTCTCACCATAGACCTGAAAGCTGTCCTAATGTTCACTTCCAGATACTACAGAAAGAGTGTTTCAAAACTGCTGTACGAAAGGGAATGTTCAACTCTGTGACTTGAATGCACACATCACAAAGAAGTTCTGAGGATGCTGGCTGTCTACTTTTTATATGCAATCCCGTTTCCAACGAAATCCTCCAAGCTATCCAAATATCCACTTGCAGATTCCACAGAAAGACTGTTTCAAAACTGCTCTGTCAATAGAAAGGTTCAACTCTGTTAGCTGCGTGCATATATCCCAAAGAAGATTCTGAGATTGCTTCTGTCTACTTTTTATGAGAAGATATTTCCCTTTTCACCGTAGGTGTCAAGGCGCTCCAAATGTCCACTTCCAGATACTACAAAAAGAGTGTTTCAAACCTACTCTGTGAAAGGGAATATTCAACTCTGTGACTTGAATGCACATATCACAAAGAAGTTTCTGAGAATGCTTCTGTCGAGATTTTCTATGAAGATATTCCCGTTTCCAACGAAATCCTGAAATCTATCCAAATATCCCCTCGCAGATTCCACAAAAAGAGTGTTTCAAAACTGCTCTGTAAAAAGAAAGGTTCAACTCTGTTAGTTGAGTACACACATCACAAACAAGTTTCACAGAATGCTTCTTTCTAGCTTGTAGGGGAAGATATTCCCTTTATCACCATGGGCCTCAAACCGTCCGAAACGTCCACTTCCATATACTACAAAAAGAGGGTTTCAAACCTGCTCTATGAAAGGCAATGTTCAACTCTGTGACTTGAATACAGACATCGCAGAGCAGTTCCTGAGAATGCTTCTGTCTAGATTTTATAGGAAGATATTCCCGTTTCCAACGAAATCTTCACAGCTATCCAAATATCCACTTGCAGATTCTACAAAAAGAGTGTATTCAAACTGCTCTGTCAAAAGGAAGGTTCTTCTCTGTTAGTTGAGTACATACGTCATAAAGGAGTTTCTGAGAATGTTTCTGTCTAGTGGTTATGGGAAGATATTTGCTTTTTCCCCGTAGGACTCAGAGCGCTCCAAATATCCACTTGCACATACTACAAAAAGAGTGCTTCAAAGCTGCTCTCTGAAACGGAATGTTCAACTCTATGAGTTGAATGCAAACATCACAAAGACGTTTCTGAGAATGCTTCTGTCTAGATTTGATATGAAGATATTCCCGTTTCCAACGAAATCTTCATATCTATCCAAATGTCCACTTGCAGATTCAACAAAAAGTGTTTTTCAAAACTGCTGTATCAAAAGAAAGATCCACGTCTGTTAGCTGATGCTCTATCAAAAGAGAGATCCACCTCTGTTAGCTGAGTTCACACATCACAAACAAGTTTATGAAAATGCTTCTGTCTAGTTTATATTTGAAGATATTTCCTTTCTCACCATAGACCTGAAAGCTGTCCTAATGTTCACTTCCAGATACTACAGAAAGAGTGTTTCAAAACTGCTGTACGAAAGGGAATGTTCAACTCTGTGACTTGAATGCACACATCACAAAGAAGTTTCTGAGGATGCTGCAGTCTACTTTTTATACGTAATCCCGTTTCCAAAGAAAACCTCCAAGCTATCCAAATATCCACTTGCAGATTCCACAGAAAGACTGTTTCAAAACTGCTCTGTCAATAGAAAGGTTCAACTCTGTTAACTCCGTGCATATATCCCAAAGAAGATTCTGAGATTGCTTTCTGTCTAGTTTTTATGGGAAGATATTTCCCTTTTCACCGTAGGCGTCAAGGCGCTTCAAATGTCCACTTCCAGATACTACAAAAAGAGTGTTTCAAACCTACTCTGTGAAAGGGAATATTCAACTCTGTGACTTGAATGCACATATCACAAAGAAGTTTCTGAGAATGCTTCTGTCTAGATTTTATAGGAAGATATTCCCGTTTCCAATGAAACCTTCACAGCTATCCAAATATCCACTTGCAGATTCTACAAAAAGAGTGTTTCAAAACTGCTCTGTAAAAAGAAAGGTTCAACTGTGTTAGTTGAGTACACACATCACAAACAAGTTTCACAGAATGCTTCTTTCTAGCTTGTTGGGTAAGATATTCCCTTTATCACCATGGGCCTCCAACCGTCCGAAACATCCACTTCCATATACTACAAAAAGAGCGTTTCAAACCGGCTCTATGAAAGGCAATGTTCAACTCTGTGACTTGAATGCAGACATCACAGAGCAGTTTCTGAGAATGCTTCTGTCTGGATTTTATAGGAAGATATTCCCGTTTCCAACGAAATCTTCACAGCTATCCAAATATCCACTTGCAGATTCTACAAAAAGAGTGTATCAAAACTGCTCTGTCAAAAGGAAGGTTCTTCTCTGTTAGGTGAGTGCATACGTCATAAAGGAGTTTCTGAGAATGTTTCTGTCTAGTGGTTATGGGAAGATATTTGCTTTTTCACCTTAGGCCTCAGAGCGCTCCAAATATCCACTTGCACATACTACAAAAAGAGTGCTTCAAAGCTGCTCTCTGAAACGGAATGTTCAACTCTATGAGTTGAATGCAAACATCACAAAGACGTTTCTGGGAATGCTTCTGTCTAGATTTGATATGAAGATATTCCCGTTTCCAACGAAATCTTCAAATCTATCCAAATGTCCACTTGCAGATTCAACAATAAGTGTTTTTCAGAACTGCTCTATCAAAAGAAAGATCCACCTCTGTTAGCTGAGTTCACACATCACAAACAAGTTTATGAAAATGCTTCTGTCTAGTTTTTATTTGAAGATATTTCCTTTCTCACCATAGACCTGAAAGCTGTCCTAATGTTCACTTCCAGATACTACAGAAAGAGTGTTTCAAAACTACTGTACGAAAGGGAATGTTCAACACTGTGACTTGAAAGCACACATCACAAAGAAGTTTCTGAGGATGCTGCTGTCTACTTTTTATACGTAATCGCGTTTCCAAAGAAATCCTCGAAGCTATCCAAATATCCACTTGCAGATTCCACAGAAAGACTGTTTCAAAACTGCTCTGTCAATAGAAAGGTTCAACTCTATTAGCTGCGTGCATATATCCCAAAGAAGATTCTGAGATTGCTTCTGTCTAGTTTTTATGGGAAGATATTTCCCTTTTCACCGTAGGCATCAAGGCGCTCCGAATGTCCACTTCCAGATACTACAAAAAGAGTGTTTCAAACCTACTCTGTGAAAGGGAATATTCAACTCTGTGACTTGAATGCACATATCACAAGGAAGTTTCTGAGAATGCTTCTGTCGAGATTTTGTATGAAGATATTCCCGTTTCCAACGAAATTCTGAAATCTATCCAAATATCCCCTCGCAGATTCTACAAAAAGAGTGTTTCAAAACTGCTCTGTGAAAAGAAAGGTTCAACTCTCTTAGTTGAGTACACACATCACAAACAAGTTTCACAGAATGCTTCTTTCTAGCTTGTAGGGGAAGATATTCCCTTTATCACCATGGGCCTCAAACCATCCGAAACGTCCACTTCCATATACTACAAAAAGAGCGTTTCAAACCTGCTCTAGGAAAAGCAATGTTCAACTCTGTGACTTGAATGCAGACATCACAGAGCAGTTTCTGAGAATGCTTCTGTCTAGGTTTTATAGGAAGATATTCCCGTTTCCAACGAAATCTTCACAGCTATCCAAATATCCACTTGCAGATTCTACAAAAAGAGTGTATCAAAACTGCTCTGTCAAAAGGAAGGTTCTTCTCTGTTAGGTGAGTGCACACGTCATAAAGGAGTTTCTGAGAATGTTTCTGTCTAGTGGTTATGGGAAGATATTTGCTTTTTCACCGTAGGTCTCAGAGCGCTCCAAATATCCACTTGCACATACTACAAAAAGAGTGCTTCAAAGCTGCTCTCTGAAACGGAATGTTCAACTCTATGACTTGAATGCAAACATCACAAAGACGTTTCTGAGAATGCTTCTGTCTAGATTTGATATGAAGATATTCCCGTTTCCAAGGAAATCTTCAAAACTATCCAAATGTCCACTTGCAGATTCAACAAAAAGTGTTTTTCAGAACTGCTCTATCAAAAGAAAGATCCACCGCTGTTTGCTGAGTTCACACATCACAAACAAGTTTATGAGAATGCTTCTGTCTAGTTTTTATTTGAAGATATTTCCTTTCTCACCATAGACCTGAAAGCTGTCCTAATGTTCACTTCCAGTTACTACAGAGTGTTTCAAAACTGCTGTACGAAAGGGAATGTTCAACTCTGTGACTTGAATGCACACATCACAAAGAAGTTTCTGAGGATGCTGCTGTCTACTTTTTTATACGTAATCCCGTTTCCAACGAAATCCTCCAAGCTATCCAAATATCCACTTGCAGATTCCACAGAAAGACTGTTTCAAAACTGCTCTGTCAATAGAAAGGTTCAACTCTGTTAGCTGCGTGCATATATCCCAAAGAAGATTCTGAGATTGCTTCTGTCTACTTTTTATGAGAAGATATTTCCCTTTTCACCTTAGGCGTCAAGGCGCTCCAAATGTCCACTTCCAGATACTACAAAAAGAGTGTTTCAAACCTACTCTGTGAAAGGGAATATTGAACTCTGTGACTTGAATGCACATATCACAAAGAAGCTTCTGAGAATGCTTCTGTCAAGATTTTATGTGAAGATATTCCCGTTTCCAACTAAATCCTGAAATGTATCCAAATATCCCCTCGCAGATTCTACAAAAAGAGTGTTTCAAAACTGCTCTGTAAAAAGAAAGGTTCAACTCTGTTAGTTGAGTACACACATCACAAACAAGTTTCACAGAATGCTTCTTTCTAGCTTGTAGGGGAAGATATTCCCTTTATCACCATGGGCCTCAAACCGTCCGAAACGTCCACTTCCATATACTACAAAAAGAGCATTTCAAACCTGCTCTATGAAAGACAATGTTGAACTCTGTGACTTGAATGCAGACATCACAGAGCAGTTTCTGAGAATGCTTCTGTCTAGATTTTATAGGAAGATATTCCCGTTTCCAACGAAATCTTCACAGCTATCCAAATATCCACTTGCAGATTCTACAAAAAGAGTGTATCAAAAATGCTCTGTCAAAAGGAAGGTTCTTCTCTGTTAGGTGAGTGCATACGTCATAAAGGAGTTTCTGAGAATGTTTCTGTGTAGTGGTTATGGGAAGATATTTGCTTTTTCACCGAAGGCCTCAGAGCGCTCCAAATATCCACTTGCACATACTACAAAATGAGTGCCTCAAAGCTGCTCTCTGAAACGGAATGTTCAACTCTATGAGTTGAATGCAAACATCACAAAGACGTTTCCGAGAATGCTTCTGTCTAGATTTGATATGAAGATATTCCCGTTTCCAACGAAATCTTCATATCTATAAAATGTCCACTTGCAGATTCAACAAAAAGTGTTTTTCAAAACTGCTGTATCAAAAGAAAGATCCACGTCTCTTAGCTGAGTTCACACATCACAAACAAGTTTATGAGAATGCTTCTGTCTAGTTTTTATTTGAAGATATTTCCTTTCTCACCATAGAGCTGAAAGCTGTCCTAATGTTCACTTCCAGATACCACAGAAAGAGTGTTTCAAAACTGCTGTACGAAAGGGAATGTTCAACTCTGTGACTTGAATGCACACATCACAAAGAAGTTTCTGAGGATGCTGCTGTCTACTTTTTATACGTAATCCCGTTTCCAACGAAATCCTCCAAGCTATCAAAATATGCACTTGCAGATTCCACAGAAAGACTGTTTCAAAACTGCTCTGTCAATAGAAAGGTTCAACTCTGTTAGCTGCGTGCATATATCCCAAAGAAGATTCTGAGATTGCTTCTGTCTAGTTTTTATGGGAAGATATTTCCCTTTTCACCGTAGGTGTCAAGGCGCTCCAAATGTCCACTTCCAGATACTACAAAAAGAGTGTTTCAAACCTACTCTGTGAAAGGGAATATTCAACTCTGTGACTTGAATGCACGTATCACAAGGAAGTTTCTGAGAATGCTTCTGTCGAGATTTTATATGAAGATATTCCCGTTTCCAACGAAATGCTGAAATGTATCCAAATATCCCCTCGCAGATTCTACAAAAAGAGTGTTTCAAAACTACTCTGTAAAAAGAAAGGTTCAACTCTGTTAGTTGAGTACACACATCACAAACAAGTTTCACAGAATGCTTCTTTCTAGCTTGTAGGGGAAGATATTTCCTTTATCACCATGGGCCTCAAACCGTCCGAAACGTCCACTTCCATATACTAAAAAAAGAGTGCTTGAAACCTGCTCTATGAAAGGCAATGTTCAACTCTGTGACTTGAATGCAGACATCACAGAGCAGTTTCTGAGAATGCTTCTGTCCAGACTTTATAGGAAGATATTCCCGATTCCAACGAAATCTTCACAGCTATCCAAATATCCACTTGCAGATACTACAAAAAGAGTGTATCAAAAGTGCTCTGTCAAAAGGAAAGTTCTTCTCTGCTAGTTGAGTACATACGCCATAAAGTAGTTTCTGAGAATGTTTCTGTCTAGTGGTTATGGGAAGATATTTGCTTTTTCACCGTAGGCCTCAGAGCGCTCCAAATATCCACTTGCACATACTACAAAAAGAGTGCTTCAAAGCTGCTCTACTGAAACGGAATGTTCAACTCTATGAGTTGAATGCAAACATCACAAAGACGTTTCTGAGAATGCTTCTGTCTAGATTTGATATGAAGATGTTCCCGTTACCAACGAAATCTTCAAATCTATCCAAATGTCCACTTGCAGATTCAACAAAAAGTGTTTTTCAGAACTGCTCTTTCAAAAGAAAGATCCACCTCTGTTAGCTGAGTTCACACATCACAAACAAGTTTATGAGAATGCTTCTGTCTAGTTTTTATTTGAAGATATTTCCTTTCTCACCATAGACCTGAAAGCTGTCCTAATGTTCACTTCCAGATACTACATAAAGAGTGTTTCAACACTGCTGTATGAAAGGGAATGTTCAACTCTGTGACTTGAATGCACACATCACAAAGAAGTTTCTGAGGATGCTGCTGTCTACTTTTTATACGTAATCCCGTTTCCAACGAAATCCTCCAAGCTATCCAAATATCCACTTGCAGATTCCACAGAAAGACTGTTTCAAAACTGCTCTGTCAATAGAAAGGTTCAACTCTGTTAGCTTCGTGCATATATCCCAAAGAAGATTCTGAGATTGCTTCTGTCTAGTTTTTATGGGAAGATATTTCCCTCTTCACCGTAGGCGTCAAGGCGCTCCAAATGTCCACTTCCAGATAGTACAAAAAGAGTGTTTCAAACCTACTCTATGAAAGGGAATATTCAACTCTGTGACTAGAATGCACATATCACAAAGAAGTTTCTGAGAATGCATCTGTCGAGATTTTATATGAAGATATTCCCGTTTCCAACGAAATCCTGAAATCTATCCAAATATCCCCTCGCAGATTCTACAAAAAGAGTGTTTCAAAACTGCTCTGTGAAAAGAAAGGTTCAACTCTCTTACTTGAGTACACACATCACAAACAAGTTTCACAGAATGCTTCTTTCTAGCTTGTAGGGGAAGATATTCCCTTTATCACCATGGGCCTCAAACCGTCTGAAACGTCCACTTCCATATACTACAAAAAGATCATTTCAAACCTGCTCTATGAAAGGCAATGTTCAACTCTGTGACTTGAATGCAGACATCACAGAGCAGTTTCTGAGAATGCTTCTGTCTAGATTTTATAGGAAGATATTCCCGTTTCCAACGAAATCTTCACAGCTATCCAAATATACACTTGCAGATTCTACAAAAAGAGTGTATCAAAGCTGCTCTGTCAAAAGGAAGGTTCTTCTCTGTTAGGTGAGTGCATACGTCATAAAGCAGTTTCTGAGAATGTTTCTGTCTAGTGGTTATGGGAAGATATTTGCTTTTTCACCGTAGGCCTCAGAGCGCTCCAAATATCCACTTGCACATACTACAAAAAGAGGGCCTCAAAGCTGCTCTTTGAAACGGAATGTTCAACTCTATGAGTTGAATGCAAACATCACAAAGACGTTTCTGAGAATGCTTCTGTCTAGATTTGATATGAAGATATTCCCGTTTCCAACGAAATCTTCAAATCTATCCAAATGTCCACTTGCAGATTCAACAAAAATTGTTTTTCAGAACTGCTCTATCAAAAGAAAGATCCACGTGTGTTAGCTGAGTTCACACATCACAAACAAGTTTATGAGAATGCTTCTGTCTAGTTTTTATTTGAAGATATTTCCTTTCTCACCATAGACCTGAAAGCTGTCCTAATGTTCACTTCCAGATACTACAGAAAGAGTGTTTCAAAACTGCTGTACGAAAGGGAATGTTCAACTCTGTGACTTGAATGCACACATCACAAAGTAGTTTCTGAGGATGCTGCTGTCTACTTTTTATACGTAATCCCGTTTCCAACGAAATCCTCCAAGCTATCCAAATATCCACTTGCAGATTCCACAGAAAGACTGTTTCAAAACTGCTCTGTCAATAGAAAGGTTCAACTCTGTTAGCTGCGTGCATATATCCTAAAGAGGATTCTGAGCTTGCTTCTGTCTAGTTTTTATGGGAAGATATTTCCCTTTTCACCATAGGTGTCAAGGCGCTCCAAATGTCCACTTCCAGATACTACAAAAAGAGTGTTTCAAACCTACTCTGTGAAAGGGAATATTCAACTCTGTGACTTGAATGCAGACATCACAGAGCAGTTTCTGAGAATGCTTCTGTCGAGATTTTATATGAAGATATTCCCCTTTCCAACGAAATCCTGAAATCTATCCAAATATCCCCTCGCAGATTCTACAAAAAGAGTGTTTCAAAACTGCTCTGTAAAAATAAAAGGTTCAACTCTGTTAGTTGAGTACACACATCACAAACAAGTTTCACAGAATGCTTCTTTCTAGCTTGTAGGGGAAGATATTCCCTTTATCACCATGGGCCTCAAGCCGTCCGAAACGTCCACTTCCATATACTACAAAAAGAGCGTTTCAAACCTGCTCTAGGAAAGGCAATGTTCAACTCTGTGACTTGAATGCAGACATCACAGAGCAGTTTCTGAGAATGCTTCTGTCTAGATTTTATAGGAAGATATTCCCGTTTCCAACGAAATCTTCACAGCTATCCAAATATCCACTTGCAGATTCTGCAAAAAGAGTGTATCAAAACTGCTCAGTCAAAAGGAAGGTTCTTCTCTGTTAGGAGAGTGCATACGTCATAAAGGAGTTTCTGAGAATGTTTCTGTCTAGTGGTTATGGGAAGATATTTGCTTTTTCACCGTAGGCCTCAGGGCGCTCCAAATGTCCACTTGCACATACTACAAAAAGAGTGCTTCAAAGCTGCTCTCTGAAACGGAATGTTCAACTCTATGAGTTGAATGCAAACATCACAAAGACGTTTCTGAGAATGCTTCTGTCTAGATTTGATATGAAGATATTCCCGTTTCCAACGAAATCTTCAAATCTATCCAAATGTCCACTTGCAGATTCAACAAAAAGTGTTTTTCAGTACTGCTCTATCAAAAGAAAGATCCACCTCTGTTAGCTGAGTTCACACATCACAAACAAGTTTATGAGAATGCTTCTGTCTAGTTTTTATTTGAAGATATTTCCTTTCTCACCATAGAGCTGAAAGCTGTCCTAATGTTCACTTCCAGATACTACAGAAAGAGTGTTTCAAAACTGCTGTACGAAAGGGAATGTTCAAATCTGTGACTTGAATGCACACATCACAAAGAAGATTCTGAGGATGCTGCTGTCTTCTTTTTATACGTAATCCCGTTTCCAACGAAATCCTCCAAGCTCTCCAAGTATCCACTTGCAGATTCCACAGAAAGACTGTTTCAAAACTGCTCTGTCAATAGAAAGGTTCAACTCTGTTAGCTGCGTGCATATATCCCAAAGAAGATTCTGAGATTGCTTCTGTCTAGTTTTTATGGGAAGATATTTCCCTATTCACCGTAGGTGTCAAGGCGCTCCAAATGTCCACTTCCAGATACTACAAAAAGAGTGTTTCAAACCTACTCTGTGAAAGGGAATATTCAACTCTGTGACTTGAATGCACATATCACAAGGAAGTTTCTGAGAATGCTAATGTCGAGATTTTATATGAAGATATTCCCGTTTCCAACGAAATCCTGAAATCTATCCAAATATCCCCTCGCAGATTCTACAAAAAGAGTGTTTCAAAACTGCTCTGTGAAAAGAAAGGTTCAACTCTGTTAGTTGAGTACACACATAACAAACAAGTTTCACAGAATGCTTCTTTCTAGCTTGTAGGGGAAGATATTCCCTTTATCACCATGGGCCTCCAACCGTCCGAAACATCCACTTCCATATACTACAAAAAGAGCGTTTCAAACCTGCTCTATGAAAGGCAATGTTCAACTCTGTGACTTGAATGCAGAAATCACAGAGCAGTTTCTGAGAATGCTTCTGTCTAGATTTTATAGGAAGATATTCCCGTTTCCAACGAAATCTTCACAGGTATCCAAATATCCACTTGCAGATTCTACAAAAAGAGTGTATCAAAACTGCTCTGTCAAAAGGAAGGTTCTTCTCTGTTAGGTGAGTGCATACGTCATAAAGGAATTTCTGAGAATGTTTCTTTCTAGTGGTTATGGGAAGATATTTGCTTTTTCACCGTAGGCCTCACAGCGCTCCAAATATCCACTTGCACATACTACAAAAAGAGTGCTTCAAAGCTGCTCTCTGAAACGGAATGTTCAACTCTATGAGTTGAATGCAAACATCACAAAGACGTTTCCGAGAATGCTTCTGTCTAGATTTGATATGAAGATATTCCCGTTTCCAACGAAATCTTCAAATCTATCCAAATGTCCACTTGCAGATTCAACAAAGTGTTTTTCAGAACTGCTCTATCAAAAGAAAGATCCACCTCTGTTAGCTGAGTTCACACATCACAAACAAGTTTATGAGAATGCTTCTGTCTAGTTTTTATTTGAAGATATTTCCTTTCTCACCATAGACCTGAAAGCTGTCCTAATGTTCACTTCCAGATACTACAGAAAGAGTGTTTCAAAACTGCTGTACAAAAGGGAATGTTCAACTCTGTGACTTGAATGCACACATCACAAAGAAGTTTCTGAGGATGCTGCTGTCTACTTTTTATACGTAATCCTGTTTCCAACGAAATCCTCCAAGCTATCCAAATATCCACTTGCAGATTCCACAGAAAGACTGTTTCAAACCTGCTCTGTCAATAGAAAGGTTCAACTCTGTTAGCTACGTGCATATATCCCAAAGAAGATTCTGAGATTGCTTCTGTCTACTTTTTATGAGAAGATATTTCCCTTTTCACCGTAGGCGTCAAGGCGCTCCAAATGTCCACTTCCAGATACTACAAAAAGAGTGTTTCAAACCTACTCTGTAAAAGGGAATATTCAACTCTGTGACTTGAATGCACATATCACAAAGAAGTTTCTGAGAATGCTTCTGTCGAGATTTTATATGAAGATATTCCCGTTTCCAACGAAATCCTGAAATCTATCGAAATATCCCCTCGCAGATTCTACAAAAAGAGTGTTTCAAAACTGCTCTGTAAAAAGAAAGGTTCAACTCTGTTAGTTGAGTACACACATCACAAACTAGTTTCACAGAATGCTTCTTTCTAGCTTGTAGGGGAAGATATTCCCTTTATCACCATGGGCCTCAAACCGTCCGAAACGTCCACTTCCATATGCTACAAAAAGAGCATTTCAAACCTGCTCTAGGAAAGGCAATGTTCAACTCTGTGACTTGAATGCAGACATCACAGAGCTGTTTCTGAGAATGCTTCTGTCTAGATTTCATAGGAAGATATTTCCGTTTCCAACGAAACCTTCACAGCTATCCAAATATCCACTTGCAGATTCTACAAAAAGAGTGTATCAAAACTGCTCTGTCAAAAGGAAGGTTCTTCTCTGTTAGGTGAGTGCATACGTCATAAAGGAGTTTCTGAGAATGTTTCTGTCTACTGGTTATGGGAAGATATTTGCTTTTTCACCGTAGGCCTCAGAGCGCTCCAAATATCCACTTGCACATGCTACAAAAAGAGTGCTTCAAAGCTGCTCTCTGAAACGGAATGTTCAACTCTATGAGTTGAATGCAAACATCACAAAGACGTTTCTGAGAATGCTTCTGTCTAGATTTGATATGAAGATATTCCCGTTTCCAACGAAATCTTCAAATCTATCCAAATGTCCACTTGCAGATTCAACAAAAAGTGTTTTTCAGAACTGCTCTATCAAAAGAAAGATCCACCTCTGTTAGCTGAGTTCGCACATCACAAACAAGTTTATGAGAATGCTTCTGTCTAGTTTTTATTTGAAGATATTTCCTTTCTCACCATAGACCTGAAAGCTGTCTTAATGTTCACTTCCAGTTACTACAGAAAGAGTGTTTCAAAACTGCTGTACGAAAGGGAATGTTCAACTCTGTGACTTGAATGCACACATCACAAAGAAGTTTCTGAGGATGTTGCTGTCTACTTTTTATACGTAATCCCGTTTCCAACGAAATCCTCCAAGCTATCCAAATATCCACTTGCAGATTACACAGAAAGACTGTTTCAAAACTGCTCTGTCAATAGAAAGGTTCAACTCTGTTAGCTGCGTGCATATATCCCAAAGAAGATTCTGAGATTGCTTCTGTCTAGTTTTTATGGGAAGATATTTCCCTTTTCACCGTAGGCGTCAAGGCGCTCCAAATGTCCACTTCCAGATACTACAAAAAGAGTGTTTCATACCTACTCTATGAAAGGGAATATTCAACTCTGTGACTTGAATGCACATATCACAAGGAAGTTTCTGAGAATGCTTCTGTCGAGATTTTATATGAAGATATTCCCGTTTCCAACGAAATCCTGAAATGTATCCAAATATCCCCTCGCAGATTCTACAAAAAGAGTGTTTCAAAACTGCTCTGTAAAAAGAAAGGTTCAACTCTGTTAGTTGAGTGCACACATCACAAACAAGTTTCACAGAATGCTTCTTTCTAGCTTGTAGAGGAAGATATTCCCTTTATCACCATGGGCCTCCAACCGTCCGAAACATCCACTTCCATATACTACAAAAAGAGCGTTTCAAACCTGCTCTATGAAAGGCAATGTTCAACTCTGTGACTTGAATGCAGACATCACAGAGCAGTTTCTGAGAATGCTTCTGTCTAGATTTTATAGGAAGATATTCCCGTTTCCAACGAAATCTTCACAGCTATCCAAATATCCACTTGCAGTTTCTACAAAAAGAGTGTATCAAAACTGCTCTGTCAAAAGGAAGGTTCTTCTCTGTTAGTTGAGTACATACGTCATAAAGGAGTTTCTGAGAATGTATCTGTCTAGTGGTTATGGGAAGATATTTGCTTTTTCACCATAGGCCTCAGAGCGCTCCAAATATCCACTTGCACATACTACAAAAAGAGTGCCTCACAGCTGCTCTCTGAAACGGAATGTTCAACTCTATGAGTTGAATGCAAACATCGCAAAGACGTTTCTGAGAATGCTTGTCTGTCTAGATTTGATATGAAGATATTCCCGTTTCCAACGAAATCTTCAAATCTATCCAAATGTCCACTTGCAGATTCAACAAAAAGTGTTTTTCAGAACTGCTCTATCAAAAGAAAGATCCACCTCTGTTAGCTGAGTTCACACATCAGAAACAAGTTTATGAGAATGCTTCTGTCTAGTTTTTATTTGAAGATATTTCCTTTCTCACAATAGACCTGAAAGCTGTCCTAATGTTCACTTCCAGATACTACAGAAAGAGTGTTTCAAAACTGCTGTACGAAAGGGAATGTTCAACACTGTGACTTGAATGCACACATCACAAAGAAGTTTCTGAGGATGCTGCTGTCTACTTTTTATGCGTAATCCCGTTTCCAACGAAATCCTCCAAGCTATCCAAATATCCACTTGCAGATTCCACAGAAAGACTGTTTCAAAACTGCTCTGTCAATAGAAAGGTTCAACTCTGTTAGCTGCGTGCATATATCCCAAAGTAGATTCTGAGATTGCTTCTGTCTAGTTTTTGTGGGAAGATATTTCCCTTTTCACCGTAGGGGTCAAGGCGCTCCAAATGTCCACTTCCAGATACTACAAAAAGAGTGTTTCAAACCTACTCTGTGAAAGGGAATATTCAACTCTGTGACTTGAATGCACATATCACAAAGAAGTTTCTGAGAATGCTTCTGTCGAGATTTTATATGAAGATATTCCCGTTTCCAACGAAATCCTGAAATGTACCCAAATATCCCCTCGCAGATTCTACAAAAAGAGTGTTTCAAAACTGCTCTGTAAAAAGAAAGGTTCAACTCTGTTAGTTGAGTACACACATCACAAATAAGTTTCACACAATGCTTCTTTCTAGCTTGTAGGGGAAGATATTCCCTTTATCACCATGGGCCTCAAACCGTCCGAAACGTCCACTTCCATATACTACAAAAAGGGCGTTTCAAACCTGCTCTATGAAAGGCAATGTTCAACTCTGTGACTTGAATGCAGACATCACAGAGCAGTTTCTGAGAATGCTTCTGTCTAGATTTTATAGGAAGATATTTCCGTTTCCAACGAAATCTTCACAGCTATCCAAATATCCACTTGCAGATTCTACAAAAAGAGTGTATCAAAACTGCTCTGTCAAAAGGAAGGTTCTTCTCTGTTAGTTGAGTACATACGTCATAAAGGAGTTTCTGAGAATGTTTCTGTCTAGTGGTTATGGGAAGATATTTGCTTTTTCACCTTAGGCCTCAGATCGCTCCAAATATCCACTTGCACATACTACAAAAAGAGTGCTTCAAAGCGGCTCTCTGAACCGCAATGTTCAATTCTATGAGTTGAATGCAAACATCACAAAGACGTTTCTGAGAATGCTTCTGTCTAGATTTGATATGAAGATATTCCCGTTTCCAACGAAATCTTCAAATCTATCCAAATGTCCACTTGCAGATTCAACAAAAAGTGTTTTTCAGAACTGCTCTATCAAAAGGAAGATCCACCTCTGTTAGCTGAGTTCAGACATCACAAACAAGTTTATGAGAATGCTTCTGTCTAGTTTTTATTTGAAGATATTTCCTTTCTCACCATAGACCTGAAAGCTGTCCTAATGTTCACTTCCAGATACTACAGAAAGAGTGTTTCAAAACTGCTGTACGAAAGGGAATGTTCAACTCTGTGACTTGAATGCACACATCACAAAGAAGATTCTGAGGATGCTGCTGTCTACTTTTTATACGTAATCCCGTTTCCAACGAAATCCTCCAAGCTATCCAAATATCCACTTGCAGATTCCACAGAAAGACTGTTTCAAAACTGCTCTGTCAATAGAAAGGTACAACTCTGTTAGCTGCGTGCATATATCCCAAAGAAGATTCTGAGATTGCTTCTGTCTAGTTTTGATGGGAAGATATTTCCCTTTTCACCGTAGGCGTCAAGGCGCTCCAAATGTCCACTTCCAGATACTACAAAAAGAGTGTTTCAAACCTACTCTGTGAAAGGGAATATTCAACTCTGTGACTTGAATGCACATATCGCAAGGAAGTTTCTGAGAATGCTTCTGTCGAGATTTTATATGAAGATACTCCCGTTTCCAGCGAAATCCTGAAATCTATCCAAATATCCCCTCGCAGATTCTACAAAAAGAGTGTTTCAAAACTGCTCTGTAAAAAGGAAGGTTCAACTCTGTTAGTTGAGTACACACATCAAAAACAAGTTTCACAGAATGCTTCTTTCTAGCTTGTAGGGGAAGATATTCCCTTTATCACCATCGGCCTCAAACCGTCTGAAACATCCACTTACATATACTACAAAAAGAGCGTTTCAAACCTGCTCTATGAAAGGCAATGTTCAACTCTGTGACTTGAATACAGACATCACAGAGCAGTTTCTGAGAATGCTTCTGTCTAGATTTTATAGGAAGATATTCCCGTTTCCAACGAAATCTTCACAGCTATCCAAATATCCACTTGCAGATTCTACAAAAAGAGTGTATCAAAACTGCTCTGTCAAAAGGAAGGTTCTTCTCTGTTAGTTGAGTGCATACGTCATAAAGGAGTTTCTGAGAATGTTTCTGTCTAGTGGTTATGGGAAGATATTTGCTTTTTCACCGCAGGCCTCACAGCGCTCCAAATATCCACTTGCACATACTACAAAAAGAGTGCTTCAAAGCTGCTCCCTGAAACGGAATGTTCAACTCTATGGGTTGAATGCAAACATCACAAAGACGTTTCTGAGAATGCTTCTGTCTAGATTTGATATGAAGATATTCCCGTTTCCAACGAAATCTTCAATTCTATCCAAATGTCCACTTGCAGATTCAACAAAAAGTGTTTTTCAGAACTGCTCTATCAAAAGAAAGATCCACCTCTGTTAGCTGAGTTCAGACATCACAAACAAGTTTATGAGAATGCTTCTGTCTAGTTTTTATTTGAAGATATTTCCTTTCTCACCATAGACCTGAAAGCTGTCCTAATGTTCACTTCCGGTTACTACAGAAAGAGTGTTTCAAAACTGCTGTACGAAAGGGAATGTTCAACTCTGTGACTTGAATGCACACATCACAAAGAAGTTTCTGAGGATGCTGCTGACTACTTTTTATACGTAATCCCGTTTCCAACGAAATCCTCCAAGCTATCCAAATATCCACTTGCAGATTCCACAGAAAGACTGTTTCAAAACTGCTCTGTCAATAGAAAGGTTCAACTCTGTTAGCTGCGTGCATATATCCCAAAGAAGATTCTGAGATTGCTTCTGTCTAGTTTTTATGGGAAGATATTTCCCCTTTCACCGTAGGCGTCAAGGCGCTCCAAATGTCCACTTCCAGATACTACAAAAAGAGTGTTTCAAACCTACTCTGTGAAAGGGAATATTCAACTCTGTGACTTGAATGCACATATCACAAGGAAGTTTCTGAGAATGCTTCTGTCGAGATTTTATATGAAGATATTCCCGTTTCCAACGAAATCCTGAAATGTATCCAAATATCCCCTCGCAGATTCTACAAAAAGAGTGTTTCAAAACTGCTCTGTGAAAAGAAAGGTTCAACTTTGTTAGTTGAGTACACACATCACAAACAAGTTTCACAGAATGCTTCTTTCCAGCTTGTAGGGGAAGATATTCCCTTTATCACCATGGGCTTCCAACCGTCCGAAACATCCACTTCCATATACTACAAAAAGAGCGTTTCAAACCTGCTCTATGAAAGGCAATGTTCAACTCTGTGACTTGAATGCAGACATCACAGAGCAGTTTCTGAGAATGCTTCTGTCTAGATTTTATAGGAAGCTATTCCCGTTTCCAACGAAATCTTCACAGCTATCCAAATATCCACTTGCAGATTCTACAAAAAGAGTGTATCAAAACTGCTCTGTCAAAAGGAAGGTTCTTTTCTGTTAGGTGAGTGCATACGTCATAAAGGAGTTTCTGAGAATGTTTCTGTCTAGTGGTTATGGGAAGATATTTGCTTTTTCACAGAAGGCCTCAGAGCGCTCCAAATATCCACTTGCACATACTACAAAAAGAGTGCCTCAAAGCTGCTCTCTGAAACGGAATGTTCAACTTTATGAGTTGAATGCAAACATCACAAAGACGTTTCCGAGAATGCTTCTGTCTAGATTTGATATGAAGATATTCCCGTTTCCAACGAAATCTTCAAATCTATCCAAATGTCCACTTGCAGATTCAACAAAAAGTGTTTTTCAGATCTGCTCTATCAAAAGAAAGATCCATCTCTGTTAGCTGAGTTCACACATCACAAACAAGTTTATGAGAATGCTCTGTCTAGTTTTTATTTGAAGATATTTCCTTTCTCACCATAGACCTGAAAGCTGTCCTAATGTTCACTTCCAGATACTACAGAAAGAGTGTTTCAAAACTGCTTTACGAAAGGGAATGTTCAACTACTGTGACTTGAATGCACACATCACAAAGAAGTTTCTGAGGATGCTGGCTGTCTACTTTTTATACGTAATCCCGTTTCCAACGAAATCCTCCAAGCTATCTAAATATCCACTTGCAGATTCCACAGAAAGACTGTTTCTAAACTGCTCTTTCAATAGAAAGGTTCAACTCTGTTAGCTGCGTGCATATATCCCAAAGAAGATTCTGAGATTGCTTCTGTCTCGTTTTTATGGTAAGATATTTACCTTTTCACCGTAGGTGTCAAGGCGCTCCAAATGTCCACTTCCAGATACTACAAAAAGAGTGTTTCAAACCTACTCTGTGAAAGGGAATATTCAACTCTGTGACTTGAATGCAGATATCACAAAGAAGTTTCTGAGAATGCTTCTGTCGAGATTTTATATGAAGATATTCCCGTTTCCAACGAAATCCTGAAATCTATCCAAATATCCCCTCGCAGATTCTACAAAAAGAGTGTTTCAAAACTGCTCTGTAAAAAGAAAGGTTCAACTCTGTTAGTTGAGTACACACATCACAAACAAGTTTCACAGAATTGTTCTTTCTAGCTTGTAGGGGAAGATATTCCCTTTATCACCATGGGCCTGAAACCGTCCGAAACGTCCACTTCCATATACTACAAAAAGAGTGTTTCAAACCTGCTCTATGAAAGGCAATGTTCAACTCTGTGACTTGAATGCAGACATCACAGAGCAGTTTCTGAGAATGCTTCTGTCTAGATTTTATAGGAAGATATTACCGTTTCCAACGAAATCTTCACAGCTATCCCAATATCCACTTGCAGATTCTACAAAAAGAGTGTATCAAAACTGCTCTGTCAAAAGGAAGGTTCTTCTCTGTTAGGTGAGTGCATACGTCATAAAGGAGTTTCTGAGAATGTTTCTGTCTAGTGGTTATGGGAAGATATTTGCTTTTTCACCGAAGGCCTCAGAGCGCTCCCAATATCCACTTGCACATACTACAAAATGAGTGCCTCAAAGCTGCTCTCTGAAACGGAATGTTCAAATCTATGAGTTGAATGCAAACATCACAAAGACGTTTCCGAGAATGCTTCTGTCTAGATTTGATATGAAGATATTCCCGTTTCCAACGAAATCTTCAAATCTATCCAAATGTCCTCTTGCAGATTCAACAAAAAGTGTTTTTCAGAACTGCTCTATCAAAAGAAAGATCCACGTGTGTTAGCTGAGTTCACACATCACGAACAAGTTTATGAGAATTCTTCTGTCTAGTTTTTATTTGAAGATATTGCCTTTCTCACCATAGACCTGAAAGCTGTCCTAATGTTCACTTCCAGATACTACAGAAAGAGTGTTTCAAAACTGCTGTACGAAAGGGAATGTTCAACTCTGTGACTTGAATGCACACATCACAAAGAAGTTCCTGAGGATGCTGCTGTCTACTTTTTATACGTAATCCCGTTTCCAACGAAATCCTCCAAGCTATCCAAATATCCACTTGCAGATTCCACAGAAAGAGTGTTTCAAAACAGCTCTGTCAATAGAAAGGTTCAACTCTGTTAGCTGCGTGCATATATCCCAAAGAAGATTCTGAGATTGCTTCTGTCTACTTTTTATGAGAAGATATTTCCCTTTTCACCGTAGGCGTCAAGGCGCTCCAAATGTCCACTTCAGATACTACAAAAAGAGTGTTTCAAACCTACTCTGTGAAAGGGAATATTGAACTCTGTGACTTGAATGCACATATCACAAAGAAGTTTCAGAGAATGCTTCTGTCGAGATTTTATATGAAGATATTCCCGTTTCCAACGAAATGCTGAAATCTATCCAAATATCCCCTCGCAGATTCTACAAAAAGAGTGTTTCAAAACTGCTCTGTGAAAAGAAAGGTTCAACTCTGTTAGTTGAGTACACACATCACAAACTAGTTTCACAGAATGCTTCTTTCTAGCTTGCAGGGGAAGATATTCCCTTTATCACCATGGGCCTCAAACCGTCTGAAACGTCCACTTCCATATACTACAAAAAGAGCATTTCAAACCTGCTCTATGAAAGCCAATGTTCAACTCTGTGACTTGAATGCACACATCACAGAGCAGTTTCTGAGAATGCTTCTGTCTAGGTTTTATAGGAAGATATTCCCGTTTCCAACGAAATCTTCACAGCTATCCAAATATCCACTTGCAGATTCTACAAAAAGAGTGTATCAAAACTGCTCTGTCAAAAGGAAGGTTCTTCTCTGTTAGGTGAGTGCATACGTCATAAAGGAGTTTCTGAGAATGTTTCTGTCTAGTGGTTATGGGAAGATATTTGCTTTTTCACCGTAGGCCTCAGAGCGCTCCAAATATCCACTTGCACATACTACAAAAAGAGTGCCTCAAAGCTGCTCTCTGAAACGGAATGTTCAACTCTATGAGTTGAATGCAAACATCGCAAAGACGTTTCTGAGAATGCTTATCTGTCTAGATTTGATATGACGATATTCCCGTTTCCAACGAAATCTTCAAATCTATCCAAATGTCCACTTGCAGATTCAACAAAACGTGTTTTTCAGAACTGCTCTATCAAAAGAAAGATCCACGTCTGTTAGCTGAGTTCAGACATCACAAACAAGTTTATGAGAATGCTTCTGTCTAGTTTTTATTTGAAGATATTTCCTTTCTCACCATAGACCTGAAAGCTGTCCTAATGTTCACTTCCAGATACTACAGAAAGAGTGTTTCAAAACTGCTGTACGAAAGGGAATGTTCAACTGTGTGACTTGAATGCACACATCACAAAGAAGTTTCTGAGGAGGCTGCTGTCTACTTTTTATACGTAATCCCGTTTCCAACGAAATCCTCCAAGCTATCCAAATATCCACTTGCAGATTCCACAGAAAGACTGTTTCAAAACTGCTCTGTCAATAGAAAGGTTCAACTCTGTTACCTGCGTGCATATATCCCGAAGAAGATTCTGAGATTGCTTCTGTCTACTTTTTATGAGAAGATATTTCCCTTTTCACCGTAGGCGTCAAGGCGCTCAAAATGTCCACTTCCAGATACTACAAAAAGAGTGTTTCAAACCTACTCTGTGAAAGGGAATATTCAACTCTGTGACTTGAATGCAGATATCACAAAGAAGTTTACTGAGAATGCTTTCTGTCGAGATTTTATATGAAGATATTCCCGTTTCCAACGGAATCCTGAAATCTATCCAAATATCCCCTCGCAGATTCTACAAAAAGAGTGTTTCAAAACTGCTATGTAAAAAGAAAGGTTCAACTCTGTTAGTTGAGTACACACATCACAAACAAGTTTCACAGAATGCTTCTTTCTAGCTTGTAGGGGAAGATATTCCCTTTATCACCATGGGCCTCCAACCGTCCGAAACATCCACTTCCATACACTACAAAAAGAGCGTTTCAAACCTGCTCTATGAAAGGCAATGTTCAACTCTGTGACTTGAATGCAGACATCACAGAGCAGTTTCTGAGAATGCTTCTGTCTAGATTTTATAGGAAGATATTCCCGTTTCCAACGAAATCTTCACAGCTATCCAAATATCCACTTGCAGATTCTGCAAAAAGAGTGTATAAAAACTGCTCAGTCAAAAGGAAGGTTCTTCTCTGTTAGGTGAGTGCATACGTCATAAAGGAGTTTCTGAGAATGTTTCCGTCTAGTGGTTATGGGAAGATATTTGCTTTTTCACCGTAGGCCTCAGAGCGCTCCAAATATCCACTTGCACATACTACAAAAAGAGTGCCTCAAAGCTGCTCTCTGAAACGGAATGTTCAACTCTATGAGTTGAATGCAAACATCGCAAAGACGTTTCTGAGAATGCTTCTGTCTAGATTTGACATGAAGATATTCCCGTTTCCAACGAAATCTTCAAATCTATCCAAATGTCCACTTGCAGATTCAACAAAAAGTGTTTTTCAGAACTGCTCTATCAAAAGAAAGATCCACCTCTGTTAGCTGAGTTCACACATCACAAACAAGTTTATGAGAATGCTTTTGTCTAGTTTTTATTTGAAGATATTTCCTTTCTCACCGTAGACCTGAAAGCTGTCCTAATGTTCACTTCCAGTTACTACAGAAAGAGTGTTTGAAAACTGCTGTACGAAAGGGAATGTTCAACTCTGTGACTTGAATGCACACATCACAAAGAAGTTTCTGAGGATGCTGCTGTCTACTTTTCATACGTAATCCCGTTTCCAACGAAATCCTCCAAGCTATCCAAATATCTACTTGCAGATTCCACAGAAAGACTGTTTCAAAACTGCTCTGTCAATAGAAAGGTTCAACTCTGTTAGCTGCGTGCATATATCCCAAAGAAGATTCTGAGATTGCTTCTGTCTAGTTTTTATGGGAAGATATTTCCCTTTTCACCGTAGGTCTCAAGGGGCTCCAAATGTCCACTTCCAGATACTACAAAAAGAGTGTTTCAAACCTACTCTGTGAAAGGGAATATTCAACTCTGTGACTTAAAGGCAGATATCACAAAGAAGTTTCTGAGAATGCTTCTGTCGATATTTTATATGAAGATATTCCCGTTTCCAACGAAATCCTGAAATCTATCCAAATATCCCCTCTCAGATTCTACAAAAAGAGTGTATCAAAACTGCTCTGTAAAAAGAAAGGTTCAACTCTGTTAGTTGAGTACACACATCACAAGCAAGTTTCACAGAATGCTTCTTTCTAGCTTGTAGGGGAAGATATTCCCTTTATCACCATGGGCCTCAAACTGTCCGAAACGTCCACTTCCATATACTACAAAAAGAGTGTTTCAAACCTGCTCTATGAAAGGCAATGTTCAACTCTGTGACTTGAATGCAGACATCACAGAGCAGTTTCTGAGAATGCTTCTGTCTAGATTTTATAGGAAGATATTCCCGTTTCCAATGAAATCTTCACAGCTATCCAAATATCCACTTGCAGATTCTACAAAAAGAGTGTATCAAAACTGCTCTGTCAAAAGGAAGGTTCTTCTCTGTTAGGTGAGTGCATACGTCATAAAGGAGTTTCTGAGAATGTTTCTGTCTAGTGGTTATGGGAAGATATTTGCTTTTTCACCGTAGGCCTCACAGCGCTCCAAATATCCACTTGCACAGACTACAAAAAGAGTGCTTCAAAGCTGCTCTCTGAAAGGGAATGTTCAACTCTATGAGTTGAATGCAAACATCACAAAGACGTTTCTGAGAATGCTTCTGTCTAGATTTGATATGAAGATATTCCCGTTTCCAACGAAATCTTCAAATCTATCGAAATGTCCACTTGCAGATTCAACAAAAAGTGTTTTTCCGAACTGCTCTATCAAAAGAAAGATCCGCCTCTGTTAGCTGAGTTCACACATCACAAACAAGTTTATGAGAATGCTTCTGTCTAGTTTTTATTTGAAGATATTTCCTTTCTCACTATAGACCTGAAAGCTCTCCTAAAGTTCACTTCCAGATACTACAGAAAGAGTGTTTCAAAACTGCTGTACGAAAGGGAATGTTCAACTCTGTGACTTGAATGCACACATCACAAGGAAGTTTCTGAGGATGCTGCTGTCTAATTTTTATACGTAATCCCGTTTCCAACGAAATCCTCCAATCTATCCAAATATCCACTTGCAGATTCCACAGAAAGACTGTTTCAAAACTGCTCTGTCAATAGAAAGGTTCAACTCTGTTAGCTGCGTGCATATATCCCAAAGAAGATTCTGAGATTGCTTCTGTCTAGTTTTTATGGGAAGATATTTCCCTTTTCACCGTAGGCGTCAAGGCGCTCCAAATGTCCACTTCCAGATACTACAAAAAGAGTGTTTCAAACCTACTCTGTGAAAGGGAATATTCAACTCTGTGACTTGAATGCACATATCACAAAGGAAGTTTCTGAGAATGCTTCTGTCGAGATTTTATGTGAAGATATTCCCGTTTGCAACGAAATCCTGAAATCTATCCAAATATCCCCTCGCAGATTCTACAAAAAGAGTGTTTCAAAACTGCTCTGTAAAAAGAAAGGTTCAACTCTTTTAGTTGAGTACACACATCACAAACAAGTTTCACAGAATGCTTCTTTCTACCTTGTAGGGGAAGATATTCCCTTTATCACCATGGGCCTCAAACCGTCCGAAATGTCCACTTCCATATACTACAAAAAGAGTGTTTCAAACCTGCTCTATGAAAGGCAATGTTCAACTCTGTGACTTGAATGCAGACATCACAGAGCAGTTTCTGAGAATGCTTCTGTCTAGATTTTATAGGAAGATATTCCCGTTTCCAACGAAATCTTCACAGCTATCCAAATATCCACTTGCAGATTCTACAAAAAGAGTGTACCAAAACTGCTCTGTCAAAAGGAAGGTTCTTTTCTGTTAGGTGAGTGCATACGTCATAAAGGAGTTTCTGAGAATGTTTCTGTCTAGTGGTTATGGGAAGATATTTGCTTTTTCACCGTAGGCCTCAGAGCGCTCCAAATATCCACTTGCACATACTACAAAAAGAGTGCTTCAAATCTGCTCTCTGAAAGGGAATGTTCAACACTATGAGTTGAATGCAAACATCACAAAGACGTTTCTGAGAATGCTTCTGTCTATATTTGATATGAAGATATTCCCGTTTCCAACGAAATCTTCAAATCTATCCAAATGTCCACTTGCAGATTCAACAAAAAGTGTTTTTCAGAACTGCTCTATCAAAAGAAAGATCCACCTCTGTTAGATGAGTTCACACATCACAAACAAGTTTATGAGAATGCTTCTGTCTAGTTTTTATTTGAAGATATTTCCTTTCTCACCATAGACCTGAAAGCTGTCCTAATGTTCACTTACAGATACTACAGAAAGAGTGTTTCAAAACTGCTGTACGAAAGGGAATGTTCAACTCTGTGACTTGAATGCACACATCACAAAGAAGTTTCTGAGGATGCTGCTGTCTTCTTTTTATACGTAATCCCGTTTCCAACGAAATCCTCCAAGCTATCCAAATATCCACTTGCAGATTCCACAGAAAGACTGTTTCAAAACTGCTCTGTCAATAGAAAGGTTCAACTCTGTTAGCTGCGTGCATATATTCCAAAGAAGATTCTGAGATTGCTTCTGTCTAGTTTTTATGGGAAGATATTTCCCTTTTCACCATAGGCGTCAAGGCGCTCCAAATGTCCACTTCCAGGTATACAAAAAGAGTGTTTCAAACCTACTCTGTGAAAGGGAATATTCAACTCTGTGACTTGAATGCAGATATCACAAAGAAGTTTCTGAGAATGCTTCTGTCGAGATTTTGTATGAAGATATTCCCGATTCCAACGAAATCCTGAAATCTATCCAAATTTCCCCTCGCAGATTCTACAAAAAGAGTGTTTCAAAACTGCTCTGTGAAAAGAAAGGTTCAACTCTGTTAGTTGAGTACACACATCACAAACAAGTTTCACAGAATGCTTCTTTCTAGCTTGTAGGGGAAGATATTTCCTTTATCACCATGGTCCTCAAACCGTCCGAAACGTCCACTTCCATATACTAAAAAAAGAGTGTTTCAAACCTGCTCTATGAAAGGCAATGTTCAACTCTGTGACTTGAATGCAGACATCACAGAGCAGTTTCTGGGAATGCTTCTGTCTAGATTTTATAGGAAGATATTCTCGTTTCCAACGAAATCTTCACAGCTATCCAAATATCCACTTGCAGATTCTACAAAAAGAGTGTATCAAAACTGCTCTGTGAAAAGGAAGGTTCTTCTCTGTTAGGTGAGTGCATACTTCATAAAGGAGTTTCTGAGAATGTTTCTGTCTAGTGGTTATGGGAAGATATTTGCTTTTTCACCGTAGGCCTCAGAGCGCTCCAAATATCCACTTGCACATACTACAAAAAGAGTGCCTCACAGCTGCTCTCTGAAACGGAATGTTCAACTCTATGGGTTGAATGCAAACATCGCAAAGACGTTTCTGAGAATGCTTCTGTCTAGATTTGATATGAAGATATTCCCGTTTCCAACGAAATCTTCAAATCTATGCAAATGTCCACTTGCAGATTCAACAAAAAGTGTTTTTCAGAACTGCTCTATCAAAAGAAAGATCCACCTCTGTTAGCTGAGTTCACACCTCACAAACAACTTTATGAGAATGCTTCTGTCTAGTTTTTATTTGAAGATATTTCCTTTCTCACCATAGAGCTGAAAGCTGTCCTAATGTTCACTTCCAGATACTACAGAAAGAGTGTTTCAAAACTGCTGTACGAAAGGGAATGTTGAACTCTGTGACTTGAATGCACACATCACAAAGAAGTTTCTGAGGATGCTGCTGTCTACTTTTTATATGTAATCCCGTTTCCAACGAAATCCTCCAAGCTATCCAAATATCCACTTCCAGATTCCACAGAAAGACTGTTTCAAAACTCCTCTGTCAATAGAAAGGTTCAACTCTGTTAGCTGCGTGCATATATCCCAAAGAAGATTCTGAGATTGCTTCTGTCTAGTTTTTATGGGAAGATATTTCCCTTTTCACCGTAGGCGTCAAGGCGCTCCAAATGTCCACTTCCAGATACTACAAAAAGAGTGTTTCAAACCTACCCTGTGAAAGGGAATATTCAACTCTGTGACTTGAATGCACATATCACAAAGAAGTTTCTGAGAATGCTTCTGTCGAGATTTTGTATGAAGATATTCCCGTTTCCAACGAAATCCTGAAATCTATCCAAATTTCCCCCCGCAGATTCTACAAAAAGAGTGTTTCAAAACTGCTCTGTAAAAAGAAAGGTTCAACTCTGTTAGTTGAGTACACACATCACAAACAAGTTTCACAGAATGCTTCTTTCTAGCTTGTAGGGGAAGATATTCCCTTTATCACCATGGGCCTCAAACCGTCCGATAAGTCCACTTCCATATACTACAAAAAGAGCGTTTCAAACCTGCTCTATGAAAGGCAACGTTCAACTCTGTAACTTGAATGCAGACATCACAGAGCAGTTTCTGAGAATGCTTCTGTCTAGATTTTATAGGAAGATATTCCCGTTTCCAACGAAATCTTCACAGCTATCCAAATATCCACTTGCAGATTCTACAAAAAGAGTTTATCAAAACTGCTCTGTCAAAAGGAAGGTTCTTCTCTGTTAGTTGAGTACATACGTCATAAAGGAGTTTCTGAGAATGTTTCTGTCTAGTGGTTATCGGAAGATATTTGCTTTTTCACCGTAGGCCTCAGAGCGCTCCAAATATCCACTTGCACATACTACAAAAAGAGTGCTTCAAAGCTGGTCTCTGAAACGGAATGTTCAACTCTATGAGTTGAATGCAAACATCACAAAGACGTTTCTGAGAATGCTTCTGTCTAGATTTATGACGATATTCCCGTTTCCAACGAAATCTTCAAATCTATCCAAATGTCTACTTGCAGATTCAACAAAGTGTTTTTCAGAACTGCTCTATCAAAAGAAAGATCCACCTCTGTTAGCTGAGATCACACTTCACAAACAAGTTTATCAGAATGCTTCTGTCTAGTTTTTATTTGAAGATATTTCCTTTCTCACCATAGAGCTGAAAGCTGTCCTAATGTTCACTTCCAGATACTACAGAAAGAGTTTTTCAAAACTGCTGTACGAAAGGGAATGTTCAACTCTGTGACTTGAATGCACACATCACAAAGAAGTTTCTGAGGATGCTGCTGTCTACTTTTTATACTTAATCCCGTTTCCAACGAAATCCTCCAAGCTATCCAAATATCCACTTGCAGATTCCACAGAAAGACTGTTTCAAAACTGCTCTGTCAATGGAAAGGTTCAACTCTGTTAGCTGCGTGCATATATCCCAAAGAAGATTCTGAGATTGCTTCTGTCTAGTTTTTATGGGAAGATATTTCCCTTCTCACCATAGGCGTCAAGGCGCTCCAAAAGTCCACTTCTAGATACTACAAAAAGAGTGTTTCAAACCTACTCTGTGAAAGGGAATATTCAACTCTGTGACTTCAATGCAGATATCACCAAGAAGTTTCTGAGAATGCTTCTGTCGAGATTTTATATGAAGATATTCCCGTTGCCAACGAAATCCTGAAATCTATCCAAATATCCCCTCGCAGATTCTACAAAAAGAGTGTTTCAAAACTGCTCTGTAAAAAGAAAGGTTCAACTCTGTTAGTTGAGTACACACATCACAAACAAGTTTCACAGAATGCTTCTTTCTAGCTTGTAGGGGAAGATATTCCCTTTATCACCATTGGGCCTCAAACCGTCCGAAACGTCTACTTCCATATACTACAAAAAGAGCGTTTCAAACCTGCTCTATGAAAGGCAATGTTCAACTCTGTGACTTGAATGCAGACATCACAGAGCAGTTTCTGAGAATGCTTCTGTCTAGATTTTATAGGAAGATATTCCCGTTTCCAGCGAAATCTTCACAGCTATCCAAATATCCACTTGCAGATTCTACAAAATGAGTTTATCAAAACTGCTCTGTCAAAAGGAAGGTTCTTCTCTGTTAGGTGAGTGCATACGTCATAAAGGAGTTTCTGAGAATGTTTCTGTCTAGTGGTTATGGGAAGATATTTGCTTTTTCACCGTAGGCCTCAGAGCGCTCCAAATGTCCACTTGCACATACTACAAAAAGAGTGCTTCAAACCTGCTCTCTGAAAGGGAATGTTCAACTCTATGAGTTGAATGCAAACATCACAAAGACGTTTCTGAGAATGCTTCTGTCTAGATTTGATATGAAGATATTCCCGTTTCCAACGAAATCTTCAAATCTATCCAAATGTCCACTTGCAGATTCAACAAAAAGTGTTTTTCAGAACTGCTATATCAAAAGAAAGATCCACCTCTGTTAGCTGAGTTCACACATCACAAACAAGTTTATGAGAATGCTTCTGTCTAGTTTTTATTTGAAGATATTTCCTTTCTCACCATAGAGCTGAAAGCTGTCCTAATGTTCACTTCCAGATACTACAGAAAGAGTGTTTCAAAACTGCTGTATGAAAGGGAATGTTCAACTATGTGACTTGAATGCACACATCACAAAGAAGTTTCTGAGGATGCTGCTGTCTACTTTTTATACGTAATCCCGTTTCCAACGAAATCCTCCAAGCTATCCAAATATCCACTTGCAGATTCCACAGATAGACTGTTTCAAAACTGCTCTGTCAATAGAAAGGTTCAACTCTGTTAGCTGCGTGCATATATCCCAAAGAAGATTCTGAGATTGCTTTTGTCTAGTTTTTATGGGAAGATATTTCCCTTTTCACCGTAGGCGTCAAGGCGCTCCAAATGTCCACTTCCAGATACTACAAAAAGAGTGTTTCAAACCTACTCTGTGAAAGGGAATATTCAACTCTGTGACTTGAAGGCAGATATCACAAAGAAGTTTCTGAGAATGCTTCTGTCGAGATTTTATATGAAGATATTCCCGTTTACAACGAAATCCTGAAATCTATCCAAATATCCCCTCGCAGATTCTACAAAAAGAGTGTTTCAAAACTGCTCTGTAAAAAGAAAGGTTCAACTCTGTTAGTTGAGTACACACATCACAAACAAGTTTCACAGAATGCTTCTTTCTAGCTTGTAGGGGAAGATATTCCCTTTATCACCATGGGCCTCAAACCGTCCGAAACGTCCACTTCCATATACTACAAAAAGAGCCTTTCAAACATGCTCTATGAAAGGCAATGTTCAACTCTGTGACTTGAATGCAGACATCACAGAGCAGTTTCTGAGAATCCTTCTGTCTAGATTTTATAGGAAGATATTCCCGTTTCCAACGAAATCTTCACAGCTATCCAAATATCCACTGTCAGATTCCACAAAAAGAGTGTATCAAAAGTGCTCTGTCAAAAGGAAGGTTCTTCTCTGTTAGGTGAGTGCATACGTCATAAAGGAGTTTCTGAGAATGTTTCTGTCTAGTGGTTATGGGAAGATATTTGCTTTTTCACCGTAGGCCTCAGAGCGCTCCAAATATCCACTTGCACATACTACAAAAAGAGTGCTTCAAAGCTGCTCTCTGAAACGGAATGTTCAACTCTATGAGTTGAATGCAAACATCACAAAGACGTTTCTGAGTATGCTTCTGTCTAGATTTGATATGAAGATATTCCCGTTTCCAACGAAATCTTCAAATCTATCCAAATGTCCACTTCCAGATTCAACAAAAAGTGTTTTTCAGAACTGCTCTATCAAAAGAAAGATCCACCTCTGTTAGCTGAGTTCACACATCACAAACATGTTTATGACAATGCTTCTGTCTAGTTTTTATTTGAAGATATTTCCTTTCTCACCATAGAGCTGAAAGCTGTCCTAATGTTCACTTCCAGATACTACAGAAAGAGTGTTTGAAAACTGCTGTACGAAAGGGAATGTTCAACTCTGTGACTTGAATGCACACATCACAAAGAAGGTTCTGAGGATGCTGCTGTCTACTTTTTATACGTAATCCCGTTTCCAACGAAATCCTCCAAGCTATCCAAATATCCACTTGCAGATTCCACAAAAAGACTGTTTCAAAACCGCTCTGTCAATAGAAAGGTTCAACTCTGTTAGCTGCGTGCATACATCCCAAAGAACATTCTGAGGTTGCTTCTGTCTAGTTTTTATGGGAAGATATTTCCCTTTTCACCGTAGGCATCAAGGCGCTCCAAATGTCCACTTCCAGATACTACAAAAAGAGTGTTTCAAACCTACTCTGTGAAAGGGAATATTCAACTCTGTGACTTGAATGCACATATCACAAGGAAGTTTCTGAGAATGCTTCTGTCGAGATTTTATATGAAGGTATTCCCGTTTCCAACGAAATCCTGAAATCTATCCAAATATCCCCTCGCAGATTCTACAAAAAGAGTGTTTCAAAACTGCTCTGTAAAAAGAAAGGTTCAACTCTGTTAGTTGAGTACACACATCACAAACAAGTTTCACAGAATGCTTCTTTCTAGCTTGTAGGGGAAGATATTCCCTTTATCACCATGGGCCTCAAACCGTCCGAAACGTCCACTTCCATATACTACAAAAAGAGCGTTTCAAACCTGCTCTATGAAAGGCAATGTTCAACTCCGTGAGTTGAATGCAGACATCACAGAGCAGTTTCTGAGAATGCTTCTGTCTAGTGGTTATGGGAAGATATTTGCTTTTTCACCGTAGGCCTCAGAGCGCTCAAAATATCCACTTGCACATACTACAAAAAGAGTGCTTCAAAGCTGCTCTCTGAAAGGGAATGTTCAACTCTATGAGTTGAATGCAAACATCACAAAGACGTTTCTGAGAATGCTTCTGTCTAGATTTGATATGAAGATATTCCCGTTTCCAACGAAATCTTCAAATCTATCCAAATGTCCACTTGCAGATTCAACAAAAATTGTTTTTCAGAACTGCTCTATCAAAAGAAAGATCCACGTGTGTTAGCTGAGTTCACACATAACAAACAAGTTTATGAGAATGCTTCTGTCTAGTTTTTATTTGAAGATATTTCCTTTCTCACCATAGACCTGAAAGCTGTCCTAATGTTCACTTCCAGATACTACAGAAAGAGTGTTTCAAAACTGCTGTATGAAAGGGAATGTTCAACTCTGTGACTTGAATGCACACATCAAAAAGAAGTTTCTGAGGATGCTGCTGTCTACTTTTTATACGTAATCCCGTTTCCAACGAAATCCTCCAAGGTATCCAAATATCCACTTGCAGATTCCACAGAAAGACAGTTTCAAAACTGCTCTGTCAATAGAAAGGTTCAACTCTGTTAGCTGCGTGCATATATCCCAAAGAAGATTCTGAGATTGCTTCTGTCTACTTTTCATGAGAAGATATTTCCCTTTTCACCGTAGGCGTCAAGGTGCTCCAAATGTCCACTTCCAGATACTACAAAAAGAGTGTTTCAAACCTACTCTGTGAAAGGGAATATTCAACTCTGTGACTTGAATGCACATATCACAAAGAAGCTTCTGAGAATGCTTCTGTCGAGATTTTATATGAAGATATTCCCGTTTCCAACGAAATCCTGAAATCTATCCAAATATCCCCTCGCAGATTCTACAAAAAGAGTGTTTCAAAACTGCTCTGTAAAAGAAAGGTTCAACTCTGTTAGTTGAGTACACACATCACAAACAAGTTTCACAGAATGCTTCTTTCTAGCTTGTAGAGGAAGAATATTCCCTTTATCACCATGGGCCTCCAACCGTCCGAAACATCCACTTCCATATACTACAAAAAGAGCGTTTCAAACCTGCTCTATGAAAGGCAATGTTCAACTCTGTGACTTGAATGCAGACATCACAGAGCAGTTTCTGAGAATGCTTCTGTCTAGATTTTATAGGAAGATATTCCCGTTTCCAATGAAATCTTCACAGGTATCCAAATATCCACTTGCAGATTCTACAAAAAGAGTGTATCAAAACTGCTCTGTCAAAAGGAAGGTTCTTCTCTGTTAGGTGAGTGCATACGTCATAAAGGAGTTTCTGAGAATGTTTTCTGTCTAGTGGTTATGGGAAGATATTTGCTTTTTCACCGTAGGCCTCAGAGCGCTCCAAATATCCACTTGCACATACTACAAAAAGAGTGCCTCAAAGCTGCTCTCTGAAACGGAATGTTCAACTCTATGAGTTGAATGCAAACATCACAAAGACGTTTCTGAGAATGCTTCTGTCTAGATTGGATATGAAGATATTCCCGTTTCCAACGAAATCTTCAAATCTATCCAAATGTCCACTTGCAGATTCAACAAAAAGTGTTTTTCAGAACTGCTCTATCAAAAGAAAGATCCACCTCTGTTAGCTGAGTTCACACATCACAAACAAGTTTATGAGAATGCTTCTGTCTAGTTTTTATTTGAAGATATTTCCTTTCTCACCATAGAGCTGAAAGCTGTCCTAATGTTCACTTCCAGATACTACAGAAAGAGTGTTTCAAAACTGCTGTACGAAAGGGAATGTTCAACTCTGTGACTTGAATGCACACATCAGAAAGAAGTTTCTGAGGATGCTGCTGTCTACTTTTTCTACGTAATCCCGTTTCCAACGAAATCCTCCAAGCTATCCAAATATCCACTTGCAGATTCCACAGAAAGACTGTTTCAAAACTGTTCTGTCAATAGAAAGGTTCAACTCTGTTAGCTGCGTGCATATATCCCAAAGAAGATTCTGAGATTGCTTCTGTCTAATTTTTATGGGAAGATATTTCCCTTTTCACCGTAGGCGTCAAGGCGCTCCAAATGTCCACTTCCAGATACTACAAAAAGAGTGTTTCAAACCTACTCTGTGAAAGGGAATATTCAACTCTGTGACTTGAATGCACATATCACAAGGAAGTTTCTGAGAATGCTTTCTGTCGAGATTTTATATGAAGATATTCCCATTTCCAACGAAATCCTGAAATCTATCCAAATATCCCCTCGCAGATTCTACAAAAAGAGTGTTTCAAAACTGCTCTGTAAAAAGAAAGGTTCAACTCTGTTAGTTGAGTACACACATCACAAACAAGTTTCACAGAATGCTTCTTTCTAGCTTGTAGGGGAAGATATTCCCTTTATCACCATGGGCCTCAAACCGTCCGAAAAGTCCACTTCAATATACTACAAAAAGAGCGTTTCAAACCTGCTCTATGAAAGGCAATGTTCAACTCTGTGACTTGAATGCAGACATCACAGAGCAGTTTCTGAGAATGCTTCTGTCTAGGTTTTATAGGAAGATATTCCCGTTTCCAACGAAATCTTCACAGCTATCCAAATATCCACTTGCAGACAGTACAAAAAGAGTGTATCAAAAATGCTCCGTCAAAAGGAAAGTTCTTCTCTGTCAGTTGAGTACATACGTCATAAAGGAGTTTCTGAGAATGTTTCTGTCTAGTGGTTATGGGAAGATATTTGCTTTTTCACCGTAGGCCTCAGAGCGCTCCAAATATCCACTTGCACATACTACAAAAAGAGTGCTTCAAACCTGCTCTCTGAAACGGAATGTTCAACTCTATGAGATGAATGCAAACATCACAAAGACGTTTCTGAGAATGCTTCTGTCTAGATTTGATATGAAGATACTCCCGTTTCCAACGAAATCTTCAAATCTATCCAAATGTCCTCTTGCAGATTCAACAAAAAGTGTTTTTCAGAACTGCTCTATCAAAAGAAAGATCCACGTGTGTTAGCTGAGTTCACACATCACGAACAAGTTTATGAGAATGCTTCTGTCTAGTTTTTATTTGAAGATATTTCCTTTCTCACCATAGAGCTGAAAGCTGTCCTAATGTTCACTTCCAGATACTACAGAAAGAGTGTTTCAAAACTGCTGTACGAAAGGGAATGTTCAACTCTGTGACTTCAATGCACACATCACAAAGAAGTTTCGGAGGATGCTGCTGTCTAATTTTTATACGTAATCCCGTTACCAACGAAATCCTCCAAGCTATCCAAATATCCACTTACAGATTCCACAGAAAGACTGTTTCAAAACTGCTCTGTCAATAGAAAGGTTCAACTCTGTTAGCTGCGTGCATATATCCCAAAGAAGATTCTGAGATTGCTTCTGTCTAGTTTTTATGGGAAGATATTTCCCTTTTCACCGTAGGTGTCAAGGCGCTCCAAATGTCCACTTCCAGATACTACAAAAACAGTGTTTCAAACCTACTCTGTGAAAGGGAATATTCAACTCTGTGACTTGAATGCACATATCACAAAGAAGTTTCTGAGAATGCTTCTGTCGAGATTTTATATGAAGATATTCCCGTTTCCAACGAAATCCTGAAATGTATCCAAATATCCCCTCGCAGATTCTACAAAAAGAGTGTTTCAAAACTGCTCTGTAAAAAGAAAGGTTCAACTCTGTTAGTTGAGTACAAACATCACAAACAAGTTTCACAGAATGCTTCTTTCTAGCTTGTAGGGGAAGATATTCCCTTTATCAACATGGGCCTCAAACCTTCCGAAACGTCCACTTCCATATACTACAAAAAGAGGGTTTCAAACCTGCTCTATGAAAGGCAATGTTCAACTCTGTGACTTGAATGCAGACATCACAGAGCAGTTTCTGAGAATGCTTCTGTCTAGATTTTATAGGAAGATATTCCCGTTTCCAACGAAATCTTCACAGCTATCCAAATATCCACTTGCAGATTCTACAAAAAGAGTGTATCAAAACTGCTCTGTCAAAAGGAAGGTTCTTCTCGGTTAGGTGAGTGCATACGTCATAAAGGAGTTTCTCAGAATGTTTCTGTCTAGTGGTTATGGGAAGATATTTGCTTTTTCCCCGTAGGCCTAAGAGCGCTCCAAATATCCACTTGCACATACTACAAAAAGAGTGCTTCAAAGCTGCTCTCTGAAACGGAATGTTCAACTCTATGAGTTGAATGCAAACATCACAAAGACGTTTCTGAGAATGCTTCTGTCTAGATTTGATATGAAGATATTCCCGTTTCCAACGAAATCTTCAAATCTATCCAAATGTCCACTTGCAGATTCAACAAAAAGTGTTTTTCAGAACTGCTCTATCAAAAGAAAGATCCACCCCTGTTAGATGAGTTCACACATCACAAACAAGTTTATGAGAATGCTTCTGTCTAGTTTTTATTTGAAGATATTTCCTTTCTCATCATAGACCTGAAAGCTGTCCTAATGTTCACTTCCAGATACTACAGAAAGAGTGTTTCAAAACTGCTGTACGAAAGGGAATGTTCAACTTTGTGACTTGAATGCACACATCACAAAGAAGTTTCTGAGGATGCTGCTGTCTACTTTTATACGTAATCCCGTTTCCAACGAAATCCTCCAAGCTATCCAAATATCCACTTGCAGATTCCACAGAAAGACTGTTTCAAAACTGCTCTGTCAATAGAAAGGTTCAACTCTGTTAGCTGCGTGCATATATCCCGAAGAAGATTCTGAGATTGCTTCTGTCTAGTTTTTATGGGAAGATATTTCCCTTTTCACCGTGGGCGTCAAGGCGCTCCAAATGTCCACTTCCAGATACTACAAAAAGAGTGTTTCAAACCTCCTCTGTGAAAGGGAATATTCAACTCTGTGACTTGAATGCACATATCACAAGGAAGTTTCTGAGAATGCTTCTGTCGAGATTTTATATGAAGATATTCCCGTTTCCAACGAAATCCTGAAATGTATCCAAATATCCCCTCGCAGATTCTACAAAAAGAGTGTTTCAAAACTGCTCTGTGAAAAGAAAGGTTCAACTCTGTTAGTTGAGTACACACAAACAAGTTTCACAGAATGCTTCTTTCTAGCTTGTAGGGGAAGATATTCCCTTTATCACCATGTGCCTCAAACCGTCCGAAACGTCCACTTCCATATACTACAAAAAGAGCGTTTCAAACCTGCTCTATGAAAGGCAATGTTCAACTCTGTGACTTGAATGCAGACATCACAGAGCAGTTTCTGAGAATGCTTCTGTCCAGACTTTATAGGAAGATATTCCCGTTTCCAACGAAATCTTCACAGATATCCAAATATCCACTTGCAGATAGTACAAAAAGAGTGTATCAAAAATGCTCTGTCAAAAGGAAAGTTCTTCTCTGCTAGTTGAGTACATACGTCATAAAGAAGTTTCTGAGAATGTTTCTGTCTAGTGGTTATGGGAAGATATTTGCTTTTTCCCCGTAGGCCTCAGGGCGCTCCAAATGTCCACTTGCACATGCTACAAAAAGAGTGCTTCAAATCTGCTCTCTCAAAGGGAATGTTCAACTCTATGAGTTGAATGCAAACATCGCAAAGACGTTTCTGAGAATGCTTCTGTCTAGATGTGATATGAAGATATTCCCGTTTCCAACGAAATCTTCAAATCTATCCAAATGTCCACTTGCAGATTCAACAAAAAGTGTTTTTCAGAACTGCTCTATCAAAAGAAAGATCCACCTCTGTTAGCTGAGTTCAGACATCACAAACAAGTTTATGAGAATGCTTCTGTCTAGTTTTTATTTGAAGATATTTCCTTTCTAACCATAGACCTGAAAGCTGTCCTAATGTTCACTCCCAGATACTACAGAAAGAGTGTTTCAAAACTGCTGTACGAAAGGGAATGTTCAACTCTGTGACTTGAATGCACACATCACAAAGAAGATTCTGAGGATGCTGCTGTCTACTTTTTATACTTAATCCCATTTCCAACGAAATCCTCCAAGCTATCCAAATATCCACTTGCAGATTCCACAGAAAGACTGTTTCAAAACTGCTCTGTCAATAGAAAGGTTCAACTCTGTTAGCTGCGTGCATATATCCCAAAGAAGATTCTGAGATTGCTTCTGTCTACTTTTTATGAGAAGATATTTCCCTTTTCACCGTAGGCGTCAAGGCGCTCCAAATGTCCACTTCCAGATACTACAAAAAGAGTGTTTCAAACCTACTCTGTGAAAGGGAATATTGAACTCTGTGACTTGAATGCACATATCACAAAGAAGCTTTCTGAGAATGCTTCTGTCGAGATTTTATATGAAGATATTCCCCTTTCCAACGAAATCCTGAAATCTATCCAAATATCCCCTCGCAGATTCTACAAAAAGAGTGTTTCAAAACTGCTCTATAAAAAGAAAGGTTCAACTCTGTTAGTTGAGTACACACATCACAAACAAGTTTCACAGAATGCTTCTTTCTAGCTTGTAGGGGAAGATATTCCCTTTATCACCATGGGCCTCAAACCGTCCGAAACGTCTACTTCCATATACTACAAAAAGAGCGTTTCAAACCTGCTCTATGAAAAGCAATGTTCAACTCTGTGACTTGAATGCAGACATCAGATAGCAGTTTCTGAGAATGCTTCTGTCTAGATTTTATAGGAAGATATTCCCGTTTCCAACGAAATCTTCACAGCTATCCAAATATCCACTTGCAGATTCTACAAAAAGAGTGTATCAAAACTACTCTGTCAAAAGGAAGGTTCTTCTCTGTTAGTTGAGTACATACGTCATAAAGGAGTTTCTGAGAATGTTTCTGTGTAGTGGTTATGGGAAGATATTTGCTTTTTCACCGTAGGCCTCAGAGCGCTCCAAATATCCACTTGCACATACTACAAAAAGAGTGCCTCACAGCTGCTCTCTGAAACGGAATGTTCAACTCTATGAGTTGAATGCAAACATCGCAAAGACGTTTCTGAGAATGCTTCTGTCTAGATTTGATATGAAGATATTCCCGTTTCCAACGAAATCTTCAAATCTATCCAAATGTCGACTTGCAGATTCAACAAAAAGTGTTTTTCAGAACTGCTCTATCAAAAGAAAGATCCACCTCTGTTAGCTGAGTTCACACATCACAAACAAGTTTATGAGAATGCTTCTGTCTAGTTTTTATTTGAAGATATTTCCTTTCTCACCATAGACCTGAAAGCTGTCCTAATGTTCACTTCCAGATACTACAGAAAGAGTGTTTCAAAACTGCTGTACGAAAGGGAATGTTCAACTCTGTGACTTGAATGCACACATCACAAAGATGTTTCTGAGGATGCTGCTGTCTACTTTTTATACATAATCCCGTTTCCAACGAAATCCTCCAAGCTATCCAAATATCCACTTGCATATTCCACAGAAAGACTGTTTCAAAACTGCTATGTCAATAGAAAAGTTCAACTCTGTTAGCTGTGTGCATATATCCCAAAGAAAATTCTGAGATTGCTTCTGTCTTGTTTTTATGGGAAGATATTTCCCTTTTCACCGTAGGTCTCAAGGGGCTCCAAATGTCCACTTCCAGATACTACAAAAAGAGTGTTTCAAACCTACTCTGTGAAAGGGAATATTCAACTCTGTGACTTAAAGGCAGATATCACAAAGAAGTTTCTGAGAATGCTTCTGTCGAGATTTTATATGAAGATATTCCCGTTCCAACGAAATCCTGAAATCTATCCAAATATCCCCTCGCAGATTCTACAAAAAGAGTGTCTCAAAACTGCTCTGTAAAAAGAAAGGTTCAACTCTGTTAGTTGAGTACACACATCACAAACAAGTTTCACAGAATGCTTCTTTCTAGCTTGTAGCGAAGATATTTCCTTTATCACCATGGGCCTCAAACCGTCCGAAACGTCCACTTCCATATACTACAAAAAGAGCATTTCAAAACTGCTCTATGAAAGGCAATGTTCAACTCTGTGACTTGAATGCAGACATCACAGAGCAGTTTCTGAGAATGCTTCTGTCTAGATTTTATAGGAAGATATTCCCGTTTCCAACGAAATCTTCACAGCTATCCAAATATCCACTTGCAGATTCTACAAAAAGAGTGTATCAAAACTGCTCTGTCAAAAGGAAGGTTCTTCTCTGTTAGTTGAGTACAAACGTCATAAAGGAGTTTCTGAGAATGTTTCTGTCTAGTGGTTATGGGAAGATATTTGCTTTTTCACCTTAGGCCTCAGAGCGCTCCATATATCCCCTTGCACATACTACAAAAAGAGTGCCTCAAAGCTGCTCTCTGAAACGGAATGTTCAACTCTATGAGTTGAATGCCAACATCACAAAGACGTTTCTGAGAATGCTTCTGTCTAGATTTGATATGAAGATATTCCCGTTTCCAACGAAATCTTCAAATCTATCCAAATGTCCACTGCAGATTCAACAAAAAGTGTTTTTCAGAACTGCTCTATCAAAAGAAAGATCCACCTCTGTTAGCTGAGTTCACACATCACAAACAAGTTTATGAGAATGCTTCTGTCTAGTTTTTATTTGAAGATATTTCCTTTCTCACCATAGACCTGAAAGCTGTCCTAATGTTCACTTCCAGATACTACAGAAAGAGCGTTTCAAAACTGCTGTACGAAAGGGAATGTTCAACTCTGTGACTTGAATGCACACATCACAAAGAAGTTTCTGAGGATGCTGCTGTCTACTTTTTATACGTAATCCCGTTTCCAAAGAAATCCTCCAATCTATCCAAATATCCACTTGCAGATTCCACAGAAAGACTGTTTCTAAACTGCTCTGTCAATAGAAAGGTTCAACTCTGTTAGCTGCGTGCATATATCCCAAAGAAGATTCTGAGATTGCTTCTGTCTAGTTTTTAGGGGAAGATATTTCCTTTTTCACAATAGGCGTCAAAGCGATCCAAATGTCCAATTCCAGATACTACAAAAAGAGTGTTTCAAACCTACTCTGTGAAAGGGAGTATTCAAGTCTGTGACTTCAATGCAGATATCACAATGAAGTTTCTGAGAATGCTTCGGTCTTCTGTCGAGATTTTATATGAAGATATTCCCGTTTCCAACGAAATCCTGAAATCTATCCAAATATCCCCTCGCATATTCTACAAAAAGAGTGTTTCAAAACTGCTCTGTAAAAAGAAAGGTTCAACTCTGTTAGTTGAGTACACACATCACAAACAAGTTTCACAGAATGCTTCTTTCTAGCTTGTAGGGGAAGATATTCCCTTTATCACCATGGGCCTCAAACCGTCCGAAACGTCCACTTCCATATACTACAAAAAGAGCGTTTCAAACCTGCTCTAGGAAAGGCAGAGTTCAACTCTGTGACTTGAATGCAGACATCACAGAGCAGTTTCTGAGAATGCTTCTGTCTAGATTTTATAGGAAGATATTCCCGTTTCCAACGAAATCTTCACAGCTATCCAAATATCCACTTGCAGATTCTACAAAAAGTGTGTATCAAAAATGCTCTGTCAAAAGGAAGGTTCTTCTCTGTTAGGTGAGTGCACACGTCATAAAGGAGTTTCTGAGAATGTTTCTGTCTAGTGGTTATGGGAAGATATTTGCTTTTTCACCTTAGGCCTCAGAGCGCTCCAAATACCCCCTTGCACATACTACAAAAAGAGTGCTTCAAAGCTGCTCTCTGAAAGGGAATGTTCAACTCTATGAGTTGAATGCAAACATCACAAAGACGTTTCTGAGAATGCTCTGTCTAGATTTGATATGAAGATATTCCCGTTTCCAACGAAATCTTCATATCTATCCAAATGTCCACTTGCAGATTCAACAAAACGTGTTTTTCAGAACTGCTCTATCAAAAGAAACATCCACCTCTGTTAGCTGAGTTCACACATCACAAACAAGTTCTTGAGAATGCTTTCTGTCTAGTTTTTATTTGAAGATATTTCCTTTCTCACCATAGAGCTGAAAGCTGTCCTAATGTTCACTTCCAGATATTACAGAAAGAGTGTTTCAAAACTGCTGTACGAAAGGGAATGTTCAACTCTGTGACTTGAATGCACACATCACAAAGAAGTTTCTGAGGATGCTGCTGTCTACTTTCTATACGTAATCCCGTTTCCTACGAAATCCTCCAAGCTATCCAAATATCCACTTGCAGATTCCACAGAAAGACTGTTTCAAAACTGCTCTGTCAATAGAAAGGTTCAACTCTATTAGCTGCGTGCATATATCCCAAAGAAGATTCTGAGATTGCTTCTGTCTAGTTTTTATGGGAAGATATTTCCCTTTTCACCGTAGGTGTCAAGGCGCTCCAAATGTCCACTTCCAGATACTACAAAAAGAGTGTTTCAAACCTACTCTGTGAAACGGAATATTCAACTCTGTGACTTGAATGCACATATCACAAAGAAGTTTCTGAGAATGCTTCTGTCGAGATTTTATATGAAGATATTCCCGTTTCCAACGAAATCCTGAAATCTATCCAAATATCCCCTCGCAGATTCTACAAAAAGAGTGTTTCAAAACTGCTCTGTAAAAAGAAAGGTTCAACTCTGTTAGTTGAGTACACGCATCACAAACATGTTTCACAGAATGCTTCTTTCTAGCTTGTAGGGGAAGATATTCCCTTTATCACCATGGTCCTCAAACCGTCCGAAACGTCCACTTCCATATACTACAAAAAGAGCGTTTCAAACCTGCTCTAGGAAAGGCAATGTTCAACTCTGTGACTTGAATGCAGACATCACAGAGCAGTTTCTGAGAATGCTTCTGTCTAGTATTTTATAGGAAGATATTCCCGTTTCCAGCAAAATCTTCACAGCTATCCAAATATCCACTTGCAGATTCTACAAAAAGAGTGTATCAAAACTGCTCTGTCAAATGGAAGGTTCTTCTCTGTTAGGTGAGTGCATACGTCATAAACGAGTTTCTGAGAATGTTTCCATCTAGTGGTTATGGGAAGATATTTGCTTTTTCACCGAAGGCCTCAGAGCGCTCCAAATATCCACTTGCACATACTACAAAAAGAGTGCCTCAAAGCTGCTCTCTGAATCGGAATGTTCAACTCTATGAGTTGAATGCAAACATCACAACGACGTTTCTGAGAATGCTTCTGACTAGATTTGATATGAAGATATTCCCGTTTCCAACGAAATCTTCAAATCTATTCAAATGTCCACTTGCAGATTCAACAAAAAGTGTTTTTCAGAACTGCTCTATCAAAAGAAAGATCCACCTCTGTTAGCTGAGTTCACACATCACAAACAAGTTTATGAGAATGCTTCTGTCTAGTTTTTATTTGAAGATATTTCCTTTCTCACCATAGACCTGAAAGCTGTCCTAATGTTCACTTCCAGTTACTACAGAAAGAGTGTTTCAAAACTGCTGTACGAAAGGGAATGTTCAACTCTGTGACTTGAATGCACAGATCACAAAGAAGTTTCTGAGGATGCTGCTGTCTACTTTTTATACGTAATCCCGTTTCCAACGAAATCCTCCAAGCTATCCAAATATCCACTTGCAGATTCCACAGAAAGACTGTTTCAAAACTGCTCTGTGAATAGAAAGGTTCAACTCTGTTAGCTGCGTGCATATATCCCAAAGAAGATTCTGAGATTGCTTCTGTCTAGTTTTTATGGGAAGATATTTCCCTTTTCACCGTAGGCATCAAGGCGCTCCAAATGTCCACTTCCAGACTACTACAAAAAGGGTTTTTCAAACCTAGTCTGTGAAAGGGAATATTCAACTCTGTGACTTGAATGCACATATCACAAAGAAGTTTCTGAGAATGCTTCTGTCGAGATTTTATATGAAGATATTCCCGTTTCCAACGAAATCCTGAAATCTATCCAAATATCCCCTCGCAGATTCTACAAAAAGAGGGTTTCAAAACTGCTCTGTAAAAAGAAAGGTTCAACTCTGTTAGTTGAGTACACACATCACAAACAAGTTTCACAGAATGCTTCTTTTCTAGCTTGTAGGGGAAGATATTCCCTTTATCACCATGGGCCTCAAACCGTCCGAAACGTCCACTTCCATATACTACAAAAAGAGTGTTTCAAACCTGCTCTATGAACGGCAATGTTCAACTCTGTGACTTGAATGCAGACATCACAGAGCAGTTTCTGAGAATGCTTCTGTCTAGATTTTATAGGAAGATATTCTCGTTTCCAACGAAATCTTCACAGCTATCCAAATATCCACTTGCAGATTCTACAAAAAGAGTGTATCAAAACCGCTCTGTCAAAAGGAAGGTTCTTCTCTGTTAGGTGAGTGCATACGTCATAAAGGAGTTTCTGAGAATGTTTCTGTCTAGTGGTTATGGGAAGATATTTGCTTTTCCACCGTAGGCCTCAGAGCGCTCCAAATATCCACTTGCACATACTACAAAAAGAGTGCTTCAAAGCTGCTCTCTGAAAGAGAATGTTCAACTCTATGAGTTGAATGCAAACATCACAAAGACGTTTCTGAGAATGCTTCTGTCTAGATTTGATATGAAGATATTCCCGTTTCCAACGAAATCTTCAAATCTATCCAAATGTCCACTTGCAGATTCAACAAAAAGTGTTTTTCAGAAGTGCTCTATCAAAAGAAAGATCCACCTCTGTTAGCTGAGTTCACACATCACAAACAAGTTTATGAGAATGCTTCTGTCTAGTTTTTATTTGAAGATATATCCTTTCTCACTATAGACCTGAAAGCTCTCCTAAATTTCACTTCCAGATACTACAGAAAGAGTGTTTCAAAACTGCTGTACGAAAGGGAATGTTCAACTCTGTGACTTGAATGCACACATCACAAGGATGTTTCTGAGGATGCTGCTGTCTACTTTTTATACTTAATCCCGTTTCCAACGAAATCCTCCAAGCTATCCAAATATTCACTTGCAGATTCCACAGAAAGACTGTTTCAAAACTGCTCTGTCAATAGAAAGGTTCAACTCTGTTAGCTGCGTGCATATATCCCAAAGAAGATTCTGAGATTGCTTCTGTCTAGTTTTTATGGGAAGATATTTCCCTTTTCACCGTAGGCATCAAGGCGCTCCAAATGTCCACTTCCAGATACTACAAAAAGAGTGTTTCAAACCTACTCTGTGAAAGCGAATATTCAACTCTGTGACTTGAATGCACATATCACAAAGAAGTTTCTGAGAATGCTTCTGTCGAGGATTTTATATGAAGATATTCCCGTTTCCAACGAAATCCTGAAATGTATCCAAATATCCCCTCGCAGATTCTACAAAAAGAGTGTTTCAAAACTGCTCTGTAAAAAGAAAGGTTCAACTCTGTTAGTTGAGTACACACATCACAAATAAGTTTCACACAATGCTTCTTTCTAGCTTGTAGGGGAAGATATTCCCTTTATCACCATGGGCCTCCAACCGTCGGAAACATCCGGTTCCATATACTACAAAAAGAGCGTTCCAAACCTGCTCTATGAAAGGCAATGTTCAACTCTGTGACTTGAATGCAGACATCACAGAGCAGTTTCTGAGAATGCTTCTGTCTAGATTTTATAGGAAGATATTCCCGTTTCCAACGAAATCTTCACAGCTATCCAAATATCCACTTGCAGATTCTACAAAAAGAGTGTATCAAAACTGCTCTGTGAAAAGGAAGGTTCTTTTCTGTTAGGTGAGTGCATACGTCATAAAGGAGTTTCTGAGAATGTTTCTGTCTAGTGGTTATGGGAGATATTTGCTTTTTCCCCGTAGGCCTCAAAGCGCTCCAATTGTCCACTTGCACATACCACAAAAAGAGTTCTTCAAAGCTGCACTCTGAAAGGGAATGTTCAACTCTATGAGTTGAATGCAAACATCACAAAGCCGTTTCTGAGAATGCTTCTGTCTAGATTTGATATGAAGATATTCCCGTTTCCAACGAAATCTTCAAATCTATCCAAATGTCCACTTGCAGATTCAACAAAAAGTGTTTTTCAGAACTGCTCTATCAAAACAAAGATCCACCTCTGTTAGCTGAGTTCACACATCACAAACAAGTTTATGAGAATGCTTCTGTCTAGTTTTTATTTGAAGATATTTCCTTTCTCACCATAGTCCTGAAAGCTGTCCTAATGTTCACTTCCAGATACTACAGAAAGAGTGTTTCAAAACTGCTGTACGAAAGGGAATGTTCAACTCTGTGACTTGAATGCACACATCACAAAGAAGTTTACTGAGGATGCTGCTGTCTACTTTTTATACGTAATCCCGTTTCCAACGAAATCCTCCAAGCTATCCAAATATCCACTTGCAGTTTCCACAGAAAGACTGTTTCAAAACTGCTCTGTCAATAGAAAGGTTCAACTCTGTTAGCTGCGTACATATATCCCAAAGAAGATTCTGAGATTGCTTCTGTCTACTTTTTATGAGAAGATATTTGCCCTTTTCACCGTAGGCGTCAAGGCGCTCCAAATGTCCACTTCCAGATACTACAAAAAGAGTGTTTCAAACCTACTCTGTGAAAGGGAACATTGAACTCTGTGACTTGAATGCACATATCACAAAGAAGTTTCTGAGAATGCTTCTGTCGAGATTTTATATGAAGATATTCCCGTTTCCAACGAAATCCTGAAATCTATCCAAATATCCCCTCGCAGATTCTACAAAAAGAGTGTTTCAAAACTGCTCTGTAAAAAGAAAGGTTCAAATCTATTAGTTGAGTACACACATCACAAACAAGTTTCACAGAATGCTTCTTTCTAGCTTGTAGGGGAAGATATTTCCTTTATCACCATGGTCCTCAAACCGTCCGAAACGTCCACTTCCATATAGTAAAAAAAGAGTGTTTGAAACCTGCTCTATGAAAGGCAATGTTCAACTCTGTGACTTGAATGCACACATCACAAAGAAGTTTCTGAGGATGCTTCTGTCCAGACTTTATAGGAAGATATTCCGGTTTCCAACGAAATCTTCACAGCTATCCAAATATCCACTTGCAGATACTACAAAAAGAATGTATCAAAAATGCTCTGTCAAAAGGAAAGTTCTTCTCTGCTAGTTGAGTACATACGTCATAAAGAAGTTTCTGAGAATGTTTCTGTCTATTGGTTATGGGAAGATATTTGCTTTTTCCCCGTAGGCCTCAGAGCGCTCCAAATGTCCACTTGCACATGCTACAAAAAGAGTGCTTCAAAGCTGCTCTCTGCAAGGGAATGTTCAACTCTATGAGTTGAATGTAAACATCACAAAGACGTTTCTGAGAATGCTTCTGTCTAGATTTGATATGAAGATATTCCCGTTTCCAACGAAATCTTCAAATCTATCCAAATGTCCACTTGCAGATTCAACAAAAAGTGTTTTTCAGAACCGCTCTATCAAAAGAAAGATCCATCTCTGTTAGCTGAGTTCACACATCACAAACAAGTTTATGAGAATGCTTCTGTCTAGTTTTTATTTGAAGATATTTCCTTTCTCACCATAGAGCTGAAATCTGTCCTAATGTTCACTTCCAGATACTACAGAAAGAGTGTTTCAAAACTGCTGTACGAAAGGGAATGTTCAACTCTGTGACTTGAATGCACACATCACAAAGTAGTTTCTGAGGATGCTGCTGTCTACTTTTTATACGTAATCCCGTTTCCAACGAAATCCTCCAAGCTATCCAAATATCCACTTGCAGATTCCACAGAAAGACTGTTTCAAAACGGCTCTGTCAATAGAAAGGTTCAACTCTGTTAGCTGCGTGCATATATCCCAAAGAAGATTCTGAGATTGCTTCTGTCTACTTTTTATGAGAAGATATTTCCCTTTTCACCGTAGGCGTCAAGGCGCTCAAAATGTCCACTTCCAGATACTACAAAAAGAGTGTTTCAAACCTACTCTGTGAAAGGGAATATTCAACTCTGTGACTTGAATGCAGATATCACAAAGAAGTTTCTGAGAATGCTTCTGTCGAGATTTTATATGAAGATACTCCCGTTTCCAACGAAATCCTGAAATCTATCCAAATATCCCCTCGCAGATTCTACAAAAAGAGTGTTTCAAAACTACTCTGTAAAAGGAAAGGTTCAACTCTGTTAGTTGAGTACACACATCACAAACAAGTTTCACAGAATGCTTCTTTCTAGCTTGTAGGGGAAGATATTCCCTTTATCACCATGGGCCTCAAACAGTCCGAAACGTCCACTTCCATATACTACAAAAAGAGCGTTTCAAACCTGCTCTAGGAAAGGCAATGTTCAACTCCGTGACTTGAATGCAGACATCCCAGAGCAGTTTCAGAGAATGCTTCTGTCTAGATTTTATAGGAAGATATTCCCGTTTCCAACGAAATCTTCACACCTATCCAAATATCCACTTGCAGATTCTACAAAAAGAGTGTATCAAAACTGCTCTGTCAAAAGGAAGGTTCTTCTCTGTTAGGTGAGTGCATACGTCATAAAGGAGTTTCTGAGAATGTTTCTGTCTAGTGGTTATGGGAAGATATTTGCTTTTTCCCCGTAGGCCTCAGGGCGCTCCAAATGTCCACTTGCACATGCTACAAAATGAGTGCTTCAAAGCTACTCTCTGGAAGGGAATGTTCAACTCTATGAGTTGAATGCAAACATCACAAAGACGTTTCTGAGAATGCTTCCGTCTAGATTTGATATGAAGATATTCCCGTTTCCAACGACATCTTCAAATCTATCCAAATGTCCACTTGCAGATTCAACAAAAAGTGTTTTTCAGAACTGCTCTATCAAAAGAAAGATCCACCTCGGTTAGCTGAGTTCACACATCACAAACAAGTTTATGAGAATGCTTCTGTCTAGTTTTTATTTGAAGATATTTCCTTTCTCAATATAGACCTGAAAGCTGTCCTAATATTCACTTTCAGATACTACAGAAAGAGTGTTTCAAAACTGCTGTACGAAAGGGAATGTTCAACTCTGTGACTTGAATGCACACATCACAAAGAAGTTTCTGAGGATGCTGCTGTCTACTTTTTATACGTAATCCCGTTTCCAACGAAATCCTCTAAGCTATCCAAATATCCACTTGCAGATTCCACAGAAAGACTGTTTCAAAACTGCTCTGTCAATAGAAAGGTTCAACTCTGTTAGCTGCATGCATATATCCCAAAGAAGATTCTGAGATTGCTTCTGTCTAGTTTTTATGGAAGATATTTCCCTTTTCACCGTAGGCGTCAAGGCGCTCCAAATGTCCACTTCCAGATACTACAAAAAGAGTGTTTCAAACCTACTCTGTGAAAGGGAATATTCAACTCTGTGACTTGAATGCACATATCACAAAGAAGTTTCTGAGAATGCTTCTGTCGAGATTTTGTATGAAGATATTCCCGTTTCCAACGAAATCCTGAAATCTATCCAAATTTCCGCTCGCAGATTCTACAAAAAGAGTGTTTCAAAACTGCTCTGTGAAAAGAAAGGTTCAACTCTGTTAGTTGAGTACACACATCACAAACAAGTTTCACAGAATGCTTCTTTCTAGCTTGTAGGGGAAGATATTCCCTTTATCATCATGGGCCTCAAACCGTACGAAACGTCCACTTCCATATACTACAAAAAGAGCGTTTCAAACCTGCTCTATGAAAGGCAATGTTCAACTCTGTGACTTGAATGCAGACATCACAGAGCAGTTTCTGAGAATGCTTCTGTATAGATTTTATAGGAAGATATTCCCGTTTCCAAAGAAATCTTCACAGCTATCCAAATATCCACTTGCAGATTCTACAAAAAGAGTGTATCAAAACTGCTCTGTCAAAAGGAAGGTTCTTCTCTGTTAGCTGAGTGCATACGTCATAAAGGAGTTTCTGAGAATGTTTCTGTCTAGTGGTTATGGGAAGATATTTGCTTTTTCACCTTAGGCCTCAGAGTGCTCCAAATATCCCCTTGCACATACTACAAAAAGAGTGCTTCAAAGCTGCTCTCTGAAACGGAATGTTCAACTCTATGAGTTGAATGCAAACATCACAAAGACGTTTCTGGGAATGCTTCTGTCTAGATTTGATATGAAGATATTCCCGTTTCCAACGAAATCTTCAAATCTATCCTAATGTCCACTTGCAGATTCAACAAAAAGTGTTTTTCAGAACTGCTGTATCAAAAGAAAGATCCACCTGCTGTTAGCTGAGTTCACACATCACAAACAAGTTTATGAGAATGCTTTCTGTCTAGTTTTTATTTGAAGATATTTCCTTTCTCACCATAGACCCGAAAGCTGTCCTAATGTTCACTTCCAGATACTACAGAAAGAGTGTTTCAAAACTGCTGTACGAAAGGGAATGTTCAACTCTGTGACTTGAATGCACACATCACAAAGAAGTTTCTGAGGATGCTGCTGTCTACTTTTTATACGTAATCCCGTTTCCAACGAAATCCTCCAAGCTATCCAAATATCCACTTGCAGATTCCACAGAAAGACTGTTTCAAAACTGCTCCGTCAATAGAAAGGTTCAACTCTGTTAGCTGCGTGCATATATCCCAAAGAAGATTCTGAGATTGCTTCTGTCTAGTTTTTATGGGAAGATATTTCCCTTTTCACCGTAGGTGTCAAGGCGCTCCAAATGTCCACTTCCAGATACTACAAAAAGAGTGTTTCAAACCTACTCTCTGAAAGGGAATATTCAACTCTGTGACTTGAATGCACATATCACAAAGAAGTTTCTGAGAATGCTTCTGTCGAGATTTTATATGAAGATATTCCCGTTCCAACGAAATCCTGAAATCCATCCAAATATCCCCTCGCAGATTCTACAAAAAGAGTGTTTCAAAACTGCTCTGTAAAAAGAAAGGTTCAACTCTGTTAGTTGAGTACACACATCACAAACAAGTTTCACAGAATGCTTCTTTCTAGCTTGTAGGGGAAGATATTCCCTTTATCACCATGGGCCTCAAACCGTCCGAAACGTCCACTTCCATATACTACAAAAAGAACGCTTCAAACCTGCTCTATGAAAGACAATGTTCAACTCTGTGACTTGAATGCAGACATCACAGAGCAGTTTCTGAGAATGCTTCTGTCTAGATTTTATAGGAAGATATTCCCGTTTCCAACGAAATCTTCACAGCTATCCAAATATCCTCTTGCAGATTCTACAAAAAGAGTGTATCAAAACTGCTCTGTCAAAAGGAAGGTTCTTTTCTGTTAGGTGAGTGCATACGTCATAAAGGAGTTTCTGATAATGTTTTCTGTCTAGTGGTTATGGGAAGATATTTGCTTTTTCACCGTAGGCCTCAGAGCGCTCCAAATATCCCCTTGCACATACTACAAAAAGAGTGCTTCAAAGCTGCTCTCTGAAAGGGAATGTTCAACTCTGTGAGTTGAATGCAAACATCACAAAGACTTTTCTGAGAATGCTTCTGTCTAGATTTGATATGAAGATATTCCCGTTTCCAACGAAATCTTCAAATCTATCCAAATGTCCACTTGCAGATTCAACAAAAAGTGTTTTTCAGAACTGCTCTATCAAAAGAAAGATCCACCTCTGTTAGCTGAGTTCACACATCACAAAGAAGTTTATGAGAATGCTTCTGTCTAGTTTTTATTTGAAGATATTTCCTTTCTCACCATAGAGCTGAAAGCTGTCCTAATGTTCACTTCCAGATACTACAGAAAGAGTGTTTGAAAACTGCTGTACGAAAGGGAATGTTCAACTCTGTGACTTGAATGCACACATCACAAAGAAGTTTCGGAGGATGCTGCTGTCTACTTTTTATGCGTAATCCCGTTTCCAACGAAATCCTCCAAGCTATCCAAATATCCACTTGCAGATTCCACAGAAAGACTGTTTCAAAACTGCTCTGTCAATAGAAAGGTTCAAATCTGTTAGCTGCGTGCATATATCCCAAAGAAGATTCTGAGATTGCTTCTGTCTACTTTTTATGAGAAGATATTTCCCTTTTCACCGTAGGCGTCAAGGCGCTCTAAATGTCCACTTCCAGATACTACAAAAAGATTGTTTCAAACCTACTCTGTGAAAGGGAATATTCAACTCTGTGACTTGAATGCACATATCACAAAGAAGCTTCTGAGAATGCTTCTGTCGAGATTTTATATGAAGATATTCTCGTTTCCAATGAAATCCTGAAATCTATCCAAATATCCCCTCGCAGATTCTACAAAAAGAGTGTTTCAAAACTGCTCTGTAAAAAGAAAGGTTCAACTCTGTTAGTTGAGTACACACATCACAAACAAGTTTCACAGAATGCTTCTTTCTAGCTTGTAGGGGAAGATATTCCCTTTATCACCATGGGCCTCAAACCGTCCGAAACTTCCACTTCCATATACTACAAAAAGAGCGTTTCAAACCTGCTCTATGAAAGGCAATGTTCAACTCTGTGACTTGAATGCAGACATCACAGAGCAGTTTCTGAGAATGCTTCTGTCTAGATTTTATAGGAAGATATTCCCGTTTCCAACGAAAGCTTCACAGCTATCCCAATATCCACTTGCAGATTCTACAAAAAGAGTATCTCAAAACTGCTCTGTCAAAAGGAAGGTTCTTCTCTGTTAGGTGAGTGCATACGTCATAAAGGAGTTTCTGAGAATGTTTCTGTCTAGTGGTTATGGGAAGATATTTGCTTTTTCACCGAAGGCCTCAGAGCGCTCCAAATATCCACTTGCACATACTACAAAAAGAGTGCCTCAAAGCTGCTCTCTGAAACGGAATGTTCAACTCTATGAGTTGAATGCAAACATCACAAAGACGTTTCCGAGAATGCTCTGTCTAGATTTGATATGAAGATATTCCCGTTTCCAACGAAATCTTCAAATCTATCCAAATGTCCACTTGCAGATTCAACAAAAAGTGTTTTTCAGAACTGCTCTATCAAAAGAAAGATCCACCTCTGTTAGCTGAGTTCAGACATCACAAACAAGTTTATGAGAATGCTTTCTGTCTAGTTTTTATTTGAAGATATATCCTTTCTCACTATAGACCTGAAAGCTGTCCTAAAGTTCACTTCCAGATACTACAGAAAGAGTGTTTCAAAACTGCTGTACGAAAGGGAATGTTCAACTCTGTGACTTGAATGCACACATCACAAGGGATGTTTCTGAGGATGCTGCTGTCTACTTTTTATACGTAATCCCGTTTCCAAAGAAATCCTCCAAGCTATCCAAATATCCACTTGCAGATACCACAGAAAGACTGTTTCAAAACTGCTCTGTCAATAGAAAGGTTCAACACTGTTAGCTGCGTCCATATATCTCAAAGAGGATTCTGAGATTGCTTCTGTCTAGTTTTTATGGGAAGATATTTCCATTTTCACCGTAGGTGTCAAGGCGCTCCAAATGTCCACTTCCAGATACTACAAAAAGAGTGTTTCAAACCTACTCTGTGAAAGGGAATATTCAACTCTGTGACTTGAATGCACATATCACAAAGAAGTTTCTGAGAATGCTTCTGTCGAGATTTTGTATGAAGATATTCCCGATTCCAACGAAATCCTGAAATCTATCCAAATTTCCCCTCGCAGATTCTACAAAAAGAGTGTTTCAAAACTGCTCTGTGAAAAGAAAGGTTCAACTCTGTTAGTTGAGTACACACATCATAAACAAGTTTCACAGAATGCTTCTTTCTAGCTTGTAGGGGAAGATATTTCCTTTATCACCATGGTCCTCAAACCGTCCGAAACGTCCACTTCCATATACTAAAAAAAGAGTGTTTGAAACCTGCTCTATGAAAGGCAACGTTCAACTCTGTGACTTGAATGCAGACATCACAGAGCAGTTTCAGAGAATGCTTCTGTATAGATTTTATAGGAAGATATTCCCGTTTCCAACGAAATCTTCACAGCTATCCAAATATCCACTTGCAGATTCTACAAAAAGAGTGTATCAAAAGTGCTCTGTCAAAAGGAAGGTTCTTCTCTGTTAGGTGAGTGCATACGTCATGAAGGAGTTTCTGAGAATGTTTCTGTCTAGTGGTTATGGGAAGATATTTGCTTTTTCACCATAGGCCTCAGAGCGCTCCAAATATCCACTTGCACATACTACAAAAAGAGTGCTTCAAAGCTGCTCTCTGAAAGGGAATGTTCAACTCTATGAGTTGAATGCTAACATCACAAAGACGTTTCTGAGAATGCTTCTGTCTAGATTTGATATGAAGATATTCCCGTTTCCAACGAAATCTTCAAATCTATCCAAATGTCCACTTGCAGATTCAACAAAAAGTGTTTTTCAGAACTGCTCTATCAAAAGAAAGATCCACCTCTGTTAGCCTGAGTTCACACATCACAAACAAGTTTATGAGAATGCTTCTGTCTAGTTTTTATTTGAAGATATTTCCTTTCTCACCATAGAGCTGAAAGCTGTCCTAATGTTCACTTCCAGATACTACAGAAAGAGTGTTTCAAAACTGCTGTACGAAAGGGAATGTTCAACTCTGTGACTTGAATGCACACATCACAAAGAAGTTTCTGAGGATGCTGGCTGTCTACTATTTATACGTAATCCCGTTTCCAACGAAATCCTCCAAGCTATCCAAATATCCACTTGCAGATTCCACAGAAAGACTGTTTCAAAACTGCTCTGTCAATAGAAAGGTTCAACTCTGTTAGCTGCGTGCATATATCCCAAAGCTGATTCTGAGATTCCTTCTGTCTAGTTTTTATGGGAAGATATTTCCCTTTTCACCGTAGGCGTCAAGGCGCTCCAAATGTCCACTTCCAGATACTACAAAAAGAGTGTTTCAAACCTACTCTGTGAAAGGGAATATTCAACTCTGTGACTTGAAGGCAGATATCACAAAGAAGTTTCTCAGAATGCTTCTGTCGAGATTTTATATGAAGATACTCCCGTTTCCAACGAAATCCTGAAATCTATCCAAATATCCCCTCGCAGATTCTACAAAAAGAGTGTTTCAAAACTGCTCTGTAAAAAGAAAGGTTCAACTCTGTTAGTTGAGTACACACATCACAAACAAGTTTCACAGAATGCTTCTTTCTAGCTTGTAGGGGAAGATATTCCCTTTATCACCATGGGCCTCAAACCGTCCGAAACGTCCACTTCCATATACTAAAAAAAGAGTGTTTCAAACCTGCTCTATGAAAGGCAATGTTCAACTCTGTGACTTGAATGCAGACATCACAGAGCAGTTTCTGAGAATGCTTCTGTCCAGAATTTATAGGAAGATATTCCCGTTTCCAACGAAATCTTCACAGCTATCCAAATATCCACTTGCAGATAGTACAAAAAGAGTGTATCAAAAATGCTCTGTCAAAAGGAAAGTTCTTCTCTGCTAGTTGAGTACATACGTCATAAAGGAGTTTCTGAGAATGTTTCTGTCTAGTGGTTATGGGAAGATATTTGCTTTTTCACCGTAGGCCTCAGAGCGCTCAAAATATCCACTTGCACATACTACAAAAAGAGTGCTTCAAAGCTGCTCTCTGAAAGGGAATGTTCAACTCTATGAGTTGAATGCAAACATCACAAAGACGTCTCTGAGAATGCTTCTGTCTAGATTTGATATGAAGATATTCCCGTTTCCAACGAAATCTTCAAATCTATCCAAATGTCCACTTGCAGATTAAACAAAAAGTGTTTTTCAGAACTGCTCTATCAAAAGAAAGATCCACGTGTGTTAGCTGAGTTCACACATTACAAACAAGTTTATGAGAATGCTTCTGTCTAGTTTTTATTTGAAGATATTTCCTTTCTCACCATAGACCTGAAAGCTGTCCTAATGTTCACTCCCAGATACTACAGAAAGAGTGTTTCAAAAATGCTGTACGAAACAACTCTGTTACTTGAATGCACATATCACAAAGAAGTTTCTGAGGATGCTGCTGTCTACTTTTTATACGTAATCCCGTTTCCAACGAAATCCTCCAAGCTATCAAAATATCCACTTGCAGATTCCACAGAAAGACTGTTTCAAAACTGCTCTGTCAATAGAAAGGTTCAACTCTGTTAGCTGCGTGCATATATCCCAAAGAAGATTCTGAGATTGCTTCTGTCTAGTTTTTATGGGAAGATATTTCCCTTTTCACCGTAGGCGTCAAGGTGCTCCAAATGTCCACTTCCAGATACTACAAAAGGAGTGTTTCAAACCTACTCTGTGAAAGGGAATATTCAACTCTGTGACTTGAATGCAGATATCACAAAGAAGTTTCTGAGAATGTTTCTGTCGAGATTTTATATGAAGATATTCCCGTTTCCAACGAAATCCTGAAATCTATCCAAATATCCCCTCGCAGATTCTACAAAAAGAGTGTTTCAAAACTGTTCTGTAAAAAGAAAGGTTTAACTCTGTTAGTTGAGTACACACATCACAAACAAGTTTCACAGAATGCTTCTTTCTAGCTTGTAGGGGAAGATATTCCCTTTATCACCATGGTCCTCAAACCGTCCGAAACGTCCACTTTCATATACTACAAAAAGAGTGTTTCAAACCTGCTCTAGGAAAGGCAATGTTCAACTCTGTGACTTGAATGCAGACATCACAGAGCAGTTTCTGAGAATGCTTCCTGTCTAGATTTTATAGGAAGATATTCCCGTTTCCAACGAAATCTTCACAGCTATCCAAATATCCACTTGCAGATTCTACAAAAAGAGTGTATCAAAACTGCTCTGTCAAAAGGAAGGTTCTTTTCTGTTAGGTGAGTGCATACGTCATAAAGGAGTTTCTGAGAATGTTTCTGTCTAGTGGTTATGGGAAGATATTTGCTTTTTCACCGTAGGCCTCACAGCGCTCCAAATATCCCCTTGCACATACTACAAAAAGAGTGCCTCAAAGCTGCTCTCTGAAACGGAATGTTCAACTCTATGAGTTGAATGCAAACATCACAAAGACGTTTCTGAGAATGCTTCTGTCTAGATTTTACATGAAGATATTCCCGTTTCCAACGAAATCTTCAAATCTATCCAAATGTCCACTTGCAGATTCAACAAAACGTGTTTTTAAGAACTGCTCTATCAAAAGAAAGATCCAACTCTGTTAGCTGAGTTCACACATCACAAACAAGTTTATGAGAATGCTTCTGTCTAGTTTTTATTTGAAGATGTTTCCTTTCTCACCATAGACCTGAAAGCTGTCCTAATGTTCACTTCCAGATACTACAGAAAGAGTGTTTCAAAACTGCTGTACGAAAGGGAATGTTCAACTCTGTGACTTGAATGCACACATCACAAAGAAGTTTCTGAGGATGCTGCTGTCTACTTTTTATACGTAATCCCGTTTCCAAAGAAATCCTCCAAGCTATCCAGATATCCACTTGCAGATTCCACAGAAAGACTGTTTCAAAACTGCTCTGTCAATAGAAAGGTTCAACTCTGTTAGCTGCGTGCATATATCCCAAAGAAGATTCTGAGATTGCTTCTGTCTACTTTTTATGAGAAGATATTTCCCTTTTCACCGTAGGCGTCAAGGCGCTCCAAATGTTCACTTCCAGATACTACAAAAAGAGTGTTTCAAACCTACTCTGTAAAAGGGAATATTCAACTCTGTGACTTGAATGCACATATCACAAAGAAGTTTCTGAGAATGCTTCTGTCGAGATTTTATATGAAGATATTCCCGTTTCCAACGAAATCTTGAAATCTATCCAAATATCCCCTCGCAGATTCTACAAAAAGAGTGTTTCAAAACTGCTCTGTAAAAAGAAAGGTTCAACTCTGTTAGTTGAGTACACACATCACAAACAAGTTTCACAGAATGCTTCTTTCTAGCTTGTAGGGGAAGATATACCCTTTATCACCATGGTCCTCAAACCGTTCGAAACGTCCTCTTCCATATAGTACAAAAAGAGCGTTTCAAACCTGCTCTATGAAAGGCAATGTTCAACTCTGTGACTTGAATGCAGACATCACAGAGCAGTTTCTGAGAATGCTTCTGTCTAGATTTTATAGGAAGATATTCCCGTTTCCAACGAAATCTTCACAGCTATCCAAATATCCACTTGCAGATTCTACAAAAAGAGTGTATCAAAACTGCTCTGTCAAAAGGAAGGTTCTTCTCTGTTAGGTGAGTGCACACGTCATAAAGGAGTTTCTGAGAATGTTTCTGTCTAGTGGTTATGGGAAGATATTTGCTTTTTCACCGTAGGCCTCAAAGCGCTCCAAATCTCCACTTGCACATACTACAAAAAGAGTGCTTCAAAGCTGCTCTCTGAAAGGGAATGTTCAACTCTATGAGTTGAATGCAAATATCACAAAGACGTTTCTGAGAATGCTTCTGTCTAGATTTGATATGAAGATATTCCCGTTTCCAACGAAATCTTCAAATCTATCCAAATGTCCACTTGCAGATTCAACAAAAAGTGTTTTTCAGAACTGGTCTACCAAAAGAAAGATCCACCTCTGTTAGCTGAGTTCACACATCACAAACAAGTTTATGAGAATGCTTTTGTCTAGTTTTTATTTGAAGATATTTCCTTTCTCACCATAGACCTGAAAGCTGTCCTAATGTTCACTTCCAGATACTACAGAAAGAGTGTTTCAAAACTGCTGTACGAAAGGGAATGTTCAACTCTGTGACTTGAATGCACACATCACAAAGAAGTTTCTGAGGATGCTGCTGTCTACTTTTTATAAGTAATCCCGTTTCCAACGAAATCCTCCAAGCTATCCAAATATCCACTTGACAGATTCCACAGAAAGACTGTTTCAAAACTGCTCTGTCAATAGAAAGGTTCAACTCTGTTAGCTGCGTGCATATATCCCAAAGAAGATTCTGAGATTGCTTCTGTCTAGTTTTTATGGGAAGATATTTCCCTTTTCACCGTAGGTGTCAAGGCGCTCCAAATGTCCACTTCCAGATACTACAAAAAGAGTGTTTCAAACCTACTCTGTGAAAGGGAATATTCAACTCTGTGACTTGAATGCAGATATCACAAAAGAAGTTTCTGAGAATGCTTCTGTCGAGATTTTATATGAAGATATTCCCGTTTCCAACGGAATCCTGAAATCTATCCAAATATCCCCTCGCAGATTCTACAAAAAGAGTGTTTCAAAACTGCTCTGTAAAAAGAAAGGTTCAACTCTGTTAGTTGAGTACACACATCACAAACAAGTTTCACAGAATGCTTCTTTCTAGCTTGTAGGGGAAGATATTTCCTTTATCACCATGGGCCTCAAACCGTCCGAAACGTCCACTTCCATATACTAAAAAAAGAGTGCTTGAAACCTGCTCTATGAAAGGCAATGTTCAACTCTGTGACTTGAATGCAAACATCAAAGAGCAGTTTCTGAGCAATGCTTCTGTCGAGATTTTATATGAAGATATTCCCGTTTCCAACGAAATCCTGAAATCTATCCAAATATCCCCTCGCAGATTCTACAAAAAGAGTGTATCAAAACTGCTCTGTCAAAAGGAAGGTTCTTCTCTGTTAGGTGAGTGCATACGTCATAAAGGAGTTTCTGAGAATGTTTCCATCTAGTGGTTATGGGAAGATATTTGCTTTTTCACCGAAGGCCTCAGAGCGCTCCAAATATCCACTTGCACATACTACAAAAAGAGTGCCTCAAAGCTGCACTCTGAAACGGAATGTTCAACTCTATGAGTTGAATGCAAACATCGCAAAGACGTTTCTGAGAATGCTTCTGTCTAGATTTGATATGAAGATATTCCCGTTTCCAACGAAATCTTCAAATCTATCCAAATGTCCACTTGCAGATTCAACAAAAAGTGTTTTTCAGAACTGCTCTATCAAAGGAAAGATCCACCTCTGTTAGCTGAGTTCACACTTCACAAACAAGTTTATCAGAATGCTTCTGTCTAGTTTTTATTTGAAGATATATCCTTTCTCACTATAGACCTGAAAGCTGTCCTAATGTTCACTTCCAGATACTACAGAAAGAGTGTTTCAAAACTGCTGTACGAAAGGGAATGTTCAACTCTGTGACTTGAATGCACACATCACAAGGATGTTTCTGAGGATGCTGCTGTCTACTTTTTACACGTAGTCCCGTTTCCAAAGAAATCCTCCAAGCTATCCAAATATCCACTTGCAGATTCCACAGAAAGACTGTTTCAAAACTGCTCTGTCAATAGAAAGGTTCAACTCTGTTAGCTGCGTGCATATATCCCAAAGAAGATTCTGAGATTGCTTCTGTCAAGTTTTTATGGGAAGATATTTCCCTTTTCACCGTAGGCGTCAAGGCGCTCCAAATGTCCACTTCCAGATACTACAAAAAGAGTGTTTCAAACCTACTCTGTGAAAGGGAATATTCAACTCTGTGACTTGAATGCAGATATCACAAAGAAGTTTCTGAGAATGCTTCGGTCTAGATTTTATATTAAGACATCCCCGTTTCCGACGAAATCTTTAAATCTATCCAAATATCCACTTGCAGGTTCTACAAAAAGAGTTTTTCAAAACTGTTCTGTAAAAGAAAGGTTCAACTCCATTAGTTGAGTACACACATCACAAAGAAGTTCCTGAGAATGCTTCTTTCTAGCTTGTAGGGGAAGATATTCCCTTTATCACCATGGGCCTCAAACTGTCCGAAACGTCCACTTCCATATACTACAAAAAGAGCGTTTCAAACCTGCTCTATGAAAGGCAATGTTCAGCTCTGTGACTTGAATGCAGACATCACAGAGCAGTTTCTGAGAATGCTTCTGTCTAGATTTTATAGGAATATATTCCCGTTTCCAACGAAATCTTCACAGCTATCCAAATATCCACTTGCAGATTCCACAAAAAGAGTGTATCAAAACTGCTCTGTCAAAAGGAAGGTTCTTTTCTGTTAGGTGAGTGCATACGTCATAAAGGAGTTTCTGAGAATGTTCCTGTCTAGTGGTTATGAGAAGATATTTGCTTTTTCCCCGTAGGCCTCAAAGCGCTCCAATTGTCCACTTGCACATACTACAAAAAGAGTGCTTCAAAGCTGCTCTCTGAAAGGGAATGTTCAACTGTATGAGTTGAATGCAAACATCACAAAGACGTTTCTGAGAATGCTTCTGTCTAGATTTGATATGAAGATATTCCCGTTTCCAACGAAATCTTCAAATCTATCGAAATGTCCACTTGCAGATTCAACAAAAAGTGTTTTTCAGAACTGCTCTATCAAAAGAAAGATCCACCTCTCTTAGCTGAGTTGACACATCACAAACAAGTTTATGAGAATGCTTCTGTCTAGTTTTTATTTGAAGATATTTCCTTTCTCACCATAGACCTGAAAGCTGTCCTAATGTTCACGTCCAGATACTACAGAAAGAGTGTTTCAAAACTGCTGTACGAAAGGGAATGTTCAACTCTGTGACTTGAATGCACACATCACAAAGAAGTTTCTGAGGATGCTGCTGTCTACTTTTTATACGTAATCCCGTTTCCAACGAAATCCTCCAAGCTATCCAAATATCCACTTGCAGATTCCACAGAAAGACTGTTTCAAAACTGCTCTGTCAATAGAAAGGTTCAACTCTTTTAGCTGCGTGAATATATCCCAAAGAAGATTCTGAGATTGCTTCTGTCTAGTTTTTATGGGAAGATATTTCCCTTTTCACCGTAGGCGTCAAGGCGCTCCAAATGTCCACTTCCAGATACTACAACAAGAGTGTTTCAAACCTACTCTGTGAAAGGGAATATTCAACTCTGTGACTTGAATGCACATATCACAAAGAAGTTTCTGAGAATGCTTCTGTCGAGATTTTATATGAAGATATTCCCGTTTCCAACGAAATCCTGAAATCTATCCAAATATCCCCTCGCAGATTCTACAGAAAGAGAGTTTCAAAACTGCTCTGTAAAAAGAAAGGTTCTACTCTGTTACTTGAGTACACACATCACAAACAAGTTTCACAGAATGCTTCTTTCTAGCTTGTAGGGGAAGATATTCCCTTTATCACCATGGGCCTCCAACCGTCCGAAACATCCACTTCCATATACTACAAAAAGAGCGTTTCAAACCTGCTCTATGAAAGGCAATGTTCAACTCTGTGACTTGAATACAGACATCACAGAGCAGTTTCTGAGAATGCCTCTGTCGAGATTTTATAGGAAGATATTCCCGTTTCCAACGAAATCTTCACAGCTATCCAAATATCCACTTGCAGATTCTACAAAAAGAGTGTATCAAAACTGCTCTGTCAAAAGGAAGGTTCTTCTCTGTTAGTTGAGTACATACGTCATACAGGAGTTTCTGAGAATGTTTCTGTCTAGTGGTTATGGGAAGATATTTGCTTTTTCACCGTAGGCCTCAGGGCGCTCCAAATTTTCTCTTGCACATGCTACAAAAAGAGTGCTTAAAAGCTGCTCTCTCAAAGGGAATGTTCAACTCTATGAGTTGAATGCAAACATCGCAAAGACGTTTCTGAGAATGCTTCTGTCTAGATTTGATATGAAGATATTCCCGTTTCCAACGAAATCTTCAAATCTATCCAAATGTCCACTTGCAGATTCAACAAAAAGTGTTTTTCAAAACTGCTGTAACAAAAGAAAGATCCGCCTCTGTTAGCTGAGTTCACACATCACAAACAAGTTTATGAGAATGCTTCTGTCTAGTTTTTATTTGAAGATATTTCCTTTCTCACCATAGACCTGAAAGGTGTCCTAATGTTCACTTCCAGATACTACAGAAAGAGTGTTTCAAAACTGCTGTACGAAAGGGAATGTTCAACTCTGTGACTTGAATGCACACATCACAAAGAAGTTTCTGAGGATGCTGCTGTCTACTTTTTATACGTAATCCCGTTTCCAACGAAATCCTCCAAGTTATCCAAATATCCACTTGCAGATTCCACAGAAAGACTGTTTCAAAACTGCTCTGTCAATAGAAAGGTTCAACTCTGTTAGCTGCGTCCATATATCCCAAAGAAGATTCTGAGATTGCTTCTGTCTAGTTTTTATGGGAAGATATTTCCCTTTTCACCGTAGGCGTCAAGGCGCTCCAAATGTCCACTTCCAGATACTACAAAAAGAGTGTTTCAAACCTATTCTGTGAAAGGGAATATTCAACTCTGTGACTTGAATGCACATATCACAAAGAAGTTTCTGAGAATGCTTCTGTCGAGATTTTATATGAAGATATTCCCGTTTCCAACGAAATCCTGAAATCTATCCAAATATCCCCTCGCAGATTCTACAAAAAGAGTGTTTCAAAACTGCTCTGTAAAAAGAAAGGTTCAACTCTGTTAGTTGAGTACACACCTCACAAACAAGTTTCACAGAATGCTTCTTTCTAGCTTGTAGGGGAAGATATTCCTTTATCACCATGGGCCTCAAACTGTCCGAAACGTCTACTTCCATATACTACAAAAAGAGCGTTTCAAACCTGCTCTATGAAAGGCAATGTTCAGCTCTGTGACTTGAATGCAGACATCACAGAGCAGTTTCTGAGAATGCTTCTGTCTAGATTTTATAGGAAGATATTCCCGTTTCCAACGAAATCTTCACAGGTATCCAAATATCCACCTGCAGATTCTACAAAAAGAGTGTATCAAAACTGCTCTGTCAAAAGGAAGGTTCTTCTCTGTTAGGTGAGTGCATACGTCATAAAGGAGTTTCTGAGAATGTTTCTGTCTAGTGGTTATGGGAAGATATTTGCTTTTTCCCCGTAGGCCTCAGGGCGCTCCAAATGTCCACTTGCACATGCTACAAAAAGAGTGCTTCAAAGCTACTCACTGGAAGGGAATGTTCAACTCTATGAGTTGAATGCAAACATCACAAAGACGTTTCTGAGAATGCTTCTGTCTAGATTTGATATGAAGATATTCCCGTTTCCAACGAAATCTTCAAATCTATCCAAATGTCCACTTGCAGATTCAACAAAAAGTGTTTTTCAGAACTGCTCTATCGAAAGATCCACCTCTGTTAGCTGAGTTCACACATCACAAACAAATTTATGAGAATGCTTCTGTCTAGTTTTTATTTGAAGGTATTTCCTTTCTCACCATAGACCTGAAAGCTGTCCTAATGTTCACTTCCAGATACTACAGAAAGAGTGTTTCAAAACTGCTGTACGAAAGGGAATGTTCAACTCTGTGACTTGAATGCACACATCACAAAGAAGTTTCTGAGGATGCTGCTGTCTACTTTTTATACGTAATCCCGTTTCCAACGAAATCCTCCAAGCTATCCAAATATCCAATTGCAGATTCCACAGAAAGACTGTTTCAAAACTGCTCTGTCAATAGAAAGGTTCAACTCTGTTAGCTGCGTGCATATATCCCAAAGAAGATTCTGAGATTACTTCTATCTAGTTTTTATGGGAAGATATTTCCCTTTTCACCGTAGGCGTCAAGGCGCTCCAAATGTCCACTTCCAGATACTGCAAAAAGAGTGTTTCAAACCTACTCTGTGAAAGGGAATATTCAACTCTGTGACTTGAATGCAGATATCACAAAGAAGTTTCTGAGAATGCTTCTGTCGAGATTTTATATGAAGATATTCCCGTTTCCAACGAAATCCTGAAATCTCTCCAAATATCCCCTCGCAGATTCTACAAAAAGAGTGTTTCAAAACTGCTCTGTAAAAAGAAAGGTTCAACTCTGTTAGTTGAGTACACACATCAAAAACAAGTTTCACAGAATGCTTCTTTCTAGCTTGTAGGGGAAGATATTCCCTTTATCACCATGGGCCTCAAACCGTCTGAAACGTCCACTTCCATATACTACAAAAAGAGCATTTCAAACCTGCTCTATGAAAGGCAATGTTCAACTCTGTGACTTGAATGCACACATCACAGAGCAGTTTCTGAGAATGCTTCTGTCTAGATTTTATAGGAAGATATTCCCGTTTCCAACGAAATCTTCACAGCTATCCAAATATGCACTTGCAGATTCTACAAAAAGAGTGTATCAAAACTGCTCTGTGAAAAAGAATGTTCTTCTCTGTTAGTTGAGTACATACGTCATAAAGGAGTTTCTGAGAATGTTTCTGTCTAGTGGTTATGGGAAGATATTTGCTTTTTCACCGTAGGCCTCAGAGCGCTCCAAATATCCACTTGAACATACTACAAAAAGAGTGATTCAAAGCTGCTCTCTGAAACGGAATGTTCAACTCTATGAGTTGAATGCAACCATCACAAAGACGTTTCTGAGAATGCTTCTGTCTAGATTTGATATGAAGATATTCCCGTTTCCAACGAAATCTTCAAATCTATCCAAATGTCCACTTGCAGATTCAACAAAAGAGTTTTTCAGAACTGCTCTATCAAAAGAAAGATCCACCTCTGTTAGCTGAGTTCACACATCACAAACAAGTTTATGAGAATGCTTCTGTCTAGTTTTTATTTGAAGATATTTCCTTTCTCACCATAGACCTGAAAGCTCTCCTAATGTTCACTTCCAGATACTACAGAAAGAGTGTTTCAAAACTGCTGTATGAAAGGGAATGTTCAACTCTGTGACTTGAATGCACACATCACAAAGAAGTTTCTGAGGATGCTGCTGTCTACTTTTTATACGTAATCCCGTTTCCAACGAAATCCTCCATGCTATCCAAATATCCACTTGCAGATTCCACAGAAAGACTGTTTCAAAACTGCTCTGTCAATAGAAAGGTTCAACTCTGTTAGCTGTGTGCATATATCTCAAAGAAAATTCTGAGATTGCTTCTGTCTTGTTTTTATGGGAAGATATTTCCCTTTTCACCGTAGGCGTCAAGGCGCTCCAAATGTCCACTTCCAGATACTACAAAAAGAGTGTTTCAAACCTACTCTGTGAAAGGGAATATTCAACTCTGTGACTTGAATGCACATATCACAAGGAAGTTTCTGAGAATGCTTCCTGTCGAGATTTTATATGAAGATATTCCCGTTTCCAACGAAATGCTGAAATGTATCCAAATATCCCCTCGCAGATTCTACAAAAAGAGTGTTTCAAAACTGCTCTGTAAAAAGAAAGGTTCAACTCTGTTAGTTGAGTACACACATCACAAACAAGTTTCACAGAATGCTTTCTTTCTAGCTTGTAGGGGAAGATATTCCCTTTATCACCATGGGCCTCAAACCGTCCGAAAAGTCCACTTCCATATACTACAAAAAGAGCGTTTCAAACCTGCTCTATGAAAGGCAATGTTCAACTCTGTGACTTGAATGCAGACATCACAGAGCAGTTTCTGAGAATGCTTCTGTCTAGATTTTATACGAAGATATTCCCGTTTCCAACGAAATCTTCACAGGTATCAAAATATCCACTTGCAGATTCTACAAAAAGAGTGTATCAAAACTGCTCTGTCAAAAGGAAGGTTCTTCTCTGTTAGGTGAGTGCATACGTCATAAAGGAGTTTCTGAGAATGTTTCTGTCTAGTGGTTATGGGAAGACATTTGCTTTTTCACCGTAGGCCACAGAGCGCTCCAAATATCCACTTGCACATACTACAAAAAGAGTGCCTCAAAGCTGCTCTCTGAAAGGGAATGTTCAACTCTATGAGTTGAATGCAAACATCGCAAAGACGTTTCTGAGAATGCTTCTGTCTAGATTTGATATGAAGATATTCCCGTTTCCAACGAAATCTTCAAATTTATCCAAATGTCCACTTGCAGATTCAACAAAAAGTGTTTTTCAGAACTGCTCTATCAAAAGAAAGATCCACCTCTGTTAGCTGAGTTCACACATCACAAACAAGTTTATGAGAATGCTTCTGTCTAGTTTTTATTTGAAGATATTTTCTTTCTCACCATAGACCTGAAAGCTGTCCTAATGTTCACTTCCAGATACTACAGAAAGAGTGTTTCAAAACTGCTGTACGAAAGGGAATGTTCAACTCTGTGACTTGAATGCACACATCACAAAGAAGTTTCTGAGGATGCTGCTGTCTACTTTTTATGCGTAATCCCGTTTCCAACGAAATCCTCCAAGCTATCCCAATATCCACTTGCAGATTCCACAGAAAGACTGTTTCAAAACTGCTCTGTCAATAGAAAGGTTCAACTCTGTTAGCTGCGTGCATATATCCCAAAGAAGATTCTGAGATTGCTTCTGTCTAGTTTTTATGGGAAGATATTTCCCTTTTCACCGTAGGTGTCAAGGCGCTCCAAATGTCTACTTCCAGATACTACAAAAAGAGTGTTTCAAACCTACTCTGTGAAAGGGAATATTCAACTCTGTGACTTGAATGCACATATCACAAGGAAGTTTCTGAGAATGCTTCTGTCGAGATTTTGTATGAAGATATTCCCGTTTCCAACGAAATCCTGAAATCTATCCAAATTTCCCCTCGCAGATTATACAAAAAGAGTGTTTCAAAACTGCTCTGTGAAAAGAAAGGTTCAACTCTGTTAGTTGAGTACACACATCACAAACAAGTTTCACAGAATGCTTCTTTCTAGCTTGTAGGGGAAGATATTCCCTTTATCACCATGGGCCTCAAACCGTCCGAAAAGTCCACTTCCATATACTACAAAAAGAGCGTTTCAAACCTGCTCTATGAAAGGCAATGTTCAACTCTGTGACTTGAATGCAGACATCACAGAGGCAGTTTCTGAGAATGCTTCTGTCTAGATTTTATAGGAAGATATTCCCGTTTCCAACGAAATCTTCACAGCTATCCAAATATCCACTTGCAGATTCTACAAAAAGAGTGTATCAAAACTGCTCTGTCAAAAGGAAGGTTCTTCTCTGTTAGGTGAGTGCATACGTCATAAAGGAGTTTCTGAGAATGTTTTCTGTCTAGTGGTTATGGGAAGATATTTGCTTTTTCACCGTAGGCCTCAGAGCGCTCCAAATATCCACTTGCACATACTACAAAAAGAGTGCCTCAAAGCTGCTCTTTGAAACGGAATGTTCAACTCTATGAGTTGAATGCAAACATCACAAAGACGTTTCTGAGAATGCTTCTGTCTAGATTTGATATGAAGATATTCCCGTTTCCAACGAAATCTTCAAATCTATCCAAATGTCCACTTGCAGATTCAACAAAAAGTGTTTTTCAGAACTGCTCTATCAAAAGAAAGATCCACCTCTGTTAGCTGAGTTCACACATCACAAACAAGTTTATGAAAATGTTTCTGTCTAGTTTTTATTTGAAGATATTGCCTTTCTCACCATAGACCTGAAAGCTGTCCTAATGTTCACTTCCAGATACTACAGAAAGAGTGTTTCAAAACTGCTGTACGAAAGGGAATGTTCAACTCTGTGACTTGAATGAACACATCACAAAGAAGTTTCCTGAGGATGCTGCTGTCTACTTTTTATACGTAATCCCGTTTCCAACGAAATCCTCCAAGCTATCCAAATATCCACTTGCAGATTCCACAGAAAGACTGTTTCAAAACTGCTCTGTCAATAGAAAGGTTTAACTCTGTTAGCTGCGTGCATATATCCCAAAGAAGATTCTGAGATTGCTTCTGTCTAGTTTTTATGGGAAGATATTTCCCTTTTCACCGTGGGCATCAAGGCGCTCCAAATGTCCACTTCCAGATACTACAAAAAGAGTGTTTCAAACCTACTCTGTGAAAGGGAATATTCAACTCTGTGACTTGAATGCACATATCACAAGGAAGTTTCTGAGAATGCTTCTGTCGAGTATTTTATATGAAGATATTCCCGTTTCCAACGAAATCCTGAAATCTATCCAAATATCCCCTCGCAGATTCTACAAAAAGAGTGTTTCAAAACTGCTCTGTAAAAAGAAAGGTTCAACTCTGTTAGTTGAGTACACACATCACAACAAGTTTCACAGAATGCTTCTTTCTAGCTTGTAGGGGAATATATTCCCTTTATCACCATGGGTCTCAAACCGTCCGAAACGTCCACTTCCATATACTACAAAAAGAGCGGTTCAAACCTGCTCTATGAAAGGCAATGTTCAACTCTGTGACTTGAATGCAGACATCACAGAGCTGTTTCTGAGAATGCTTCTGTCTAGATTTTATAGGATGATATTCCCGTTTCCAACGAAATCTTCACAGCTATCCAAATATCCACTTGCAGATTCTACAAAAAGAGTGTATCCAAACTGCTCTGGCAAAAGGAAGGTTCTTCTCTGTTAGGTGAGTGCATACGTCATAAAGGAGTTTCTGAGAATGTTTCTGTCTAGTGGTTATGGGAAGATATTTGCTTTTTCACCTTAGGCCTCAGAGTGCTCCAAATATCCTTTTGCACATACTACAAAAAGAGTGCTTCAAAGCTGCTCTCTGAAACGGAATGTTCAACTCTATGAGTTGAATGCAAACATCACAAAGACGTTTCTGGGAATGCTTCTGTCTAGATTTGATATGAAGATATTCCCGTTTCCAACGAAATCTTCAAATCTATCCAAATGTCCACTGGCAGATTCAACAAAAAGTGTTTTTCAGAACTGCTCTATCAAAAGAAAGATCCACCTCTGTTAGCTGAGTTCACACATCACAAAGAGGTTTATGAGAATGCTTCTGTCTAGTTTTTATTTGAAGATATTTCCTTTCTCACCATAGACCTGAAAGCTGTCCTAATGTTCACTTCCATGTACTACAGAAAGAGTGTTTCAAAACTGCTGTACGAAAGGGAATGTTCAACTCTGTGACTTGAATGCACACATCACAAAGAAGTTTCTGAGGATGCTGCTGTCTACTTTTTATACGTAATCCCGTTTCCAACGAAATCCTCCAAGCTATCCAAATATCCACTTGCAGATTCCACAGAAAGACTGTTTCAAAACTGCTCTGTCAATAGAAAGGTTCAACTCTGTTAGCTGCGTGCATATATCCCAAAGAAGATGCTGAGATTGCTTCTGTCTAGTTTTTATGGGAAGATATTTCCCTTTTCACCGTAGGCGTCAAGGCGCTCCAAATGTCCACTTCCAGATACTACAAAAAGAGTGTTTCAAACCTACTCTGTGAAAGGGAATATTCAACTACTGTGACTTGAAGGCAGATATCACAAAGAAGTTTCTGAGAATGCTTTCTGTCGAGATTTTATATGAAGATATTCCCGTTTCCAACGAAATCCTGAAATCTATCCAAATATCCTCTCGCAGATTCTACAAAAAGAGTGTTTCAAAACTGCTCTGTAAAAAGAAAGGTTCAACTCTGTTAGTTGAGTACACACATCAAAAACAACTTTCACAGAATGCTTCTTTCTAGCTTGTAGGGGAAGATATTCCCTTTATCACCATGGGCCTCCAACCGTCCGAAACATTCTCTTCCATATACTACAAAAAAGCATTTCAAACCTGCTCTATGAAAGGCAATGTTCAACTCTGTGACTTGAATGCAGACATCACAGAGCAGTTTCTGAGAATGCTTCTGTCTAGATTTTATAGGAAGATATTCCCGTTTCCAACGAAATCTTCACAGCTATCCAAATATCCACTTGCAGATTCTACAAAAAGAGTGTATCAAAACTGCTCTGTCAAAAGGAAGGTTCTTCTCCGTTAGGTGAGTGCACACGTCATAAAGGAGTTTCTGAGAATGTTTCAGTGTAGTGGTTATGGGAAGATATTTGCTTTTTCCCCGTAGGCCTCAGAGCGCTCCAAATATCCACTTGCACATACTACAAAAAGAGTACTTCAAAGCTGCTCTCTGAAACGGAATGTTCAACTCTATGAGTTGAATGCAAACATCACAAAGACGTTTCTGAGAATGCTTCTGTCTAGATTTGATATGAAGATATTCCCGTTTCCAACGAAATCTTCAAATCTATCCAAATGTCCACTTGCAGATTCAACAAAAAGTGTTTTTCAGAACTGCTCTATCAAAAGAAAGATCCACCTCTCTTAGCTGAGTTCACACATCACAAACAAGTTTATGAAAATGCTTCTGTCTAGTTTTTATTTGAAGATATTTCCTTTCTCACCATAGAGCTGAAAGCTGTCCTAATGTTCACTTCCAGATACTACAGAAAGAGTGTTTCAAAACTGCTGTACCAAAGGGAATGTTCAACTCTGTGACTTGAATGCACACATCACAAAGAAGTTTCGGAGGATGCTGCTGTCTACTTTTTATACGTAATCCCGTTTCCAACGAAATCCTCCAATCTATACAAATATCCACTTGCAGATTCCACAGAAAGACTGTTTCAAAACTGCTCTGTCAATAGAAAGGTTCAACTCTGTTAGCTGCGTGCATATATCCCAAAGAAGATTCTGAGATTGCTTCTGTCTACTTTTTATGAGAAGATATTTCCCTTTTCACCGTAGGCGTCAAGGCGCTCCAAATGTCCACTTCCAGATACTACAAAAAGAGTGTTTCAAACCTACTCTGTGAAAGGGAATATTCAACTCTGTGACTTGAATGCACATATCACAAAGAAGCTTTCTGAGAATGCTTCTGTCGAGATTTTATATGAAGATATTCCCATTTCCAACGAAATCCTGAAATCTATCCAAATATCCCCTCTCAGATTCTACAAAAAGAGTGTTTCAAAACTGCTCTGTAAAAAGAAAGGTTCAACTCTGTTAGTTGAGTACACACATCACAAACAAGTTTCACAGAATGCTTCTTTCTAGCTTGTAGGGGAAGATATTCCCTTTATCACCATGGGCCTCAAACCGTCCGAAACGTCCACTTCCATATACTACAAAAAGAGCGTTTCAAACCTGCTCTAGGAAAGGCAATGTTCAACTCTGTGACTTGAATGCAGACATCACAGAGCAATTTCTGAGAATGCTTCTGTCTATATTTTATAGGAAGATATTCCCGTTTCCAACGAAATCTTCACAGCTATCCAAATATCCACTTGCAGATTCTACAAAAAGAGTGTATCAAAACTGCTCTGTCAAAAGGAAGGTTCTTTTCTGTTAGGTGAGTGCATACGTCATAAAGGAGTTTCTGAGAATGTTTCTGTCTAGTGGTTATGGGAAGATATTTGCTTTTTCACCTTAGGCCTCAGAGCGCTCCAAATATCCCCTTGCACATACTACAAAAAGAGTGCTTCAAAGCTGCTCTCTGAAAGGGAATGTTCAACTCTATGAGTTGAATGCAAACATCACAAAGACGTTTCTGGGAATGCTTCTGTCTAGATTTGATATGAAGATATTCCCGTTTCCAACGGAATCTTCATATCTATCCAAATGTCCACTTGCAGATTCAACAAAAAGTGTTTTTCAAAACTGCTGTATCAAAAGAAAGATCCACGTCCGTTAGCTGAGTTCACACATCACAAACAAGTTTATGAGAATGCTTCTGTCTAGTTTTTATTTGAAGATATTTCCTTTCTCACCATAGACCTGAAAGCTGTCCTATTGTTCACTTCCAGATACTACAGAAAGAGTGTTTCAAAACTGCTGTACGAAAGGGAATGTTCAACTCTGTGACTTGAATGCACACATCACAAAGAAGTTTCTGAGGATGCTGCTGTCTACTTTTTATACGTAATCCCGTTTCCAAAGAGATCCTCCAAGCTATCCAAATATCCACTTGCAGATTCCACAGAAGGACTGTTTCTAAACTGCTCTGTCAATAGAAAGGTTCAACTCTGTGAGCTGCGTGCATATATCCCAAAGAAGATTCTGAGATTGCTTCTGTCTACTTTTTATGAGAAGTTATTTCCCTTTTCACCGTAGGTGTCAAGGCGCTCCAAATGTCCACTTCCAGATACTACAAAAAGAGTGTTTCAAACCTACTCTGTGAAAGGGAATATTCAACTCTGTGACTTGAATGCACATATCACAAAGAAGTTTCTGAGAATGCTTTCTGTCGAGAATTTTCTATGAAGATATTCCCGTTTCCAACGAAATCCTGAAATCTATCCAAATATCCCCTCGCAGATTCTACAAAAAGAGTGTTTCAAAACTGCTCTGTAAAAAGAAAGGTTCAACTCTGTTACTTCAGTACACACATCACAAACAAGTTTCACAGAATGCTTCTTTCTAGCTTGTAGGGGAAGATATTCCCTTTATCACCATGGGCCTCAAACCGTCCGAAACGTCCACTTCCATATACTACAAAAAGAGCGTTTCAAACCTGCTCTATGAAAGGCAATGTTCAACTCTTTGACTTGAATGCAGACATCACAGAGCAGTTTCTGAGAATGCTTCTGTCTAGACTTTATAGGAAGATATTCCCGTTTCCAACGAAATCTTCACAGCTATCCAAATATGCACTTGCAGATTCTACAAAAAGAGTGTATCAAAAGTGCTCTGTCAAAAGGAAGGTTCTTCTCTGTTAGTTGAGTACATACGTCATAAAGGAGTTTCTGAGAATGTTTTCTGTCTAGTGGTTATGGGAAGATATTTGCTTTTTCACCTTAGGCCTCAGAGCGGCTCCATATATCCCCTTGCACATACTACAAAAAGAGTGCTTCAAAGCTGCTCTCTGAAAGGGAATGTTCAACTCTATGAGTTGAATGCAAACATCACAAAGACGTTTCTGAGAATGCTTCTGTCTAGATTTGATATGAAGATATTCCCGTTTCCAAAGAAATCTTCAAATCTATCCAAATGTCCACTTGCAGATTCAACAAAAAGTGTTTTTCAAAACTGCTCTATCAAAAGAAAGATCCACGGCTCTTAGCTGAGTTCACACATCACGAACAAGTTTATGAGAATGCTTCTGTCTAGTTTTTATTTGAAGATATTTCCTTTCTCACCATAGACCTGAAAGCTGTCCTAATGTTCACTTCCAGATACTACAGAAAGAGTGTTTCAAAACTGCTGTACGAAAGGTAATGTTCAACTCTGTGACTTGAATGCACACATCACAAAGAAGTTTCTGAGGATGCTGCTGTCTACTTTTTATACGTAATCCCGTTTCCAACGAAATCCTCCAATCTATCCAAATATCCACTTGCAGATTCCACAGAAAGACTGTTTCAAATCTGCTCAGTCAATAGAAAGGTTCAACTCTGTTAGCTGCGTGCATATATCCCAAAGAAGATTCTGAGATTGCTTCTGTCTAGTTTTTATGGGAAGATATTTCCCTTTTCACCGTAGGTGTCAAGGCGCTCCAAATGTCCACTTCCAGATACTACAAAAAGAGTGTTTCAAACCTACTCTGTGAAAGGGAATATTCAACTCTGTGATTGAATGCACATATCACAAAGAAGTTTCTGAGAATGCTTCTGTCGCGATTTTATATGAAGATATTCCCGTTTCCAACAAAATCCTGAAATCTTTCCAAATATCTCCTCGCAGATTCTACAAAAAGAGTGTTTCAAAACTGCTCTGTAAAAAGAAAGGTTCAACTCTGTTAGTTGAGTACACACATCACAAACAAGTTTCACAGAATGCTTCTTTCTAGCTTGTAGGGGAATATATTCCCTTTATCACCATGGGCCTCCAACCGTCCGAAACATCCACTTCCATATACTACAAAAAGAGCGTTTCAAACCTGCTCTATGAAAGGCAATGTTCAACTCTGTGACTTGAATGCAGACATCACAGAGCAGTTTCTGAGAATGCTTCTGTCTAGATTTTATAGGAAGATATTCCCGTTTCCAACGAAATCTTCACAGCTATCCAAATATCCACTTGCAGATTCTACAAAAAGAGTGTATCAAAACTGCTCTGTCAAAAGGAAGGTTCTTCTCTGTTGGGTGAGTGCATACGTCAGAAAGGAGTTTCTGAGAATGTTTCTGTCTAGTGGTTATGGGAAGATATTTGCTTTTTCACCTTAGGCCTCAGAGCGATCCAAATATCCACTTGCACATACTACAAAAAGAGTGCTTCAAAGCTGCTCTCTGAAAGTGAATGTTCAACTCTATGAGTTGAATGCAAACATCACAAAGACGTTTCCGAGAATGCTTCTGTCTAGATTTGATATGAAGATATTCCCGTTTCCAACGAAATCTTCAAATCTATCCAAATGTCTACTTGCAGATTCAACAAAAAGTGTTTTTCAAAACTGCTGTATCAAAAGAAAGATCCACGTCTGTTAGCTCAGTTCACACATCACAAACAAGTTTATGAGAATGCTTCTGTCTAGTTTTTATTTGAAGATATTTCCTTTCTCACCATAGACCTGAAAGCTGTCCTAATGTTCACTTCCAGATACTACAGAAAGAGTGTTTCAAAACTGCTGTACGAAAGGGAATGTTCAACTGTGTGACTTGAATGCACACATCACAAAGAAGTTTCTGAGGATGCTGCTGTCTACTTTTTATACGTAATGCCGTTTCCAACGAAATCCTCCAAGCTATCCAAATATCCACTTGCAGATTCCACAGAAAGACTGTTTCAAAACTGCTCTGTCAATAGAAAGGTTCAACTCTGTTAGCTGCGTGCATATATCCCAAAGAAGATTCTGAGATTGCTTCTGTCTAGTTTTTATGGGAAGATATTTCCCTTTTCACCGTAGGCGTCAAGGCGCTCCAAATGTCCACTTCCAGATACTACAAAAAGAGTGTTTCAAACCTACTCTGTGAAAGGGAATATTCAACTCTGTGACTTGAATGCAGATATCACAAAGAAGTTTATGAGAATGCTTCTGTCGAGATTTTATATGAAGATATTCCCGTTTCCAACGAAATGCTGAAATGTATCCAAATATCCCCTCGCAGATTCTACAAAAAGAGTGTTTCAAAACTGCTCTGTAAAAAGAAAGGTTCATCTCTGTTAGTTGAGTACACACATCACAAACAAGTTTCACAGAATGCTTCTTTCTAGCTTGTAGGGGAAGATATTCCCTTTATCACCATGGGCCTCAAACCGTCCGAAACATCCACTTCCATATACTACAAAAAGAGCGTTTCCAACCTGCTCTATGAAAGGCAATGTTCAACTCTGTGACTTGAATGGAGACATCACAGAGCAGTTTCTGAGAATGCTTCTGTCTAGATTTTATAGGAAGATATTCCCGTTTCCAACGAAAGCTTCACAGCTATCCAAATATCCACTTGCAGATTCTACAAAAAGAGTGTATCAAAACTGCTCTGTCAAAAGGAAGGTTCTTCTCTGTTAGGTGAGTGCATACGTCATACAGGAGTTTCTGAGAATGTTTCTGTCTAGTGGTTAGGGGAAGATATTTGCTTTTTCACCTTAGGCCTCACAGCGCTCCAAATATCCCCTTGCACATACTACAAAAAGAGTGCTTCAAAGCTGCTCTCTGAAACGGAATGTTCAACTGTATGAGTTGAATGCAAACATCACAAAGACGTTTCTGAGAATGCTTCTCTCTAGATTTGATATGAAGATATTCCCGTTTCCAACGAAATCTTCAAATCTATCCAAATGTCCACTTGCAGATTCAACAAAAAGTGTTTTTCAGAACTGCTCTATCAAAAGAAAGATCCACCTCTGTTAGCTGAGTTCACACATCACAAACAAGTTTATGAGAATGCTTCTGTCTAGTTTTTATTTGAAGATATTTCCTTTCTCACCATAGACCTGAAAGCTGTCCTAATGTTCACTTCCAGTTACTACAGAAAGAGTGTTTCAAAACTGCTGTACGAAAGGGAATGTTCAACTTCTGTGACTTGAATGCACACATCACAAAGAAGTTTCTGAGGATGCTGCTGTCTACTTTTTATACTTAATCCCGTTTCCAACGAAATCCTCCAAGCTATCCAAATATCCACTTGCAGATTCCACAGAAAGACTGTTTCAAAACTGCTCTGTCAATAGAAAGGTTCAATTCTGTTAGCTGCGTGCATATATCCCAAAGAAGATTCTGAGATTGCTTCTGTCTAGTTTTTATGGGAAGATATTTCCCTTTTCACCGTGGGCGTCAAGGCGCTCCAAATGTCCACTTCCAGATACTACAAAAAGAGTGTTTCAAACCTACTCTGTGAAAGGGAATATTCAACTCTGTGACTTGAATGCACATATCACAAGGAAGTTTTCTGAGAATGCTTCTGTCGAGATTTTATATGAAGATATTCCCGTTTCCAACGAAATCCTGAAATCTATCCAAATATCCCCTCGCAGATTCTACAAAAAGAGTGTTTCAAAACTGCTCTGTAAAAAGAAAGGTTCAACTCTGTTAGTTGAGTGCACATATCACAAACAAGTTTCACAGAATGCTTCTTTCTAGCTTGTAGGGGAAGATATTCCCTTTATCACCATGGGCCTCAAACCGTCCGAAACGTCCACTTCCATATACTACAAAAAGAGCGTTTCAAACCTGTTCTAGGAAAGGCAATGTTCAACTCTGTGACTTGAATGCAGACATCACAGAGCAGTTTCTGAGAATGCTTCTGTCTAGATTGTATAGGAAGATATTCCCGTTTCCAACGAAATCTTCACAGCTATCCAAATATCCACTTGCAGATTCTACAAAAAGAGTGTATCAAAACTGCTCTGTCAAAAGGAAGGTTCTTCTCTGTTAGGTGAGTGCATACGTCATAAAGGAGTTTCTGAGAATGTTTCTGTCTAGTGGTTATGGGAAGATATTTGCTTTTTCACCTTAGGCCTCAGAGTGCTCCAAATATCCCCTTGCACATACTACAAAAAGAGTGCTTCAAAGCTGCTCTCTGAAAGGGAATGTTCAACTCTATGAGTTGAATGCAAACATCACAAAGACGTTTCTGAGAATGCTTCTGTCTAGATTTGATATGAAGATATTCCCGTTTCCAACGAAATCTTCAAATCTATCCAAATGTCCACTTGCAGATTCAACAAAAAGTGTTTTTCAGAACTGCTCTATCAAAAGAAAGATCCACATCTGTTAGCTGAGTTCACACATCACAAACAACTTTATGAGAATGCTTCTGTGTAGTTTTTATTTGAAGATATTTCCTTTCTCACCATAGAGCTGAAATCTGTCCTAATGTTCACTTCCAGATACTACAGAAAGAGTGTTTCAAAACTGCTGTACGAAAGGGAATGTTCAACTCTGTGACTTTAATGCACACATCACAAAGAAGTTTCTGAGGATGCTGCTGTCTACTTTTTATACGTAATCCCGTTTCCAACGAAATCCTCCAAGCTATCCAAATATCCACTTGCAGATTCCACAGAAAGACTGTTTCTAAACTGCTCTGTCAATAGAAAGGTTCAACTCTGTTAGCTGCGTGCATATATCCCAAAGAAGATTCTGAGATTCCTTCTGTCTAGTTTTTATGGGAAGATATTTCCCTTTTCACCGTAGGCGTCAAGGCGCTCCAAATGTCCACTTCCAGATACTACAAAAAGAGTGTTTCAAACCTACTCTGTGAAAGGGAATATTCAACTCCTGTGACTTGAAGGCAGATATCACAAAGAAGTTTCTGAGAATGCTTCTGTCGAGATTTTATATGAAGATATTCCCGTTTCCAACGACATCCTGAAATCTATCCAAATATCCCCTCGCAGATTCTACAAAAAGAGTGTTTCAAAACTGCTCTGTAAAAAGAAAGGTTCAACTCTGTTAGTTGAGTACACACCTCACAAACAAGTTTCACAGAATGCTTCTTTCTAGCTTGTAGGGGAAGATATTCCCTTTATCATCATGGGCCTCAAACCGTCCGAAACGTCCACTTCCATATACTACAAAAAGAGCGTTTCAAACCTGCTCTATCAAAGGCAATGTTCAACTCTGTGACTTGAATGCAGACATCACAGAGCAGTTTCTGAGAATGCTTCTGTCTAGATTTTATAGGAAGATATTCCCGTTTCCAACGAAATCTTCACAGCTATCCAAATATCCACTTGCAGATTCTACAAAAAGAGTGTATCAAAACTGCTCTGTCAAAAGGAGGGTTCTTCTCTGTTAGTTGAGTACATACGTCATAAAGGAGTTTCTGAGAATGTTTCTGTCTAGTGGTTATGGGAAGATATTTGCTTTTTCACCGTAGGCCTCAGAGCGCTCCAAATATCCCCTTGCACATACTACAAAAAGAGTGCTTCAAAGCTGCGCTCTGAAAGGGAATGTTCAACTCTGTGAGTTGAATGCAAACATCACAAAGACGTTTTCTGAGAATGCTTCTGTCTAGATTTGATATGAAGATATTTCCGTTTCCAATGAAATCTTCAAATCTATTCAAGTGTCCACTTGCAGATTCAACAAAAAGTGTTTTTCAAAAGGGCTGTATAAAAAGAAAGATCCACCTCTGTTAGTTGAGTTCACACATCAAAACAAGTTTATGAGAATGCTTCTGTCTAGTTTTTATTTGAAGATATTTCCTTTCTCACAATAGACCTGAAAGCTCTCGTCCCGTTCACTTCCAGGTACTAGAGAAAGAGTGTTTCAAACCTGCTGTACGAAAGGGAATGTTCAACTCTTTGACTTGAATGCACACATCACAAAGAAGTTTCTGAGAATGCTGCTGTCTACTTTTTATACGTAATCCTGTTTCCAACGAAATCCTCCAAGCTATCCAAATATCCACTTGCAGATTCCACAGAAAGACTGTTTCAAAACTGCTATGTCAATAGAAAAGTTCAACTCTGTTAGCTGTGTGCATATATCCCAAAGAAGATTCTGAGATTGCTTCTGTCTAGTTTTTATGGGAAGATATTTCCCTTTTCACCGTAGGTGTCAAGGCGCTCCAAATGTCCACTTCCAGATATTACAAAAAGAGTGTTTCAAACCTACTCTCTGAAAGGGAATATTCAACTCTGTGACTTGAATGCAGATATCACAATGAAGTTTCTGAGAATGCTTCTGTCGAGATTTTATATGAAGATATTCCCGTTTCCAACGAAATGCTGAAATCTATCCAAATATCCCCTCGCAGATTCTACAAAAAGAGTGTTTCAAAACTGCTCTGTAAAAAGGAAGGTTCAACTCTGTTAGTTGAGTACACACATCACAAACAAGTTTCACAGAATGCTTCTTTCTAGCTTGTAGGGGAAGATATTCCCTTTATCACCATGGGCCTCAAACCGCCCGAAACGTCCACTTCCATATACTACAAAAAGAGGGTTTCAAACCTGCTCTATGAAAGGCAATGTTCAACTCTGTGACTTGAATGCAGACATCACAGAGCAGTTTCTGAGAATTCTTCTGTCTAGATTTTATAGGAAGATATTCCCGTTTCCAACGAAATCTTCACAGCTATCCAAATATCCACTTGCAGATTCTACAAAAAGAGTGTATCAAAACTGCTCTGTCAAAAGGAAGGTTCTTCTGTGTTAGGTGAGTGCATACGTCATAAAGGAGTTTCTGAGAATGTTTCTGTCTAGTGGTTATGGGAGATATTTGCTTTTTCCCCGTAGGCCTCAAAGCGCTCCAAATGTCCACTTGCACATACTACAAAAAGAGTGCTTCAAAGCTGCTCTCTGAAAGGGAATGTTCAACTCTATGAGTTGAATGCAAACATCACAAAGACGTTTCTGAGAATGCTTCTGTCTAGATTTGATATGAAGATATTCCCGTTTCCAACGAAATCTTCAAATCTATCCAAATGTCCACTTGCAGATTCAACAAAAAATGTTTTTCAGAACTGCTCTATCAAAAGAAAGATCCACCTCTGTTAGCTGAGTTCACACATCACAAACAAGTTTATGAGAATGCTTCTGTCTAGTTTATATTTGAAGATATTTCCTTTCTCACCATAGACCTGAAAGCTGTCCTAATGTTCACTTCCAGATACTACAGAAAGAGTGTTTCAAAACTGCTGTACGAAAGGGAATGTTCAACTCTGTGACTTGAATGCACACATCACAAAGAAGATTCTGAGGATGCTGCTGTCTACTTTTTATACGTAATCCCGTTTCCAACGAAATCCTCCAAGCTATCCAAATATCCACTTGCAGATTCCACAGAAAGACTGTTTCAAAACTGCTCTGTCAATAGAAAGGTTCAACTCTGTTAGCTGCGTGCATGTATCCCAAAGAAGATTCTGAGATTGCTTCTGTCTAGTTTTTATGGGAAGATATTTCCCTTTTCACCGTAGACGTCAAGGCGCTCCAAATGTCCACTTCCAGATACTACAAAAAGAGTGTTTCAAACCTACTCTGTGAAAGGGAATATTCAACTCTGTGACTTGAATGCACATATCACAAAGAAGTTTCTGAGAATGCTTCTGTCTAGATTTTATAGGAAGATATTCCCGTTTCCAACGAAATCTTCACAGCTATACAAATATCCACTTGCAGATAGTACAAAAAGAGTGTATCAAAAATGCTCTGTCAAAAGGAAAGTTCTTCTCTGCTAGTTGAGTACATACGTCATAAAGAAGTTTCTGAGAATGTTTCTTTCTAGCTTGTAGGGGAAGATATTCCCTTTATCACCATGGGCCTCCAACCGTCCGAAACATCCACTTCCATATACTCCAAAAAGAGCGTTTCAAACCTGCTCTATGAAAGGCAATGTTCAACTCTGTGACTTGAATGCAGACATCACAGAGCAGTTTCTGAGAATGCTTCTGTATAGATTTTATAGGAAGATATTCCCGTTTCCAACGAAATCTTCACAGCTATCCAAATATCCACTTGCAGATTCTACAAAAAGAGTGTATCAAAACTGCTCTGTCAAAAGGAAGGTTCTTTTCTGTTAGGTGAGTGCATACGTCATAAAGGATTTTCTGAGAATGCTTTTGTCTAGTGGTTATGGGAAGATATTTGCTTCTTCCCCGTAGGCCTCAGAACGCTCCAAATATCCACTTGCACATACTACAAAAAGAGTGCTTCAAAGCTGCTCTCTGAAACGGAATGTTCAACTCTATGAGTTGAATGCAAACATCACAAAGACGTTTCTGAGAATGCTTCTGTCTAGATTTGATATGAAGATATTCCCGTTTCCAACGAAATCTTCAAATCTATCCAAATGTCCACTTGCAGATTCAACAAAATGTGTTTTTCCGAACTGCTCTATCAAAAGAAAGATCCGCCTCTGTTAGCTGAGTTCACACATCACAAACAAGTTTATGAGAATGCTTCTGTCTAGTTTTTATTTGAAGATATTTCCTTTCTCAATATAGACCTGAAAGCTGTCCTAATATTCACTTTCAGATACTACAGAAAGAGTGTTTCAAAACTGCTGTATGAAAGGGAATGTTCAACTCTGTGACTTGAATGCACACATCACAAAGAAGTTTCTGAGGATGCTGCTGTCTACTTTTTATACGTAATCCCGTTTCCAACGAAATCCTCCAAGCTATCCAAATATCCACTTGCAGGTTCCACAGAAAGACTGTTTCAAAACTGCTATGTCAATAGAAAAGTTCAACTCTGTTAGCTGTGTGCATATATCCCAAAGAAGATTCTGAGATTGCTTCTGTCTAGTTTTTATGGGAAGATATTTCCCTTTTCACCGTAGGTGTCAAGGTGCTCCAAATGTCCAATTCCAGATACTACAAAAAGAGTGTTTCAAACCTACTCTGTGAAAGGGAATATTCAACTCTGTGACTTGAATGTAGATATCACAAAGAAGTTTCTGAGAATGCTTCTGTCGAGATTTTATATGAAGATATTCCCGTTTCCAACGAAATCCTGAAATCTATCCAAATATCCCCTCGCAGATTCTACAAAAAGAGTGTTTCAAAACTGCTCTTTAAAAAGAAAGGTTCAACTCTGTTAGTTGAGTACACACATCACAAACAAGTTTCACAGAATGCTTCTTTCTAGCTTGTAGGGGAAGATATTCCCTTTATCACCATGGGCCTCAAACCGTCCGATAAGTCCACTTCCATATACTACAAAAAGAGCGTTTCAAACCTGCTCTATGAAAGACAACGTTCAACTCTGTGACTTGAATGCAGACATCACAGAGCAGTTTCTGAGAATGCTTCTGTCTAGATTTTATAGGAAGATATTCCCGTTTCCAACGAAATCTTCACAGCTATCCAAATATCCACTTGCAGATTCTATAAAAAGAGTGTATCAAAACTGCTCTGTCAAAAGGAAGGTTCTTTTCTGTTAGGTGAGTGCATACGTCATAAAGGAGTTTCTGAGAATGTTTCTGTCTAGTGGTTATGGGAAGATATTTGCTTTTTCCCCGTAGGCCTCAGGGCACTCCAAATGTCCACTTGCACATGCTACAAAAAGAGTGCTTCAAAGCTACTCTCTGGAAGGGAATGTTCAACTCTATGAGTTGAATGCAAACATCACAAAGACGTTTCTGAGAATGCTTCTGTCTAGGTTTGATATGAAGATATTCCCGTTTCCAACGAAATCTTCAAATCTATCCAAATGTCCACTTGCAGATTCAACAAAAAGTGTTTTTCAGAACTGCTCTATCAAAAGAAAGATCCACCTCTGTTAGCTGAGTTCACACATCACAAACAAGTTTATGAGAATGCTTCTGTCTAGTTTTTATTTGAAGATATTTCCTTTCTCACCATAGACCTGAAAGCTGTCCTAATGTTCACTTCCAGATACTACAGAAAGAGTGTTTCAAAACTGCTGTACGAAAGGGAATGTTCAACTCTGTGACTTGAATGCACACATCACAAAGAAGTTTCTGAGGATACTGCTGTCTACTTTTTATACGTAATCCCATTTCCAACGAAATCCTCCAAGCTATCCAAATATCCACTTGCAGATTCCACAGAAAGACTGTTTCAAAACTGCTCTGTCAATAGAAAGGTTCAACTCTGTTAGCTGCATGCATATATCCCAAAGAAGATTCTGAGATTGCTTCTGTCTAGTTTTTATGGGAAGATATTTCCCTTTTCACCGTAGGTGTCAAGGCGCTCCAAATGTCCACTTCCAGATACTACAAAAAGAGTGTTTCAAACCTTCTCTATGGAAGGGAATATTGAACTCTGTGACTTGAATGCAGATATCACAAAGAAGTTTCTGAAAATGCTTCTGTCGAGATTTTATAGGAAGATATTCCCGTTTCCAACGAAATCCTGAAATCTATCCAAATAACCCCTCGCAGATTCTACAAAAAGAGTGTTTCAAAACTGCTCTGTAAAAAGAAAGGTTCAACTCTGTAAGATGAGTACACACACCACAAACAAGTTTCACAGAATGCTTCTTTCTAGCTTGTAGGGAAAGATATTCCCTTTATCACCATGGGCCTCAAAGCGTCCGAAACGTCCACTTCCATATACTACAAAAAGAGCGTTTCAAACCTGCTCTAGGAAAGGCAATGTTCAACTCTGTGACTTGAATGCAGACATCACAGAGTAGTTTCTGAGAATGCTTCTGTCTAGATATTATAGGAGGATATTCCCGTTTCCAACGAAATCTTCACAGCTATCCAAATATCCACTTGCAGATTCTACAAAAAGAGTGTATCAAAACTGCTCTGTCAAAAGGAAGGTTCTTCTCTGTTAGATGAGTGCATACGTCATAAAGGAGTTTCTGAGAATGTTTCTGTGTAGTGGTTATGGGAAGATATTTGCTTTTTCCCCGTAGGCCTCAGAGCGCTCCAAATATCCACTTGCACATACTACAAAAAGAGTGCTTCAAAGCTGCTCTCTGAAACGGAATGTTCAACTCTATGAGTTGAATGCAAACATCACAAAGACGTTTCTGAGAATGCTTCTGTCTAGATTTGATATGAAGATATTCCCGTTTCCAATGAAATCTTCAAATCTATCCAAATGTCCACTTGCAGATTCAACGAAAAGTGTTTTTCAAAACTGCTGTATCAAAAGAAAGATCCACCTCTGTTAGCTGAGTTCACACATCACAAACAAGTTTATGAGAATGCTTCTGTCTAGTTTTTATTTGAAGATATTTCCTTTCTCACCATAGACCTGAAAGCTGTCCTAATGTTCACTTCCAGATACTACAGAAAGAGTGCTTCAAAACTGCTGTACGAAAGGGAATGTTCAACTCTGTGACTTGAATGCACACATCACAAAGAAGTTTCTGAGGATGCTGCTGTCTACTTTTTATACGTAATCCCGTTTCCAACGAAATCCTCCAAGCTATCCAAATATCCACTTGCAGATTCCACAGAAAGACTGTGTCAAAACTGCTCTGTCAATAGGAAGGTTCAACTCTGTTAGCTGCGTGCATATATCCCAAAGAAGATTCTGAGATTGCTTCTGTCTAGTTTTTATGGGAAGATATTTCCCTTTTCACCGTAGGCGTCAAGGCGCTCCAAATGTCCACTTCCAAATACTACAAAAAGAGTGTTTCAAACCTACTCTGTGAAAGGGAATATTCAACTCTGTGACTTGAATGCACATATCACAAAGAAGTTTCTGAGAATGCTTCTGTCGAGATTTTATATGAAGATATTCCCGTTTCCAACGAAATCCTGAAATCTATCCAAATATCCCCTCGCAGATTCTACAAAAAGAGTGTTTCAAAACTGCTCTGTAAAAAGAAAGGTTCAACTCTGTTAGTTGAGTACACACATCACAAACAAGTTTCACAGAATGTTTCTTTCTAGCTTGTAGGGGAAGATATTCCCTTTATCACCATGGGCCTCAAACCGTCCGAAACGTCCACTTCCATATACTACAAAAAGAGCGTTTCAAACCTGCTCTAGGAAAGGCAATGTTCAACTCTGTGACTTGAATGCAGACATCACATAGCAGTTTCTGAGAATGCTTCTGTCTAGATTTTATAGGAAGATATTCCCGTTTCCAACGAAATCTTCACAGCTATCCAAATATCCACTGGCAGATTCTACAAAAAGAGTGTATCAAAACTGCTCTGTCAAAAGGAAGGTTCTTCTCTGTTAGTTGAGTACATACGTCATAAAGGAGTTTCTGAGAATGTTTCTGTCTAGTGGTTATGGGAAGATATTTGCTTTTTCACCGTAGGCCTCAGAGCGCTGCAAATATCCGCTTGCACATACTACAAAAAGAGTGCTTCAAAGCTGCTCTCTGAAACGGAATGTTCAACTCTATGAGTTGAATGCAAACATGACAAAGACGTTTCTGAGAATGCTTCTGTCTAGATTTGATATGAAGATATTCCCGTTTCCAATGACATCTTCAAATCTATCCAAATGTCCACTTGCAGATTCAACAAAACGTGTTTTTCAGAACTGCTCTATCAAAAGAAAGATCCACCTCTGTTAGCTGAGTTCACACATCACAAAAAAGTTTATGAGAATGCTTCTGTCTAGTTTTTATTTGTAGATATTTCCTTTCTCACCATAGAGCTGAAAGCTGTCCTAATGTTCACTTCCAGATACTACAGAAAGAGTGTTTCAAAACTGCTGTACGAAAGGGAATGTTCAACTCTGTGACTTGAATGCACACATCACAAAGAAGTTTCTGAGGATGCTGCTGTCTACTTTTTATACGTAATCCCGTTTCCAAAGAAATCCTCCAAGCTATCCAAATATCCACTTGCAGATACCACAGAAAGACTGTTTCAAAACTGCTCTGTCAATAGAAAGGTTCAACTCTGTTAGCTGCGTCCATATATCTCAAAGAGGATTCTGAGATTGCTTCTGTCTACTTTTTATGAGAAGATATTTCCCTTTTCACGGTAGGTGTCAAGGCGCTCCAAATGTCCACTTCCAGATACTACAAAAAGAGTGTTTCAAACCTACTCTGTGAAAGGGAATATTCAACTCTGTGACTTGAATGCACATATCACAAAGAAGTTTCTGAGAATGCTTCTGTCGGGATTTTATATGAATATATTCACGTTTCCAACGAAATCCTGAAATCTATCCAAATATCCCCTCGCAGATTCTACAAAAAGAGTGTTTCAAAAGTGCTCTGTAAAAAGAAAGGTTCAACTCTGTTAGTTGAGTACACACATCACAAACAAGTTTCACAGAATGCTTCTTTCTAGCTTGTAGGGGAAGATATTCCCTTTATCACCATGGGCCTCAAACCGTCCGAAACGTCCACTTCCATATAATACAAAAAGAACGCTTCAAACCTGCTCTATGAAAGACAATGTTCAACTCTGTGACTTGAATGCAGACATCACAGAGCAGTTTCTGAGAATGCTTCTGTCTAGATTTTACAGGAAGATATTCCCGTTTCCAACGAAATCTTCACAGCTATCCAAATATCCACTTGCAGATTCTACAAAAAGAGTGTATCAAAACTGCTCTGTCAAAAGGAAGGTTCTTCTCTTTTAGGTGAGTGCATACGTCATAAAGGAATTTCTGAGAATGTTTCTGTCTAGTGGTTATGGGAAGATATTTGCTTTTTCACCGTAGGCCTCAGAGCCCTCCAAATATCCACTTGCACATACTACAAAAAGAGTGCTTCAAACCTGCTCTCTGAAACGGAATGTTCAACTCTGAGTTGAATGCAAACATCACAAAGACGTTTCTGAGAATGCTTCTGTCTAGATTTGATATGAAGATATTCCCGTTTCCAACGAAATCTTCAAATCTATCCAAATGTCCACTTGCAGATTCAACAAAAAGTGTTTTTCAGAACTGCTCTATCAAAAGGAAAGATCCACCTCTGTTAGCTGAGTTCACACATCACAAACAAGTTTATGAGAATGCTTCTGTCTAGTTTTTATTTAAAGATATTTCCTTTCTCACCATAGAGCTGAAAGCTGTCCTAATATTCACTTCCAGATACTACAGAAAGAGTGTTTCAAAACTGCTGTACGAAAGGGAATGTTCAACTCTGTGACTTGAATGCACACATCACAAAGAAGTTTCTGAGGATGCTGCTGTCTACTTTTTATACGTAATCCCGTTTCCAACGAAATCCTCCAAGCTATCCAAATATCCACCTGCAGATTCCACAGAAAGACTGTTTCAAAACTGCTCTGTCAATAGAAAGGTTCAACTCTATTAGCTGCGTACATATATCCCAAAGAAGATTCTGAGATTGCTTCTGTCTAGTTTTTATGGGAAGATATTTCCCTTTTCACCGTAGGTGTCAAGGCGCTCCAAATGTCCACTTCCAGATACTACAAAAGGAGTGTTTCAAACCTACTCTGTGAAAGGGAATATTCAACTCTGTGACTTGAATGCAGATATCACAAAGAAGATTCTGAGAATGCTTCTGTCGAGATTTTATATGAAGATATTCCCGTTTCCAACGAAATCCTGAAATCTATCCAAATATCGCCTCGCAGATTCTACAAAAAGAGTGTTTCAAAACTGCTCTGTAAAAAGAACGGTTCAACTCTGTTAGTTGAGTACACACATCACAAACAAGTTTCACAGAATGCTTCTTTCTAGCTTGTAGGGGAAGGTATTCCCTTTATCACCATGGGCCTCAAACCGTCCGAAACGTCCACTTCCATATACTACAAAAAGAGCGTTTCAAACCTGCTCTAGGAAAGGCAATGTTCAACTCTGTGACTTGAATGCAGACATCACAGAGCAGTTTCTGAGAATGCTTCTGTCTAGGTTTTATAGGAAGATATTCCCGTTTCCAACGAAATCTTCACAGCTATCCAAATATCCACTTGCAGATTCTACAAAAAGTGTGTATCAAAACTGCTCTGTCAAAAGGAAGGTTCTTCTCTGTTAGTTGAGTACATACGTCATAAAGGAGTTTCTGAGAATGTTTCTGTCTAGTGGTTATGGGAAGATATTTGCTTTTTCACCGTAGGCCTCAGAGCGCTCCAAATATCCACTTGCACATACTACAAAAAGAGTGCCTCAAAGCTGCTCTCTGAAACGGAATGTTCAACTCTATGAGTTGAATTCAAACATCACAAAGACGTTTCTGAGAATGCTTCTGTCTAGATTTGATAGGAAGATATTCCCGTTTCCAACGAAATCTTCAAATCTATCCAAATGTCCACTTGCAGATTCAACAAAAAGTGTTTTTCAGAACTGCTCTATCAAAAGAAATATCCACCTCTGTTAGCTGAGTTCACACATCAAAAACAAGTTTATGAGAATGCTTCTGTCTAGTTTTTATTTGAAGATATTTCCTTTCTCACCATAGACCTGAAAGCTGTCCTAATGTTCACTTCCAGATACTACAGAAAGAGTGTTTCAAAACTGCTCTACGAAAGGGAATGTTCAACTCTGTGACTTGAATGCACACATCACAAAGAAGTTTCTGAGGATGCTGCTGTCTACTTTTTATACGTAATCCCGTTTCCAACAAAATCCTCCAAGCTATCCAAATATCCACTTGCAGATTCCACAGAAAGACTGTTTCAAAACTGCTCTGTCAATAGAAAGGTTCAACTCCGTTAGCTGCGTGCATATATCCCAAAGAAGATTCTGAGATTGCTTCTGTCTAGTTTTTATGGGAAGATATTTCCCTTTTCACTGTAGGCGTCAAGGCGCTCCAAATGTCCACTTCCAGATACTACAAAAAGAGTGTTTCAAACCTACTCTGTGAAAGGGAATATTCAACTCCTGTGACTTGAATGCAGATATCACAAAGAAGTTTGCTGAGAATGCTTCTGTCGAGATTTTATATGAAGATATTCCCCTTTCCAACGAAATCCTGAAATCTATCCAAATATCCCCTCGCAGATTCTACAAAAAGAGTGTTTCAAAACTGCTCTGTAAAAAGAAAGGTTCAACTCTGTTAGTTGAGTACACACATCACAAAGAAGTTTCACAGAATGCTTCTTTCTAGCTTGTAGGGGAAGATATTCCCTTTATCACCATGGGCCTCAAACCGTCTGAAACGTCCACTTCCATATACTACAAAAAGAGCATTTCAAACCTGCTCTATGAAAGGCAATGTTCAACTCTGTGACTTGAATACAGACATCACAGAGCAGTTTCTGAGAATGCTTCTGTCTAGATTTTATAGGAAGATATTCCCGTTTCCAACGATATCTTCACAGCTATCCCAATATCCACTTGCAGATTCTACAAAAAGAGTGTATCAAAACTGCTCTGTCAAAAGGAAGGTTCTTCTCTGTTAGGTGAGTGCATACCGTCATAAAGGAGTTTCTGAGAATGTTTCTGTCTAGTGGTTATGGGAAGATATTTGCTTTTTCACCGTAGGCCTCAGAGCGCTCCAAATATCCCCTTGCACATACTACAAAAAGAGTGCTTCAAAGCTGCTCTCTGAAACGGAATGTTCAAATCTATGAGTTGAATGCAAACATCACAAAGACGTTTCTGGGAATGCTTCTGTCTAGATTTGATATGAAGATATTCCCGTTTCCAACGAAATCTTCAAATCTATCCAAATGTCCACTTGCAGATTCAACAAAGTGTTTCTCAAAACTGCTGTATCAAAAGAAAGATCCACCTCTGTTACCTGAGTTCACACTTCGCAAACAAGTTTATGAGAATGCTTCTGTCTAGTTTTTATTTGAAGATATTGCCTTTCTCACCATAGACCTGAAAGCTGTCCTAATGTTCACTTCCAGATACTACAGAAAGAGTGTTTCAAAACTGCTGTACGAAAGGGAATGTTCAACTCTGTGACTTGAATGCACACATCACAAAGTAGTTTCTGAGGATGCTGCTGTCTACTTTTTATACGTAATCCCGTTTCCAACGGAAATCCTCCAAGCTATCCAAATATCCACTTGCAGATTCCACAGAAAGACTGTTTCAAAACTGCTCTGTCAATAGAAAGGTTCAACTCTGTTAGCTGCATGCATATATCCCAAAGAAGATTCTGAGATTGCTTCTGTCTAGTTTTTATGGGAAGATATTTCCCTTTTCACCGTAGGTGTCAAGGCGCTCCAAATGTCCACTTCCAGATACTACAAAAAGAGTGTTTCAAACCTACTCTGTGAAAGGGAATATTCAACTCTGTGACTTGAATGCACATATTACAAAGAAGTTTCTGAGAATGCTTCTGTCGAGATTTTATATGAAGATATTCCCGTTTCCAACGAAATGCTGAAATGTATCAAATATCCCCTCGCAGATTCTACAAAAAGAGTGTTTCAAAACTGCTCTGTAAAAAGAGAGGTTCAACTCTGTTAGTTGAGTACACACATCACAAACAAGTTTCACAGAATGCTTCTTTCTAGCTTGTAGGGGAAGATATTCCCTTTATTACCATGGGCCTCCAACCGTCCGAAACATCCACTTCCATATACTACAAAAAGAGCGTTTCAAACCTGCTCTATGAAAGGCAATGTTCAACTCTGTGACTTGAATGCAGACATCACAGAGCAGTTTCTGAGAATGCTTCTCTCTAGATTTTATAGGAAGATATTCCCGTTTCCAACGAAATCTTCACAGCTATCCAAATATCCACTTGCAGATTCTACAAAAAGAGTGTATCAAAACTGCTCTGTCAAAAGGAAGGTTCTTCTCTGTTAGGTGAATGCATACGTCATAAAGGAGTTTCTGAGAATGTTTCTGTCTAGTGGTTATGGGAAGATATTTGCTTTTTCACCGTAGGCCTCAGAGCGCTCCAAATATCCACTTGCACATACTACAAAAAGAGTGCTTCAAATCTGGTCTCTGAAACGGAATGTTCAACTCTATGAGTTGAATGCAAACATCACAAAGACGTTTCTGAGAATGCTTCTGTCTAGATTTGATATGAAGATATTCCCGTTTCCAACGAAATCTTCAAATCTATCCAAATGTCCACTTGCAGATTCAACAAAAAGTGTTTTTCAGAACTGCTCTATCAAAAGAAAGATCCACCTCTGTTAGCTGAGTTCACACATCACAAACAATTTATGAGAATGCTTCTGTCTAGTTTTTATTTGAAGATATATCCTTTCTCACTATAGACCTGAAATCTGTCCTAAAGTTCACTTCCAGATACTACAGAAAGAGTGTTTCAAAACTGCTGTACGAAAGGGAATGTTCAACTCTGTGACTTGAATGCACACATCACAAGGATGTTTCTGAGGATGCTGCTGTCTACTTTTTATACGTAATCCCGTTTCCAACGAAATCCCCCAAGCTATCCAAATATCCACTTGCAGATTCCACAGAAAGACTGTTTCAAAACTGCTCTGTCAATAGAAAGGTTCAACTCTATTAGCTGCGTACATATATCCCAAAGAAGATTCTGAGATTGCTTCTGTCTAGTTTTTATGGGAAGATATTTCCCTTTTCACCGTAGGCGTCAAGGCGCTCCAAATGTCCACTTCCAGATACTACAAAAAGAGTGTTTCAAACATACTCTGTGAAAGCGAATATTCAACTCTGTGACTTGAATGCACATATCACAAAGAAGTTTCTGAGAATGCTTCTGTCGAGATTTTATATGAAGATATTCCCCTTTCCAACGAAATCCTGAAATCTATCCAAATATCCCCTCGCAGATTCTACAAAAAGAGTGTTTCAAAACTGCTCTGTAAAAAGAAAGGTTCAACTCTGTTAGTTGAGTAAACACATCACAAACAAGTTTCACAGAATGCTTCTTTCTAGCTTGTAGGGGAAGATATTCCCTTTATCACCATGGGCCTCAAACCGTCCGAAAAGTCCACTTCCATATACTACAAAAAGAGCATTTCAAACCTGCTCTATGAAAGGCAATGTTCAACTCTGTGACTTGAATGCAGCCATCACAGAGCAGTTTCTGAGAATGCTTCTGTCTAGATTTTATAGGAAGATATTCCCGTTTCCAACGAAATCTTCACAGCTATCCAAATATCCACTTGCAGATTCTACAAAAACAGTGTATCAAAACTGCTCTGTCAAAAGGAAGGTTCTTCTCTGTTAGGTGAGTGCATACGTCATAAAGGAGTTTCTGAGAATGTTTCTGTCTAGTGGTTATGGGAAGATATTTGCTTTTTCACCTTACGCCTCAGAGTGCTCCAAATATCCTTTTGCACATACTACAAAAAGAGTGTTTCAAAGCTGCTCCCTGAAACGGAATGTTCAAATCTATGAGTTGAATGCAAACATCACAAAGACGTATCTGGGAATGCTTCTGTCTAGATTTGATATGAAGATATTCCCGTTTCCAACGAAATCTTCAAATCTATCCAAATGTCCACTTGCAGATTCAACAAAAAGTGTTTTTCCGAACTGCTCTATCAAAAGAAAGATCCACATCTGTTAGCTGAGTTCACACATCACAAACAAGTTTATGAGAATGCTTCTGTCTAGTTTTTATTTGAAGATATTACCTTTCTCACCATAGACCTGAAAGCTGTCCTAATGTTCACTTCCAGATACTACAGAAAGAGTGTTTCAAAACTGCTGTACGAAAGGGAATGTTCAACTCTGTGACTTGAATGCACACATCACAAAGAAGTTTCTGAGGATGCTGCTGTCTAATTTTTATACGTAATCCCGTTTCCAACGAAATCCTCCAAGCTATCCAAATATCCACTTGCAGATTCCACAGAAAGACTGTTTCAAAACTACTCTGCCAATAGAAAGGATCAACTCTGCTAGCTGCGCGCATATATCCCAAAGAAGATTCTGAGATTGCTTCTGTCTAGTTTTGATGGGAAGATATTTCCCTTTTCACCGTAGGCGTCAAGGCGCTCCAAATGTCCACTTCCAGATACTGCAAAAAGAGTGTTTCAAACCTACTCTGTGAAAGGGAATATTCAACTCTGTGCCTGGAATGCAGATATCACAAAGAAGTTTCTGAGAATGCTTCTGTCGAGATTTTATATGAAGATATTCCCGTTTCCAACGAAACCCTGAAATCTATCAAAATATCCCCTCGCAGATTCTACAAAAAGAGTGTTTCAAAACTGCTCTGTAAAAAGAAAGGTTCAACTCTGTTAGTTGAGTACACACATCACAAACAAGTTTCACAGAATGCTTCTTTCTAGCTTGTAGGGGAAGATATTCCCTTTATCACCATGGGCCTCAAACCTTCCGAAAAGTCCACTTCCATATACTACAAAAAGAGCGTTTCAAACCTGCTCTATGAAAGGCAATGTTCAACTCTGTGACTTGAATGCAGACATCACAGAGCAGTTTCTGAGAATGCTTCTGTCTAGATTTTATAGGAAGATATTCCCGTATCCAACGAAATCTTCACAGCTATCCAAATATCCACTTGCAGATTCTACAAAAAGAGTGTATCAAAACTGCTCTGTCTAAAGGAAGGTTCTTCTCTGTTAGTTGAGTACATACGTCATAAAGGAGTTTCTGAGAATGTTTCTGTCTAGTGGTTATGGGAAGATATTTTCTTTTTCACCGTAGGCCTCAGAGCGCTCCAAATATCCACTTGCACATACTACAAAAAGAGTGTTTCAAAGCTGCTCTCTGAAAGGGAATGTTCAACTCTATGAGTTGAATGCAAACAGGACAAAGACGTTTCTGAGAATGCTTCTGTCTAGATTTTATATGAAGATATTCCCGTTTCCAACGAAATCTTCAAATCTATCCAAATGTCCACTTGCAGATTCAACAAAAAGTGTTTTTCAGAACTGCTCTATCAAAAGAAAGATCCACCTCTGTTAGCTGAGTTCACACATCACAAACAAGTTTATGAGAATGCTTCTGTCTAGTTTTTATTTGAAGATATTGCCTTTCTCACCATAGACCCGAAAGCTGTCCTAATGTTCACTTCCAGATACTACAGAAAGAGTGTTTCAAAACTGCTGTACGAAAGGGAATGTTCAACTCTGTGACTTGAATGCACACATCACAAAGAAGTTTCTGAGGATGCTGCTGTCTACTTTTTATACATAATCCCGTTTCCAACGAAATCCTCCAAGCTATCCAAATATCCACTTCCAGATTCCACAGAAAGACTGTTTCAAAACTGCTCTGTCAATAGAAAGGTTCAACTCTGTTAGCTGCGTGCATATATCCCAAAGAAGATTCTGAGATTGCTTCTGTCTAGTTTTTATGGGGAGATATTTCCCTTTTCACCGTAGGCGTCAAGGCGCTACAAATGTCCACTTCCAGATACTACAAAAAGAGTGTTTCAAACCTACTCTGTGAAAGGGAATATTCAACTCTGTGACTTGAATGCACATATCACAAAGAAGTTTCTGAGAATGCTTCTGTCGAGATTTTATATGAAGATATTCCCGTTTCCAACGAAATCCTGAAATCTATCCAAATATCCCCTCGCAGATTCTACAAAAAGAGTGTTTCAAAACTGCTCTGTAAAAAGAAAGGTTCAACTCTGTTACTTCAGTACACACATCACAAACAAGTTTCACAGAATGCTTCTTTCTAGCTTGTAGGGGAAGATATTCCCTTTATCACCATGGGCCTCAAACCGTCCGAAACGTCCACTTCCATATAGTACAAAAAGAGCGTTTCAAACCTGCTCTAGGAAAGGCAATGTTCAACTCTGTGACTTGAATGCAGACATCACAGAGCAGTTTCTGAGAATGCTTCTGTCTAGATTTTATAGGAAGAATTTCCCGTTTCCAACGAAATCTTCACAGCTATCCAAATATCCACTTGCAGATTCTACAAAAAGAGTGTATCAAAACTGCTCTGTCAAAAGGAAGGTTCTTCTCTGTTAGGTGAGTGCATACGTCATAAAGGAGTTTCTGAGAATGTTTCTGTCTAGTGGTTATGGGAAGATATTTGCTTTTTCACCATAGGCCTCAGAGGGCTCCATATATCCACTTGCACATACTACAAAAAGAGTGCTTCAAAGCTGCTCTCTGAAAGGGAATGTTCAACTCTATGAGTTGAATGCTAACATCACAAAGACGTTTCTGAGAATGCTTCTGTCTAGATTTGATATGAAGATATTCCCGTTTCCAACGAAATCTTCAAATCTATCCAAATGTCCTCTTGCATATTCAACAAAAAGTGTTTTTCAGAACTGCTCTATCAAAAGAAAGATCCACGTGTGTTAGCTGAGTTCACGCATCACGAACAAGTTTATGAGAATGCTTCTGTCTAGTTTTTATTTGAAGATATTTCCTTTCTCACCATAGACCTGAAAGCTGTCCTAATGTTCACTTCCAGATACTACAGAAACAGTGTTTCAAAACTGCTGTATGAAAGGGAATGTTCAACTCTGTGACTTGAATGCACACATCACAAAGAAGTTTCTGAGGATGCTGCTGTCTACTTTTTATACGTAATCCCGTTTCCAATGAAATCCTCCAAGCTATCTAAATATCCACTTGCAGATTCCACAGAAAGACTGTTTCAAAACTGCTCTGTCAATAGAAAGGCTCAACTCTGTTAGCTGCGTGCATATATCCCAAAGAAGATTCTGAGATTGCTTCTGTCTACTTTTTATGAGAAGTTATTTCCCTTTTCACCGTAGGTGTCAAGGCGCTCCAAATGTCCACTTCCAGATACTACAAAAAGAGTGTTTCAAACCTACTCTGTGAAAGGGAATATTCAACTCTGTGACTTGAATGCACATATCACAAAGAAGTTTCTGAGAATGCTTCTGTCGAGATTTTATATGAAGATATTCCCGTTTCCAACGAAATCCTGAAATGTATCCAAATATCCCCTCGCAGATTCTACAAAAAGAGTGTTTCAAAACTGCTCTGTAAAAAGAAAGGTTCAACTCTGTTACTTGAGTACACACATCACAAACAAGTTTCACAGAATGCTTCTTTCTAGCTTGTAGGGGAAGATATTTCCTTTATCACCATGGTCCTCAAACCGTCCGAATCGTCCACTTCCATATACTAAAAAAAGAGTGTTTGAAACCTGCTCTATGAAAGGCAATGTTCAACTCTGTGACTTGAATCCAGACATCACAGAGCAGTTTCTGAGAATGCTTCTGTCCAGACTTTATAGGAAGATATTCCCGTTTCCAACGAAATCTTCACAGCTATCCACATATCCACTTGCAGATACTACAAAAAGTGTGTATCCAAAGTGCTCTGTCAAAAGGAAAGTTCTTCTCTGCTACTTGAGTACATACATCATAAAGAAGTTTCTGAGAATGTTTCTGTCTAGTGGTTATGGGAAGATATTTGCTTTTTCACCGTAGGCCTCAGATCGCTCCAAATATCCACTTGCACATACTACAAAAAGAGTGCTTCAAACCTGCTCTCTGAAACGGAATGTTCAACTCTATAAGTTGAATGCAAACATCACAAAGACGTTTCTGAGAATGCTTCTGTCTAGATTTGATATGAAGATATTCCCGTTTCCAACGAAATCTTCAAATCTATCCAAATGCCCACTTGCAGATTCAACAAAAAGTGTTTTTCAGAACTGCTCTATCAAAAGAAAGATCCACCTCTGTTAGCTGAGTTCACACATCACAAACAAGTTTCTGAGAATGCTTCTGTCTAGTTTTTATTTGAAGATATTTCCTTTCTCACCATAGAGCTGAAAGCTGTCCTAATGTTCACTTCCAGATACTACAGAAAGAGTGTTTCAAAACTGCTGTAGGAAAGGGAATGTTCAACTCTGTGACTTGAATGCACACATCACAAAGAAGTTTCTGAGGATGCTGCTGTCTACTTTTGATACGTAATCCCGTTTCCAACGAAATCCTCCAATCTATCCAAATATCCACTTGCAGATTCCACAGAAAGACTGTTTCAAATCTGCTCAGTCAATAGAAAGGTTCAACTCTGTTAGCTGCGTGCATATATCCCAAAGAAGATTCTGAGATTGCTTCTGTCTAGTTTTTACGGGAAGATATTTCCCTTTTCACCGTAGGTGTCAATGCGCTCCAAATGTCCACTTCCAGATACTACAAAAAGAGTGTTTGAAACCTACTCTGTGAAAGGGAATATTCCGCTCTGTGACTTGAATGCAGATATCACAATGAAGTTTCTGAGAATGCTTCTGTCGAGATTTTATATGAAGATATTCCCGTTTCCAACGAAATCCTGAAATGTATCCAAATATCCCCTCGCAGATTCTACAGAAAGAGTGTTTCAAAACTGCTCTGTAAAAAGAAAGGTTCAACTCTGTTAGTTGAGTACACACATCACAAACAAGTTTCACAGAATGCTTCTTTCTAGCTTGTAGGGGAAGATATTCCCTTTATCACCATGGGCCTCAAACCGTCCGAAACGTCCACTTCCATATACTACAAAAAGAGCGTTTCAAACCTGCTCTATGAAAGGCAATGTTCAACTCTGTGACTTGAATGCAGACATCACAGAGCGGTTTCTGAGAATGCTTCTGTCTAGATTTTATAGGAAGATATTCCCGTTTCCAACGAAATCTTCACAGCTACCCAAATATCCACTTGCAGATTCTACAAAAAGAGTGTATCAAAACTGCTCTGTCAAAAGGAAGGTTCTTTTCTGTTAGTTGAGTGCATACATCATAAAGGAGTTTCTGAGAATGTTTCTGTCTAGTGGTTATGGGAAGATATTTGCTTTTTCCCCGTAGGCCTCAGGGCGCTCCAAATGTCCACTTGCACATGCTACAAAAAGAGTGCTTCAAAGCTACTCTCTGGAAGGGAATGTTCAACTCTATGAGTTGAATGCAAACATCACAAAGACGTTTCTGAGACTGCTTCTGTCTAGATTTGATATGAAGATATTCCCGTTTCCAACGAAATCTTCAAATCTATACAAATGTCCACTTGCAGATTCAACAAAGTGTTTTTCAAAACTGCTGTATCAAAAGAAAGATCCACCTGTGTTAGCTGAGTTCACACTTCACAAACAAGTTTATCAGTATTCTTCTGTCTAATTTTTATTTGAAGATATATCCTTTCTCACTATAGACCTGAAAGCTCTCCTAATGTTCACTTCCAGATACTACAGAAAGAGTGTTTCAAAACTACTGTACGAAAGGGAAAGTTCAACTCTGTGACTGGAATGCACAAATCACAAGGAAGTTTCTGAGGATGCTGCTGTCTACTTTTTATACGTAATCCCGTTTCCAACGAAATCCTCCAATCTATCCAAATATCCACTTGCAGATTCCACAGAAAGACTGTTTCAAAACTGCTCTGTCAATAGAAAGGTTCAACTCTGTTAGCTGTGTGCATATATCCCAAAGAAGATTCTGAGATTGCTTCTGTCTAGTTTTTATGGGAAGATATTTTCCTTTTCACCGTAGGCGTCAAGGCGCTCCAAATGTCCACTTCCAGATACTACAAAAAGAGTGTTTCAAACCTACTCTGTGAAAGGGAATATTCAACTCTGTGACTTGAATGCACATATCACAAGGAAGTTTCTGAGAATGCTTCTGTCGAGATTTTCGATGAAGATATTCGCGTTTCCAACGAAATCCTGAAATCTATCCAAATATCCCCTCGCAGATTCTACAAAAAGAGTGTTTCAAAACTGCTCTGTAAAAAGAAAGGTTCAACTCTGTTAGTTGAGTACACACATCACAAACAAGTTTCACAGAATGCTTCTTTCTAGCTTGTAGGGGCAGATATTCCCTTTATCACCATGGGCCTCAAACCGTCCGAAACGTCTACTTCCATATACTACAAAAAGAGCGTTTCAAACCTGCTCTATGAAAGGCAATGTTCAACTCTGTGACTTGAATGCAGACATCACAGAGCAGTTTCTGAGAATGCTTCTGTCTAGATTTTATAGGAAGATATTCCCATTTCCAACGAAATCTTCACAGCTATCCAAATATCCACTTGCAGATTCTACAAAAAGAGTGTATCAAAACTGCTCTGTCAAAAGGAAGGTTCTTCTCTGTTAGTTGAGTACATACGTCATAAAGGAGTTTCTGAGAATGTTTCTGTCTAGTGGTTATGGGAAGATATTTGCTTTTTCCCCGTAGGCCTCAGAGCGCTCCAAATATCCACTTGCACATACTACAAAAAGAGTGCTTTAAAGCTGCTCTCTGAAAGTGAATGTTCAACTCTATGAGTTGAATGCAAACATCACAAAGACGTTTCTGAGAATGTTTCTGTCTACATTTGATATGAAGATATTCCCGTTTCCAACGAAATCTTCAAATTTATCCAAATGTCCACTTGCAGATTCAACAAAGTGTTTTTCAAAACTGCTGTATCAAAAGAAAGATCAAACTCTGTTAGCGGAGTTCACACTTCACAAACAAGTTTATCAGAATTCTTGTGTCTAGTTTTTATTTGAAGATATTTCCTTTCTCACCATAGACCTGAAAGCTGTCCTAATGTTCACTTCCAGATACTACAGAAAGAGTGTTTCAAAACTGCTGTACGAAAGGGAATGTTCAACTCTGTGACTTGAATGCACACATCACAAAGAAGTTTCTGAGGATGCTGCTGTCTACTTTTTATACGTAATCCCGTTTCCAACGAAATCCTCCAAGCTATCCAAATATCCACTTGCAGATTCCACAGAAAGACTGTTTCAAAACTGCTCTGTCAATAGAAAGGTTCAACTCTGTTAGCTGCGTGCATATATCCCAAAGAAGATTCTGAGATTACTTCTGTCTAGTTTTTATGGGAAGATATTTCCCTTTTCACTGTAGGTGTCATGGCGCTCCAAATGTCCACTTCCAGATACTACAAAAAGAGTGTTTCAAACCTACTCTGTGAAAGGGAATATTCAACTCTGTGACTTGAATGCACATATCACAAAGAAGTTTCTGAGAATGCTTCTGTCGAGATTTTATATGAAGATATTCCCGTTTCCAACGAAATCCTGAAATCTATCCAAATATCCCCTCGCAGATTCTACAAAAAGAGTGTTTCAAAACTGCTCTGTAAAAAGAAAGGTTCAACTCTGTTAGTTGAGTACACACATCACAAACAAGTTTCACACAATGCTTCTTTCTAGCTTGGAGGGGAAGATATTCCCTTTATCACCATGGGCCTCCAACCGTCCGAAACATCCACTTCCATATACTACAAAAAGAGCGTTTCAAACCTGCTCTATGAAAGGCAATGTTCAACTCTGTGACTTGAATGCAGACATCACAGAGCAGTTTCTGAGAATGCTTCTGTCTAGATTTTATAGGAAGATATTACCGTTTCCAACGAAATCTTCACAGCTATCCCAATATCCACTTGCAGATTCTACAAAAAGAGTGTATCAAAACTGCTCTGTAAAAAGGAAGGTTCTTCTCTGTTAGGTGAGTGCACACGTCATAAAGGAGTTTCTGAGAATGTTTCTGTCTAGTGGTTATGGGAAGATATTTGCTTTTTCACCGTAGGCCTCAGAGCGCTCCAAATATCCACTTGCACATGCTACAAAAAGAGTGCTTCAAAGCTGCTCTCTGAAACGGAATGTTCAACTCTATGAGTTGAATGCAAACATCACAAAGACGTTTCTGAGAATGCTTCTGTCTAGATTTGATATGAAGATATTCCCGTTTCCAACGAAATCTTCAAATCTATCCAAATGTCCACTTGCAGATTCAACAAAACGTGTTTTTCAGAACTGCTCTATCAAAAGAAAGATCCACGTCTGTTAGCTGAGTTCAGACATCACAAACAAGTTTATGAGAATGCTTCTCTCTAGTTTTTATTTGAAGATATTTCCTTTCTCACCATAGAGCTGAAAGCTGTCCTAATGTTCACTTCCAGATACTACAGAAAGAGTGTTTCAAAACTGCTGTACGAAAGGGAATGTTCAACTCTGTGACTTGAATGCACACATCACAAAGAAGTTTCGGAGGATGCTGCTGTCTACTTATTATACGTAATCCCGTTTCCAACGAAATCCTCCAAGCTATCCAAATATCCACTTGCAGATTCCACAGAAAGACTCTTTCAAAACTGCTCTGTCAATAGAAAGGTTCAACTCTGTTAGCTGCGTGCATATATCCCAAAGAAGATTCTGAGATTGCTTCTGTCTACTTTTTATGAGAAGATATTTCCCTTTTCACCGTAGGTGTCAAGGCGCTCCAAATGTCCACTTCCAGATACTAGAAAAAGAGTGTTTCAAACCTACTCTGTGAAAGGGAATATTCAACTCTGTGACTTGAATGCACATATCACAAAGAAGCTTCTGAGAATGCCTCTGTCGAGATTTTATGTGAAGATATTCCCGTTTCCAACGAAATCCTGAAATCTATCCAAATATCCCCTCGCAGATTCTACAAAAAGAGTGTTTCAAAACTGCTCTGTAAAAAGAAAGGTTCAACTCTGTTAGTTCAGTACACACATCACAAACAAGTTTCACAGAATGCTTCTTTCTAGCTTGTAGGGGAAGATATTCCCTTTATCACCATGGGCCTCAAACCGTCTGAAACGTCCACTTCCATATACTACAAAAAGAGCATTTCAAACCTGCTCCATGAAAGGCAATGTTCAACTCTGTGAGTTGAATGCAGACATCACAGAGCAGTTTCTGAGAATGCTTCTGTCCAGACTTTATAGGAAGATATTCCCGTTTCCAACGAAATCTTCACAGCTATCCAAATATCCACTTACAGATACTACAAAAAGAGTGTATCAAAAATGCTCTGTCAAAAGGAAAGTTCTTCTCTGCTAGTTGAGTACATACGTCATAAAGAAGTTTCTGAGATTGTTTCTGTTTAGTGGTTATGGGAAGATATTTGCTTTTTCACCTTAGGCCTCAGAGCGCTCCAAATATCCCCTTGCACATACTACAAAAAGAGTGCTTCAAAGCTGCTCTCTGAAACGGAATGTTCAACTCCATGAGTTGAATGCAAACATGACAAAGACGTTTCCGAGAATGCTTCTGTCTAGATTTGATATGAAGATATTCCCGTTTCCAACGAAATCTTCAAATCTATCCAAATGTCCACTTGCAGATTCAAGAAAAAGTGTTTTTCAGAACTGCTCTATCAAAAGAAAGATCCACCTCTGTTAGCTGAGTTCACACATCACAAACAAGTTTATGAGAATGCTTCTGTCTAGTTTTTATGGGAAGATATTTCCCTTTTCACCGTAGGCGTCAAGGCGCTCCAAATGTCCACTTCCAGATACTACAAAAAGAGTGTTTCAAACCTACTCTGTGAAAGGGAATATTCAACTCTGTGACTTGAATGCACACATCACAAAGAAGTTTCTGAGGATGCTGCTGTCTACTTTTTATACGTAATCCCGTTTCCAACGAAATCCTCCAAGCTATCCAAATATCCACTTGCAGATTCCACAGAAAGACTGTTTCAAAACTGCTCTGTCAATAGAAAGGTTCAACTCTGTTAGCTGCGTGCATATATCCCAAAGAAGTTTCTGAGATTGCTTCTGTCTAGTTTTTATGGGAAGATATTTCCCTTTTCACCGTAGGTGTCAAGGCGCTCCAAATGTCCACTTCCAGATACTACAAAAAGAGTGTTTCAAACCTACTCTGTCAAAGGGAATATTCAACTCTGTGACTTGAATGCACATATCACAAAGAAGTTTCTGAGAATGCTTCTGTCGAGATTTTATATGAAGATATGCCCGTTTCCAACGAAATCCTGAAATCTATCCAAATATCCCCTCGCAGATTCTACAAAAAGAGTGTTTCAAAACTGCTCTGTAAAAAGAAAGGTTCAACTCTGTTAGTTGAGTACACACATCACAAACAAGTTTCACAGAATGCTTCTTTCTAGCTTGTAGGGGAAGATATTCCCTTTATCACCATGGGCCTCAAACCGTCCGAAACGTCCACTTCCATATGCTACAAAAAGAGCGTTTCAAACCTGCTCTATGAAAGGCAATGTTCAACTCTGTGACTTGAATGCAGACATCACAGAGCAGTTTCTGAGAATGCTTCTGTCTACATTTTATAGGAAGATATTCCCGTTTCCAACGAAATCTTCACAGCTATCCAAATATCCACTTGCAGATTCTACAAAAAGAGTGTATCAAAACTGCTCTGTCAAAAGGAAGGTTCTTCTCTGTTAGGTGAGTGCATACGTCATAAAGGAGTTTCTGAGAATGTTTCTGTCTAGTGGTTATGGGAAGATATTTGTTTTTTCACCGTAGGCCTCAGAGCGCTCCAAATATCCACTTGCACATACGACAAAAAGAGTGTTTCAAAGCTGCTCTCTGAAAGGGAATGTTCAACTCTATGAGTTGAATGCAAACATGACAAAGACGTTTCTGAGAATGCTTCTGTCTAGATTTGATATGAAGATATTCCCGTTTCCAACGAAATCTTCAAATATATCCAAATGTCCACTTGCAGATTCAACAAAAAGTGTTTTTCAAAACTGCTGTATCAAAAGAAAGATCCACGTCTGTTAGCTGAGTTCACACATCACAAACAAGTTTATGAGAATGCTTCTGTCTAGTTTTTATTTGAAGATATTTCCTTTCTCACCATAGACCTGAAAGCTGTCCTAACGTTCACTTCCAGATACTACAGAAAGAGTGTTTCAAAACTGCTGTACGAAAGGGAATGTTCAACTCTGTGACTTGAATGCACACATCACAAAGAAGTTTCTGAGGATGCTGCTGTCTACTTTTTATACGTAATCCCGTTTCCAAAGAAATCCTCCAATCTATCCAAATATCCACTTGCAGATTCCACAGAAAGACTGTTTCAAAACTGCTCTGTCAATAGAAAGGTTCAACTCTGTTAGCTGCGTGCATATATCCCAAAGAAGATTCTGAGATTGCTTCTGTCTAGTTTTTATGAGAAGATATTTCCCTTTTCACCGTAGGCGTCAAAGCGCTCCAAATGTCCACTTCCAGATACTACAAAAAGAGTGTTTCAAACCTACTCTGTAAAAGGGAATATTCAACTCTGTGACTTGAATGCACATATCACAATGAAGTTTCTGAGAATGCTTCTGTCGAGATTTTATATGAAGATATTCCCGTTTCCAACGAAATCCTGAAATCTATCCAAATATCCCCTCGCAGATTCTACAAAAAGAGTGTTTCAAAACTGCTCTGTAAATAGAAAGGTTCAACTCTGTTAGTTGAGTACACACATCACAAACAAGTTTCACAGAATGCTTCTTTCTAGCTTGTAGGGGAAGATATTCCCTTTATCACCATGGGCCTCAAACCGTCCGAAACGTCCACTTCCATATACTACAAAAAGAGTGTTTCAAACCTGCTCTATGAAAGGCAATGTTCAACTCTGTGACGTGAATGCAGACATCACAGAGCAGTTTCTGAGAATGCTTCTGTCTAGATTTTATAGGAAGATATTCACGTTTCCAACGAAATCTTCACAGCTATCCAAATATCCACTTGCAGATTCTACAAAAAGAGTGTATCAAAACTGCTCTGTCAAAAGGAAGGTTCTTTTCTGTTAGGTGAGTGCATACGTCATAAAGGAGTTTCTGAGAATGTTTCTGTCTAGTGTTTATGGGAAGATATTTGCTTTTTCACCATAGGCCTCATAGCGCTCCAAATGTCCACTTCCACATACTACAAAAAGAGTTCTTCAAAGCTGCTCTCTTAAAGGGAGTGTTCACCTCTATGAGTTGAATGCAAACATCACAAAGTCGTATCTGAGAACGCTTCTGTCTAGATTTGATATGAAGATCTTCCCGTTTCCAACGAAATCTTCAAATCTATCCAAATGTCCACTTGCAGATTCAACAAAAAGTGTTTTTCAGAACTGCTCTATCAAAAGAAAGATCCACCTCTGTTAGCTGAGTTCAGACATCACAAACAAGTTTATGAGAATGCTTCTGTCTAGTTTTTATTTGAAGATATTTCCTTTCTCACCATAGACCTGAAAGCTGTCCTAATGTTGACTTCCAGATACTACAGAAACAGTGTTTCAAAACTGCTGTACGAAAGGGAATGTTCAACTCTGTGACTTGAATGCACACCTCACAAATAAGTTTCTGAGGATGCTGCTGTCTACTTTTTATGCGTAATCCCGTTTCCAACGAAATCCTCGAAGCTATCCAAATATCCACTTGCAGATTCCACAGAAAGACTGTTTCAAAACTGCTCTGTCAATAGAAAGGTTCAACTCTGTTAGCTGCGTGCATATATCCCAAAGAAGATTCTGAGATTGCTTCTGTCTAGTTTTTATGGGAAGATATTTCCCTTTTCACCGTAGGCGTCAAGGCGCTCCAAATGTCCACTTCCAGATACTACAAAAAGAGTGTTTCAAACCTACTCTGTGAAAGGGAATATTCAACTCTGTGACTTTAATGCACATATCACAAAGAAGTTTCTGAGAATGCTTCTGTCGAGATTTTATATGAAGATATTCAAGTTTCCAACGAAATCCTGAAATCTATCCAAATATCCCCTCGCAGATTCTACAAAAAGAGTGTTTCAAAACTGCTCTGTAAAAAGAAAGGTTCAACTCTGTTAGTTGAGTACACACATCACAAACAAGTTTCACAGAATGCTTCTTTCTAGCTTGTAGGGGAAGATATTCCCTTTATCACCATGGGCCTCCAACCGTCCGAAACATCCACTTCCATATAGTACAAAAAGAGCGTTTCAAACCTGCTCTATGAAAGGCAATGTTCAACTCTGTGACTTGAATGCAGACATCACAGAGCAGTTTCTGAGAATGCTTCTGTCTAGATTTTATAGGAAGATATTCCCGTTTCCAACGAAATCTTCACAGCTATCCAAATATCCACTTGCAGATTCTGCAAAAAGAGTGTATCAAAACTGCTCAGTCAAAAGGAAGGTTCTTCTCTGTTAGGTGAGTGCATACGTGATAACGGAGTTTCTGAGAATGTTTCTGTCTAGTGGTTTTGGGAAGATATTTGCTTTTTCACCGTAGGCCTCACAGCGCACCAAATATCCACTTGCACATACTACAAAAAGAGTGCCTCAAAGCTGCTCTCTGAAACGGAATGTTCAACTCTATGGGTTGAATGCAAACATCACAAAGACGTTTCTGAGAATGCTTTCTGTCTAGATTTGATATGAAGATATTCCCGTTTCCAACGAAATCTTCATATCTATCCAAATGTCCACTTGCAGATTCAACAAAAAGTGTTTTTCAAAACTGCTGTATCAAAAGAAAGATCCACGTGTGTTAGCTGAGTTCACACATCACAAACAAGATTATGAGAATGCTTCTGTCTAGTTTTTATTTGAAGATATTTCCTTTCTCACCATAGACCTGAAAGCTGTCCTAATGTTCACTTCCAGTTACTACAGAAAGAGTGTTTCAAAACTGCTGTACGAAAGGGAATGTTCAACTCTGTGACTTGAATGCACACATCACAAAGAAGTTTTTGAGGATGCTGCTGTCTACTTTTTATACGTAATCCCGTTTCCAACGAAATCCTCCAAGCTATCCAAATATCCACTTGCAGATTCCACAGAAAGACTGTTACAAAACTGCTCTGTCAATAGAAAGGTTCAACTCTGTTAGCTGCGTGCATATATCCCAAAGAAGATTCTGAGATTGCTTCTGTCTAGTTTTTATGGGAAGATATTTCCCTTTTCACCGTAGGTGTCAAGGAGCTACAAATGTCCACTTCCAGATACTACAAAAAGAGTGTTTCAAACCTACTCTGTGAAAGGGAATATTCAACTCTGTGACTTGAGTGCAGATATCACAAAGAAGTTCCTGAGAATGCTTCTGTCGAGATTTTATATGAAGATAGTCCCGTTTCCAACGAAATCCTGAAATCTATCCAAATATCCCCTCGCAGATTCTACAAAAAGAGTGTTTCAAAACTGCTCTGTAAAAAGAAAGGTTCAACTCTGTTAGTTGTGTACACACATCACAAACAAGTTTCACAGAATGCTTATTTCTAGCTTGTAGGGGAAGATATTCCCTTTATCACCATGGGCCTCAAACCGTCCGAAACGTCCACTTCCATATACTACAAAAAGAGCGTTTCAAACCTGCTCTAGGAAAGGCAATGTTCAACTCTGTGACTTGAATGCAGACATCTCAGAGCAGTTTCTGAGAATGCTTCTGTCTAGATTTTATAGGAAGATATTCCCGTTTCCTACGAAATCTTCACAGCTATCCAAATATCCACTTGCAGATTCTACAAAAAGAGTGTATCAAAACTGCTCTGTCAAAAGGAAGGTTCTTTTCTGTTAGGTGAGTGCATACGTCATAAAGGAGTTTCTGAGAATGTTTCTGTCTAGTGGTTATGGGAAGATATTTGCTTTTTCACCATAGGCCTCAGAGCGCTCCAAATATCCCCTTGCACATACTACAAAAAGAGTGCTTCAAAGCTGCTCTCTGAAACGGAATGTTCAAATCTATGAGTTGAATGCAAACATCACAAAGACGTTTCTGAGAATGCTTCTGTCTAGATTTGATATGAAGATATTCCCGTTTGCAACGAAATCTTCAAATCTATCCAAATGTCCACTTGCAGATTCAACAAAAAGTGTTTTTCAGAACTGCTCTATCAAAAGAAAGATCCACGTGTGTTAGCTGAGTTCACACATCACGAACAAGTTTATGAGAATGCTTCTGTCTAGTTTTTATTTGAAGATATTTCCTTTCTCACCATAGACCTGAAAGCTGTCCTAATGTTCACTTCCAGGTACTACAGAAAGAGTGTTTCAAAACTGCTGTACGAAAGGGAATGTTCAACTCTGTGACTTCAATGCACACATCACAAAGAAGTTTCTGAGGATGCTGCTGTCTACTTTTTATACATAATCCCTTTTCCAACGAAATCCTCCAAGCTATCCAAATATCCACTTGCAGATTCCACAGAAAGACTGTTTCAAAACTGCTCTGTCAATAGAAAGGTTCAACTCTGATAGCTGCGTGCATATATCCCAAAGAAGATTCTGAGATTGCTTCTGTCTAGTTTTTATGGGAAGATATTTCCCTTTTCACCGTAGGTGTCAAGGAGCTCCAAATGTCCACTTCCAGATACTACAAAAAGAGTGTTTCAAACCTACTCTGTGAAAGGGAATATTCAACTCTGTGACTTAAAGGCAGATATCACAAAGAAGTTTCTGAGAATGCTTCTGTCGAGATTTTATAGGAAGATATTCCCGTTTCCAACAAAATCTTCACAGCTATCCAAATATCCACTTGCAGATTCTACAAAAAGAGTGTATCAAAACTGCTCTGTCAAAAGGAAGGTTCTTCTCTGTTAGGTGAGTGCATACGTCATAAAGGAGTTTCTGAGAATGTTTCTTTCTAGCTTGTAGGGGAAGATATTCCCTTTATCACCATGGGCCTCAAACCATCCGAAACGTCCACTTCCATATACTACAAGAAGAGCGTTTCAAACCTGCTCTAGGAAAGGGAATGTTCAACTCTGTGACTTGAATGCAGACATCACAGAGCAGTTTCTGAGAATGCTTCTGTCTAGATTTTATAGGAAGATATTCCCGTTTCCAACGAAATCTTCACAGCTATCCAAATATCCACTTGCAGATTCTACAAAAAGAGTGTATCAAAACTGCTCTGTCAAAAGGAAGGTTCTTCTCTGTTAGGTGAGTGCATACGTCATAAAGGAGTTTCTGAGAAAGTTTCTGTCTAGTGGTTATGGGAAGATATTTGCTTTTTCACCGAAGGCCTCAGAGCGCTCCAAATATCCACTTGCACATACTACAAAATGAGTGCCTCAAAGCTGCTCTCTGAAACGGAATGTTCAATTCTATGAGTTGAATGCAAACATCACAAAGACGTTTCCGAGAATGCTTCTGTCTAGATTTGATATGAAGATATTCCCGTTTCCAACGAAATCTTCAAATCTATCCAAATGTCCACTTGCAGATTCAACAAAAGAGTTTTTCAGAACTGCTCTATCAAAAGAAAGATCCACCTCTGTAAGCTGAGTTCACACATCACAAACAAGTTTATGAGAATGCTTCTGTCTAGTTTTTATTTGAAGATATTTCCTTTCTCACCATAGACCTGAAAGCTGTCCTAATGTTCACTTCCAGATACTACAGAAAGAGTGTTTCAAAACTGCTGTATGAAAGGGAATGTTCAACTCTGTGAATTGAATGCACACATCACAAAGAAGTTTCTGAGGATGCTGCTGTCTACTTTTTATACGTAATCCCGTTTCCAACGAAATCCTCCAAGCTATCCAAATATCCACTTGCAGATTCCACAGAAAGACTGTTTCAAATCTGCTCAGTCAATAGAAAGGTTCAACTCTGTTAGCTGCGTGCATATATCCCAAAGAAGATTCTGAGATTGCTTCTGTCTAGTTTTTATGGGAAGATATTTCCCTTTTCACCGTAGGTGTCAAGGCGCTCCAAATGTCCACTTCCAGATACTACAAAAAGAGTGTTTTAAACCTACTCTGTGAAAGGGAATATTCAACTCTGTGACTTGAATGCACATATCACAAAGAAGTTTCTGAGAATGCTTCTGTCGAGATTTTATATGAAGATATTCCCGTTTCCAACGAAATCCTGAAATCTATCCGAATATCCCCTCGCAGATTCTACAAAAAGAGTGTTTCAAAACTGCTCTGTAAAAAGAAAGGTTCAACTCTGTTAGTTGAGTACACACATCACAAACAAGTTTCACAGAATGCTTCTTTCTAGCTTGTAGGGGAAGATATTCCCTTTATCACCATGGGCCTCAAACCGTCCGAAACGTCCACTTCCATATACTACAAAAACAGCATTTCAAACCTGCTCTAGGAAAGGCAATGTTCAACTCTGTGACTTGAATGCAGACATCACAGAGCAGTTTCTGAGAATGCTTCTGTCTAGATTTTATAGGAAGATATTCCCGTTTCCATCGAAAACTTCACAGCTATCCAAATATCCACTTGCAGATTCTACAAAAAGAGTGTATCAAAACTGCTCTGTCAAAAGGAAGGTTTTTCTCTGTTAGTTGAGTGCATACGTCATAAAGGAGTTTCTGAGAATGTTTCTGTCTAGTGGCTATGGGAAGATATTTGCTTTTTCACCGTAGGCCTCAGAGCGCTCCAAATATCCACTTGCACATACTACAAAAAGAGTGCCTCAAAGCTGCTCTCTGAAACGGAATGTTCAACTCTATGAGTTGAATGCAAACATCACAAAGACGTTTCTGAGAATGCTTCTGTCTAGATTTGATATGAAGATATTCCCGTTTCCAACGAAATCTTCAAATCTATCCAAATGTCCACTTGCATAATCAACAAAAAGTGTTTTTCACAACTGCTCTATCAAAAGAAAGATCCACCTCTGTTAGCTGAGTTCACACATCACAAACAAGTTTATGAGAATGCTTCTGTCTAGTTTTTATTTGAAGATATATCCTTTCTCACTATAGACCTGAAAGCTCTCCTAATGTTCACTTCCAGATACTACAGAAAGAGTGTTTCAAAACTGCTGTACGAAAGGGAAAGTTCAACTCTGTGACTTGAATGCACACATCACAAGGAAGTTTCTGAGGATGCTGCTGTCTACTTTTTCTACGTAATCCTGTTTCCAACGAAATCCTCGAAGCTATCCAAATATCCACTTGCAGATTCCACAGAAAGACTGTTTCAAACCTGCTCTGTCAATAGAAAGGTTCAACTCTGTTAGCTACGTGCATATATCCCAAAGAAGATTCTGAGATTGCTTCTGTCTAGTTTTTATGGGAAGATATTTTCCTTTTCACCGTAGGCGTCAAGGCGCTCCAAATGTCCACTTCCAGATACTACAAAAAGAGTGTTTCAAACCTACTCTGTGAAAGGGAATATTCAACTCTGTGACTTGAATGCACATATCACAAAGAAGTTTCTGAGAATGCTTCTGTCGAGATTTTATATGAAGATATTCCCCTTTCCAACGAAATCCTGAAATCTATCCAAATATCCCATCGCAGATTCTACAAAAAGAGTGTTTCAAAACTGCTCTGTAAAAAGAAAGGTTCAACTCTGTTAGTTGAGTACACACATCACAAACAAGTTTCACAGAATGCTTCTTTCTAGCTTGTAGAGAGAAGATATTCCCTTTATCACCATGGGCCTCAAACCGTCCGAAACGTCCACTTCCATATACTACAAAAAGAGCGTTTCAAACCTGCTCTATGAAAGGCAATGTTCAACTCTGTGACTTGAATGCAGACATCACAGAGCAGTTTCTGAGAATGCTTCTGTCTAGATTTTATAGGAAGATATTCCCGTTTCCAACAAAATCTTCACAGCTATCCAAATATCCACTTACAGATTCTACAAAAAGAGTGTATCAAAACTGCTCTGTCAAAAGGAAGGTTCTTCTCTGTTAGGTGAGTGCATACGTCATAAAGGAGTTTCTGAGAATGTTTCTGTCTAGTGGTTATGGGAAGATATTTGCTTTTTCACCGTAGGCCTCAGAGCGCTCCAAATATCCACTTGCACATACTACAAAAAGAGTGCCTCAAAGCTGCTCTCTGAAAGGGAATGTTCAACACTATGAGTTGAATGCAAACATCGCAAAGACGTTTCTGAGAATGCTTCTGTCTAGCTTTGATATGAAGATATTCCCGTTTGCAACGAAATCTTCAAATCTATCAAAATGTCCACTTGCAGATTCAACAAAACGTGTTTTTCAGAACTGCTCTATCAAAGGAAAGATACACCTCTGTTAGCTGAGTTCACACATCACAAACAAGTTTATGAGAATGCCTTCTGTCTTGTTTTTATTTGAAGATATTTCCTTTCTCACCATAGACCTGAAAGCTGTCCTAATGTTCACTTCCAGATACTACAGAAAGAGTGTTTCAAAACTGCTGTACGAAAGGGAATGTTCAACACTGTGACTTGAATGCACACATCACAAAGAAGTTTCTGAGGATGCTGCAGTCTACTTTTTATACGTAATCCCGTTTCCAAAGAAAACCTCCAAGCTATCCAAATATCCACTTGCAGATTCCACAGAAAGACTGTTTCAAAACTGCTCTGTCAATAGAAAGGTTCAACTCTGTTAGCTCCGTGCATATATCCCAAAGAAGATTCTGAGATTGCTTCTGTCTAGTTTTTATGGGAAGATATTTCCTTTTTCACCGTAGGCGTCAAGGCGCTCCAAATGTCCACTTCCAGATACTACAAAAAGAGTGTTTCAAACCTACTCTGTGAAAGGGAATATTCAACTCTGTGACTTGAATACACATATCACAAGGAAGTTTCTGAGAATGCTTCTGTCGAGATTTTATATGAAGATATTCCCGTTTCCAACGAAATCCTGAAATCTATCCAAATATCCCCTCGCAGATTCTACAAAAAGAGTGTTTCAAAACTGTTCTTTAAAAAGAAAGGTTCAACTCTGTTAGTTGAGTACACACATCACAAACAAGTATCACAGAATGCTTCTTTCTAGCTTGTAGGGGAAGATATTCCCTTTATCACCATGGGCCTCAAACCGTCCGAAAAGTCCACTTCAATATACTACAAAAAGAGCGTTTCAAACCTGCTCTATGAAAGGCAATGTTCAACTCTGTGACTTGAATGCAGACATCACAGAGCTGTTTCTGAGAATGCTTCTGTCCAGACTTTATAGGAAGATATTCCCGTTTCCAAGGAAATCTTCACAGCTATCCAAATATCCACTTGCAGATACTACAAAAAGAATGTATCAAAAATGCTCTGTCAAAAGGAAAGTTCTTCTCTGCTAGTTGAGTACATACGTCATAAAGAAGTTTCTGAGAATGTTTTCTGTCTAGTGGTTATGGGAAGATATTTGCTTTTTCACCGTAGGCCTCAGTAGCGCTCCAAATATCCGCTTGCACATACTACAAAAAGAGTGCTTCAAAGCTGCTCTCTGAAACGGAATGTTCAACTCTATGAGTTGAATGCAAACATGACAAAGACGTTTCTGAGAATGCTTCTGTCTAGATTTGATATGAAGATATACCCGTTTCCAACGAAATCTTCAAATCTATCCAAATGTCCACTTGCAGATTCAACAAAAAGTGTTTTTCAGAACTGCTCTATCAAAAGAAAGATCCACCTCTGTTAGCTGAGTTAACACATCACAAACAAGTTTATGAGAATGCTTCTGTCTAGTTTTTATTTGAAGATATTTCCTTTCTCACCATAGACCTGAAAGCTGTCCTAATGTTCACTTCCAGATACTACAGAAAGAGTGTTTCAAAACTGCTGTACGAAAGAGAATGTTCAACTCTGTGACTTCAATGCACACATCACAAAGAAGTTTCTCAGGATGCTGCTGTCTACTTTTTATACGTAATCCCGTTTCCAACGAAATCCTCCAAGCTATCCAAATATCCACTTGCAGATTCCACAGAAAGACTGTTTCAAAACTGCTCTGTCAATAGAAAGGTTCAACTCTGTTATCTGCGTGCATATATCCCAAAGAAGATTCTGAGATTGCTTCTGTCTAGTTTTTATGGGAAGATATTTCCCTTTTCACCGTAGGTGTCAAGGCGCTCCAAATGTCCACTTCCAGATACTACAAAAAGAGTGTTTCAAACCTACTCTGTGAAAGGGAATATTCAACTCTGTGACTTGAATGCAGATATCACAAAGAAGTTTCTGAGAATGATTCTGTCGAGATTTTGTATGAAGATATTCCCGTTTCCAACGAAATCCTGAAATCTATCCAAATATCCCCTCGCAGATTCTACAAAAAGAGTGTTTCAAAACTGCTCTGTGAAAAGAAAGGTTCAACTATCTTAGTTGAGTACACACATCACAAACAAGTTTCACAGAATGCTTCTTTCTAGCTTGTAGGGGAAGATATTCCCTTTATCACCATGGGCCTCAAACCGTCCGAAACGTCTACTTCCATATACTACAAAAAGAGCGTTTCAAACCTGCTCTATGAAAGGCAATGTTCAACTCTGAGACTTGAATGCAGACATCACAGAGCAGTTTCTGAGAATGCTTCTGTCTAGATTTTATAGGAAGATATTCCCGTTTCCAACGAAATCTTCACAGCTATCCAAATATGCACTTGCAGATTCTACAAAAAGAGTGTATCAAAACTGCTCTGTCAAAAGGAAGGTTCTTCTCTGTTAGTTGAGTACATACGTCATAAAGGAGTTTCTAAGAATGTTTCTGACTAGTGGTTATGGGAAGATATTTGCTTTTTCACCGTAGGCCTCAGAGCGCTCCAAATATCCACTTGCACATACTACAAAAAGAGTGCCTCAAAGCTGCTCTCTGAAACGGAATGTTCAACTCTATGAGTTGAATGAAAACATCACAAAGACGTTTCTGAGAATGCTTCTGTCTAGATTTGATATGAAGATATTCCCGTTTCCAACGAAATCTTCCAATCTATCCAAATGTCCACTTGCAGATTCAACAAAAAGTGTTTTTCAAAAGTGCTGTATCAAAAGAAAGATCCACCTCTGTTAGTTGAGTCCACACATCACAAAGAACTTTATGAGAATGCTTCTGTCTAGTTTTTATTTGAAGATATTTCCTTTCTCACCATAGACCTGAAAGCTGTCCTAATGTTCACTTCCAGATACTACAGAAAGAGTGTTTCAAAACTGCTGCATGAAAGGGAATGTTCAACTCTGTGACTTGAATGCACACATCACAAAGAAGTTTCTGAGGATGCTGCTGTCTACTTTTTATACGTAATCCCGTTTCCAACAAAATCCTCCAAGCTATACAAATATCCACTTGCAGATTCCACAGAAAGACTGTTTCAAAACTGCTCTGTCAATAGAAAGGTTCAACTCTGTTAGCTGCGTGCATATATCCCAAAGAAGATTCTGAGATTGCTTCTGTCTAGTATTTATGGGAAGATATTTCCCTTTTCACCGTAGGTGTCAAGGAGCTCCAAATGTCCACTTCCAGATACTACAAAAAGAGTGTTTCAAACCTACTCTGCGAAAGGGAATATTCAACTCTGTGACTTGAAGGCAGATATCACAAAGAAGTTTCTGAGAATGCTTCTGTCGAGATTTTATATAAAGATATTACGGTTTCCAACAAATTCCTGAAATCTATCCAAATATCCCCTCGCAGATTCTACAAAAAGAGTGTTTCAAAACTGCTCTGTAAAAAGAAAGGTTCAACTCTGTTAGTTGAGTACACACATCACAAACAAGTTTCACAGAATGCTTCTTTCTAGCTTGTAGGGGAAGATATTCCCTTTATCACCAAGGGCCTCAAACCGTCTGAAACGTCTACTTCCATATACTACAAAAAGAGCGTTTCAAACCTGCTCTATGAAAGGCAATGTTCAACTCTGTGACTTGAATGCAGACATCACAGAGCAGTTTCTGAGAATGCTTCTGTCTAGATTTTATAGGAAGATATTCCCGTTTCCAACGAAATCTTCACAGCTATCCAAATATCCACTTGCAGATTCTACAAAAAGAGTCTATCAAAACTGCTCTGTCAAAAGGAAGGTTCTTCTCTGTTAGTTGAGTACATACGTCATAAAGGAGTTTCTGAGAATGTTTCTGTCTAGTGGTTATGGGAAGATATTTGCTTTTTCACCGTAGGCCTCATAGCGCTCCAAATATCCACTTGCACATACTACAAAAAGTGTGCTTCAAAGCTGCTCTCTGAAAGGGAATGTTCAACTCTATGAGTTGAATGCAAACATCACAAAGACGTCTCTGAGAATGCTTCTGTCTAGATTTGATATGAAGATATTCCCGTTTCCAACGAAATCTTCAAATCTATCCAAATGTCCACTTGCAGATTCAACAAAAAGTGTTTTTCAGAACTGCTCTATCAAAAGAAAGATCCACCTCTTTTAGCTGGGTTCACACATCACAAACAAGTTTACGAGAATGCTTCTGTCTAGTTTTTATTTGAAGATATTTCGTTTCTCACCATAGACCTGAAAGCTGTCCTAATGTTCACTTCCAGTTACTACAGAAAGAGTGTTTCAAAACTGCTGTACGAAAGGGAATGTTCAACTCTGTGACTTGAATGCACACATCACAAAGAAGTTTCTGAGGATGCTGCTGTCTACTTTTTATACTTAATCCCGTTTCCAACGAAATCCTCCAAGCTATCCAAATATCCACTTGCAGATTCCACAGAAAGACTGTTTCAAAACTGCTCTGTCAATAGAAAGGTTCAACTCTGTTAGCTGCGTGTATATATCCCAAAGAAGATTCTGAGATTGCTTCTGTCTAGTTTTTATGGGAAGATATTTCCCTTTTCACCGTAGGCGTCAAGGCGCTCCAAATGTCCACTTCCAGATACTTCAAAAAGAGTGTTTCAAACCTACTCTGTGAAAGGGAATATTCAAGTCTGTGACTTGAATGCACATATCACAAGGAAGTTTCTGAGAATGCTTCTGTCGAGATTTTACATGAAGATATTCCCGTTTCCAACCAAATGCTGAAATCTATCCAAATATCCCCTCGCAGATTCTACAAAAAGAGTGTTTCAAAACTGCTCTGTGAAAAGAAAGGTTCAACTCTGTTAGTTGAGTACACACATCACAAACAAGTTTCACAGAATGCTTCTTTCTAGCTTGTAGGGGAAGATATTCCCTTTATCACCATGGGCCTCAAACCGTCTGAAACGTCCACTTCCATATACTTCAAAAAGAGCATTTCAAACCTGCTCTATGAAAGGCAATGTTCAACTCTGTGACTTGAATGCAGACATCACAGAGCAGTTTCTGAGAATGCTTCTGTCTAGATTTTATAGGAAGATATTCCCGTTTCCAACGAAATCTTCACAGCTATCCAAATATCCACTTGCAGATCCTACAAAAAGAGTGTATCAAAACTGCTCTGTCAAAAGGAAGGTTCTTCTCTGTTAGTTGAGTATATACGTCATAAATTAGTTTCTGAGAATGTTTCTGTCTAGTGGTTATGGGAAGATATTTGCTTTTTCACCGTAGGCCACAGAGCGATCAAAATATCCACTTGCACATACTACAAAAAGAGTGCTTCAAAGCTGCTCTCTGAAAGTGAATGTTCAACTCTATGAGTTGAATGCAAACATCACAAAGACGTTTCTGAGAATGCTTCTGTCTAGATTTGATATGAAGATATTCCCGTTTCCAACGAAATCTTCAAATCTATCCAAATGTCCACTTGCAGATTCAACAAAAAGTGTTTTTCAGAACTGCTCTATCAAAAGAACGATCCACCTCTGTTAGCTGAGTTCACACATCACAAACAAGTTTATGAGAATGCTTCTGTCTAGTTTTTATTTGAAGATATTGCCTTTCTCACCATAGACCTGAAAGCTGTCCTAATGTTCACTTCCAGATACTACAGAAAGAGTGTTTCAAAACTGCTGTACGAAAGGGAATGTTCAACTGTGTGACTTGAATGCACACATCACAAAGAAGTTTCTGAGGAGGCTGCTGTCTACTTTTTATACCTAATCCCGTTTCCAACGAAATCCTCCAAGCTATCCAAATATCCACTTGCAGATTCCGCAGAAAGACTGTTTCAAAACTGCTCTGTCAATAGAAAGGTTCAACTCTGTTAGCTGCGTGCATATATCCCAAAGAAGATTCTGAGATTGTTTCTGTCTAGTTTTTATGGGAAGATATTTCCCTTTTCACCGTAGGCGTCAAGGCGCTCCAAATGTCCACTTCCAGATACTACAAAAAGAGTGTTTCGAACCTACTCTGTGAAAGGGAATATTCAACTCTGTGACTTGAATGCACATATCACAAAGAAGTTTCTGAGAATGCTTCTGTCGAGATTTTATATGAAGATATTCCCGTTTCCAATGAAATCCTGAAATCTATCCAAATATCCCCTCGCAGATTCTACAAAAAGAGTGTTTCAAAACTGCTCTGTGAAAAGAAAGGTTCAACTCTCTTAGTTGAGTACACACATCACAAACAAGTTTCACAGAATGCTTCTTTCTAGCTTGTAGGGGAAGATATTCCCTTTATCACCATGGGCCTCAAACCGTCCGAAACGTCCACTTCCATATACTACAAAAAGAGCGTTTCAAACCTGCTCTAGGAAAGGCAATGTTCAACTCTGTGACTTGAATGCAGATATCACAGAGCAGTTTCTGAGAATGCTTCTGTCTAGATTTTATAGGAAGATATTCCCGTTTCCAACGAAACCTTCACAGCTATCCAAATATCCACTTGCAGATTCTACAAAAAGAGTGTATCAAAACTGCTCTGTCAAAAGGAAGGTTCTTTTCTGTTAGGTGAGTGCATACGTCATAAAGGAGTTTCTGAGAATGTTTCTGTCTAGTGGTTATGGGAAGATATTTGCTTTTTCACCTTAGGCCTCACAGCGATCCAAATATCCACTTGCACATACTACAAAAAGAGTGCTTCAAAGCTGCTCTCTGAAACGGAATGTTCAACTCTATGAGTTGAATGCAAACATCACAAAGACGTTTCTGAGAATGCTTCTGTCTAGATTTGATATGAAGATATTCCCGTTTCCAACGAAATCTTCAAATCTATCCAAATGTCCACTTGCAGATTCAACAAAAAGTGTTTTTCAGAACTGCTCTCTCAAAAGAAAGATCCACCTCTGTTAGCTGAGTTCACACATCACAAACAAGTTTATGAGAATGCTTCTGTCTAGTTTTTATTTGAAGATATTTCCTTTCTCACCATAGACCTGAAAGCTGTCCTAAAGTTCACTTCCAGATACTACAGAAAGAGCGTTTCAAAACTGCTGTACGAAAGGGAATGTTCAACTCTGTGACTTGAATGCACACATCACAAAGAAGTTTCTGAGGATGCTGCTGTCTACGTTTTATACGTAATCCCGTTTCCAACGAAATCCTCCAAGCTATCCAAATATCCACTTGCAGATTCCACAGAAAGACTGTTTCAAAACTGCTCTGTCAATAGAAAGGTTCAACTCTGTTAGCTGCGTGCATATATCCCAAAGAAGATTCTGAGATTGCTTCTGTCTAGTTTTTATGGGAAGATATATCCCTTTTCACCGTAGGCGTCAAGGCGCTCCAAATGTCCACTTCCGGATACTACAAAAAGAGTGTTTCAAACCTACTCTGTGAAAGGGAATATTCAACTCTGTGACTTGAAGGCAGATATCACAAAGAAGTTTCTGAGAATGCTTCTGTCGAGATTTTATATGAAGATATCCCCGTTTCCAACGAAATCCTGAAATCTATCCAAATATCCCCTCGCAGATTCTACAAAAAGAGTGTTTCAAAACTGCTCTGTAAAAAGAAAGGTTCAACTCTGTTAGTTGAGTACACACATCACAAACAAGTTTCACAGAATGCTTCTTTCTAGCTTGTAGGGGAAGATATTCCCTTTATCACCATGGGCCTCAAACCGTCCGAAACGTCCACTTCCATATACTACAAAAAGAGCGTCTCACACCTGCTCTATGAAAGGCAATGTTCAACTCTGTGACTTCAATGCAGACATCACAGAGCAGTTTCTGAGAATGCTTCTGTCCAGACTTTATAGGAAGATATTCCCGTTTCCAACGAAATCTTCACAGCTATCCAAATATCCACTTGCAGATACTACAAAAAGAGTGTATCAAAAGTGCTCTGTCAAAAGGAAAGTTCTTCTCTGCTAGTTGAGTACATACGTCATAAAGAAGTTTCTGAGAATGTTTCTGTCTAGTGGTTATGGGAAGATATTTGCTTTTTCACCGTAGGCCTCAGAGCGCTCAAAATATCCACTTGCACATACTACAAAAAGAGTGCTTCAAAGCTGCTCTCTGAAACGGAATGTTCAACTCTATGAGTTGAATGCAAACATCACAAAGACGTTTGCTGAGAATGCTTCTGTCTAGATTTGATATGAAGATATTCCCGTTTCCAACGAAATCTTCAAATCTATCCAAATGTCCACTTGCAGGTTCAACAAAATGTGTTTTTCAGAACTGCTCTATCAAAAGAAAGATCCACCTCTGTTAGCTGAGTTCACACATCACAAACAAGTTTATGAGAATGCTTCTGTCTAGTTTTTATTTGAAGATATTTCCTTTCTCACCATAGACCTGAAAGCTGTCCTAATGTTCACTTCCAGATACTAGAGAAAGAGTGTTTCAAAACTGCTGTACGAAAGGGAATGTTCAGCTCTTTGACTTGAATGCACACATCACAAAGAAGATTCTGAGGATGCTGCTGTCTACTTTTTATACGTAATCCCGTTTCCAACGAAATCCTCCAAGCTATCCAAATATCCACTTGCAGATTCCACAAAAAGACTGTTTCAAAACTGCTCTGTCAATAGAAAGGTTCAACTCTGTTAGCTGGGTGCATACATCCCAAAGAAGATTCTGAGATTGCTTCTGTCTAGTTTTTATGGGAAGATATTTCCCTTTTCACCGTAGGTGTCAAGGCGCTACAAATGTCCACTTCCAGATACTACAAAAAGAGTGTTTCAAACCTACTCTGTGAAAGGGAATATTCAACTCTGTGACTTGAATGCACATATCACAAAGAAGTTTCTGAGAATGCTTCCTTCGAGATTTTATGTGAAGATATTCCCGTTTCCAACGAAATCCTGAAATCTATCCAAATATCCCCTCGCAGATTCTACAAAAAGAGTGTTTCAAAACTGCTCTGTAAAAAGAAAGGTTCAACTCTGTTACTTGAGTACACACATCACAAACAAGTTTCACAGAATGCTTCTTTCTAGCTTGTAGGGGAAGATATTCCCTTTATCACCATGGGCCTCAAACCGTCCGAAACGTCAACTTCCATATACTACAAAAAGAGCGTTTCAAACCTGCTCTATGAAAGGCAATGTTCAACTCTGTGACTTGAATGCAGACATCACAGAGCAGTTTACTGAGAATGCTTCTGTCTAGATTTTATAGGAAGATATTCCCGTTTCCAACGAAATCTTCACAGCTATCCAAATATCCACTTGCAGATTCTACAAAAAGAGTGTATCAAAACTGCTCTGTCAAAAGGAAGGTTCTTCTCTCTTAGTTGAGTACATACGTCATAAAGGAGTTTCTGAGAATGTTCCTGTCTAGTGGTTATGGGAAGATATTTGCTTTTTCCCCGTAGGCCTCAAAGCGCTCCAAATGTCCACTTGCACATACTACAAAAAGAGTGCTTCAAAGCTGCTCTCTGAAAGGGAATGTTCAACTCTATGAGTTGAATGCAAACATGACAAAGACGTTTCTGAGAATGCTTCTGTCTAGATTTGATATGAAGATATTCCCGTTTCCAACGAAATCTTCAAATCTATCCAAATGTCCACTTGCAGATTCAACAAAAAGTGTTTTTCAGAACTGCTCTATCAAAAGAAAGATCCACGTCTCTTAGGTGAGTTCACACATCACAAACAAGTTTATGAGAATGCTTCTGTCTAGTTTTTATTTGAAGATATTGCCTTTCTCACCATAGACCTGAAAGCTGTCCTAATGTTCACTTCCAGATACTACAGAAAGAGTGTTTCAAAACTGCTGTACAAAAGGGAATGTTCAACTCTGTGACTTGAATGCACACATCACAAAGAAGTTTCTGAGGATGCTGCTGTCTACTTTTTATACGTAATCCCGTTTCCAACGAAATCCTCCAAGCTATCCAAATATCCACTTGCAGATTCCACAGAAAGACTGTTTCAAAACTGCTCTGTCAATAGAAAGGTTCAACTCTGTTAGCTGCGTGCATATATCACAAAGAAGATTCTGAGATTGCTTCTGTCTAGTTTTTATGGGAAGATATTTCCCTTTTCACCGTAGGCGTCAAGGCGCTCCAAATGTCCACCTCCAGATACTACAAAAAGAGTGTTTCAAACCTACTCTGTGAAAGGGAATATTCAACTCTGTGACTTGAATGCACATATCACAAAGAAGTTTCTGAGAATGCTTCTGTCGAGATTTTATATGAAGATATTCCCGTTTCCAACGAAATCCTGAAATCTATCCAAATATCCCCTCGCAGATTCTACAGAAAGAGTGTTTCAAAACTGCTCTGTAAAAAGAAAGGTTCAACTCTGTTACTTGAGTACACACATCAGAAACAAGTTTCACAGAATGCTTCTTTCTAGCTTGTAGGGGAAGATATTCCCTTTATCACCATGGGCCTCAAACCGTCCGAAACGTCCACTTCAATATACTACAAAAAGAGCGTTTCAAACCTGCTCTATGAAAGGCAATGTTCAACTCTGTGACTTGAATGCAGACATCACAGAGCAGTTTCTGAGAATGCTTTCTGTCTAGATTTTATAGGAAGATATTTCCGTTTCTAACGAAACCTTCACAGCTATCCAAATATCCACTTGCAGATTCTACAAAAAGAGTGGATCAAAACTGCTCTGTCAAAAGGAAGGTTCTTCTCTGTTAGTTGAGTACATACGTCATAAAGGAGTTTCTGAGAATGTTTCTGTCTAGTGGTTATGGGAAGATATTTGCTTTTTCACCGTAGGCCCCAGAGCGCTCCAAATATCCACTTGCACATACTACAAAAAGAGTGCTTCAAAGCTGCTCTCTGAAACGGAATGTTCAACTCTATGAGTTGAATGCAATCATCACAAAGACGTTTCTGAGAATGCTTCTGTCTAGATTTGATATGAAGATATTCCCGTTTCCCAACGAAATCTTCATATCTATCCAAATGTCCACTTGCAGATTCAACAAAAAGTGTTTTTCAGAACTGCTGTATCAAAAGAAAGATCCACGTCTGTTAGCTGAGTTCACACATCACAAACAAGTTTATGAGAATGCTTCTGTCTGGTTTTTATTTGAAGATATTTCCTTTCTCACCATAGAGCTGAAAGCTGTCCTAATGTTCACTTCCAGATACTACAGAAAGAGTGTTTCAAAACTGCTGTACGAAAGGGAATGTTCAACTCTGTGACTTGAATGCACACATCACAAAGAAGTTTCTGAGGATGCTGCTGTCTACTTTTTATACGTAATCCCGTTTCCAACGAAATCCTCCAAGCTATCCAAATATCCACTTGCAGATTCCACAGAAAGACTGTTTCAAAACTGCTCTGTCAATAGAAAGGTTCAACTCTGTTAGCTGCGTGCATATATCCCAGAGAAGATTCTGAGATTGCTTCTGTCTACTTTTTATGAGAAGATATTTCCCTTTTCACCGTAGGCGTCAAGGCGCTCCAAATGTCCACTTCCAGATACTACAAAAAGATTGTTTCAAACCTACTCTGTGAAAGGGAATATTCAACTCTGTGACTTGAATGCACATATCACAAAGAAGTTTCTGAGAATGCTTCTGTCGAGATTTTATATGAAGATATTCCCGTTTCCAACGAAATCCTGAAATCTATCCAAATATCCCCTCGCAGATTCTACAAAAAGAGTGTTTCAAAACTGCTCTGTAAAAAGAAAGGTTCAACTCTGTTAGTTGAGTACACACATCACAAACAATTTCACAGAATGCTTCTTTCTAGCTTGTAGGGGAAGATATTCCCTTTATCACCATGGGCCTCAAACCGTCCGAAACGTCCACTTCCATATACTACCAAAAGAGCGTTTCAAACCTGCTCTAGGAAAGGCAATGTTCAACTCCTGTGACTTGAATGCGGACATCAGAGAGCAGTTTCTGAGAATGCTTCTGTCTAGATTTTATAGGAAGATATTCCCGTTTCCAACAAAATCTTCACAGGTATCCAAATATCCACTTGCAGATTCTACAAAAAGAGTGTATCAAAACTGCTCTGTCAAAAGGAAGGTTCTTCTCTGTTAGGTGAGTGCATACGTCATAAAGGAGTTTCTGAGAATGTTTCTGTCTAGTGGTTATGGGAAGATATTTGCTTTTTCACCGTAGGCCTCAGAGCGCTCCAAATATCCACTTGCACATACTACAAAAAGAGTGCCTCAAACTGCTCTCTGAAACGGAATGTTCAACTCTATGAGTTGAATGCAAACATCGCAAAGACGTTTCTGAGAATGCTTCTGTCTAGATTTGATATGAAGATATTCCCTTTTCCAAGGAAATCTTCAAAACTATCCAAATGTCCACTTGCAGATTCAACAAAAAGTGTTTTTCAGAACTGCTCTATCAAAAGAAAGATCCACCGTTGTTAGCTGAGTTCACACATCACAAACAAGTTTATGAGAATGCTTGTCTGTCTAGTTTTTATTTGAAGATATTTCCTTTCTCACCATAGACCTGAAAGCTGTCCTAATGTTCACTCCCAGATACTACAGAAAGAGTGTTTCAAAACTGCTGTACGAAAGGGAATGTTCAACTCTGTGACTTGAATGCACACATCACAAAGAAGATTCTGAGGATGCTGCTGTCTACTTTTTATACGTAATCCCGTTTCCAACGAAATCCTCCAAGCTATCCAAATATCCACTTGCAGATTCCACAGAAAGACTGTTTCAAAACTGCTCTGTCAATAGAAAGGTTCAACTCTGTTAGCTGCGGGCATATATCCCAAAGAAGATTCTGAGATTGCTTCTGTCTAGTTTTTATGGGAAGATATTTCCCTTTTCACCGTAGGTGTCAAGGCGCTCCAAATGTCCACTTCCAGATACTACAAAAAGAGTGTTTCAAACCTACTCTGTGAAAGGGAATATTCAACTCTGTGACGTGAATGCACATATCACAAAGAAGTTTCTGAGAATGCTTCTGTCGAGATTTTATATGAAGATATTCCCGTTTCCAACGAAATCCTGAAATCTATCCAAATATCCCCTCACATATTCTACAAAAAGAGTGTTTCAAAACTGCTCTGTAAAAAGAAAGGTTCAACTCTGTTAGTTGAGTACACACCTCACAAACAAGTTTCACAGAATGCTTTCTTTCTAGCTTGTAGGGGAAGTATATTCCCTTTATCACCATGGGCCTCAAACCGTCCGAAAAGTCCACTTCCATATACTACAAAAAGAGCGTTTCAAACCTGCTCTATGAAAGGCAATGTTCAACTCTGTGACTTGAATGCAGACATCACAGAGCAGTTTCTGAGAATGCTTCTGTCTAGATTTTATAGGAAGATATTCCCGTTTCCAACGAAATCTTCACAGCTATCCAAATATCCACTTGCAGATTCTACAAAAAGAGTGTATCAAAACTGCTCTGTCAAAAGGAAGGTTCTTTTCTGTTAGGTGTGTGCATACGTCATAAAGGAGTTTCTGAGAATGTTCCTGTCTAGTGGTTATGGGAAGATATTTGCTTTTTCCCCGTAGACCTCAAAGCGCTCCAAATGTCCACTTGCACATACTACAAAAAGAGTGCTTCAAAGCTGCTCTCTGAAAGGGAATGTTCAACTCTATGAGTTGAATGCTAACATCACAAAGACGTTTCTGAGAATGCTTCTGTCTAGATTTGATATGAAGATATTCCCGTTTCCAACGAAATCTTCAAATCTATCCAAATGTCCACTTGCAGATTCAACAAAAAGTGTTTTTCAGAACTGCTCTATCAAAAGAAAGATCCACCCCTGTTAGCTGAGTTCACACATCACAAACAAGTTTATGAGTATGCTTCTGTCTAGTTTTTATTTGAAGATATTTCCTTTCTCACCATAGACCTGAAAGCTGTCCTAATGTTCACTTCCAGATACTACAGAAAGAGTGTTTCAAAACTGCTGCACGAAAGGGAATGTTCAACTCTGTGACTTGAATGCACACATCACAAAGAAGTTTCTGAGGATGCTGCTGTCTATTTTTTATACGTAATCCCGTTTCCAACGAAATCCTCCAAGCTATCCAAATATCCACTTGCAGATTCCACAGAAAGACTGTTTCAAAACTGCTCTGTCAATAGAAAGGTTCAACTCTATTAGCTGCGTGCATATATCTCAAAGAAGATTCTGAGATTGCTTCTGTCTAGTTTTTATGGGAAGATATTTCCCTTTTCACCGTAGGCGTCAAGGCGCTCCAAATGTCCACTTCCAGATACTACAAAAAGAGTGTTTCAAACCTACTCTGTGAAAGGGAATATTCAACTCTGTGACTTGAATGCAGATATCACAAAGAAGTTCCTGAGAATGCTTCTGTCGAGATTTTATATGAAGATATTCCCGTTTCCAACGAAATCCTGAAATCTATCGAAATATCCCCTCGCAGATTCTACAAAAAGAGTGTTTCAAAACTGCTCTGTAAAAAGAAAGGTTCAACTCTGTTAGTTGAGTACACACATCACAAACAAGTTTCACAGAATGCTTCTCTTTCTAGCTTGTAGGGGAAGATATTCCCTTTATCACCATGGACCTCCAACCGTCCGAAACATCCACTTCCATATACTACAAAAAGAGCGTTTCAAACCTGCTCTATGAAAGGCAATGTTCAACTCTGTGACTTGAATGCAGACATCACAGAGCAGTTTCTGAGAATGCTTCTGTCTAGATTTCATAGGAAGATATTCCCGTTTCCAACGAAATCTTCACAGCTATCCAAATATCCACTTGCAGATTCTACAAAAAGAGTGTATCAAAACTGCTCTGTCAAAAGGAAGGTTCTTCTCTGTTACTTGAGTGCATACGTCACAAAGGAGTTTCTGAGAATGTTTCTGTCTAGTGGTTATGGGAAGATATTTGCTTTTTCACCGTAGGCCTCAGAGCGCTCCAAATATCCACTTGCACATACTACAAAAAGAGTGCCTCAAAGCTGCTCTCTGAAACGGAATGTTCAAATCTATGAGTTGAATGCAAACATCACAAAGACGTTTCTGAGAATGCTTCTGTCTAGATTTGATATGAAGATATTCCCGTTTCCAACGAAATCTTCAAATCTATCCAAATGTCCACTTGCAGATTCAACAAAAAGTGTTTTTCAGAACTGCTCTATCAAAAGAAAGATCCACCTCTGTTAGCTGAGTTCACACATCACAAAGAAGTTGATGAGAATGCTTCTGTCTAGTTTTTATTTGAAGATATTTCCTTTCTCACCATAGACCTGAAAGCTGTCCTAATGTTCACTTCCAGATACTACAGAAAGAGCGTTTCAAAACTGATGTACGAAAGGGAATGTTCAACTCTGTGACTTGAATGCCCACATCACAAAGAAGTTTCTGAGGATGCTGCTGTCTACTTTTTATACGTAATCCCGTTTCCAACGAAATCCTCCAAGCTATCCAAATATCCACTTGCAGATTCCACAGAAATACTGTTTCAAAACTGCTCTGTCAATAGAAAGGTTCAACTCTGTTAGCTGCGTGCATATATCCCAAAGAAGATTCTGAGATTGCTTCTGTCTAGTTTTTATGGGAAGATATTTCCCTTTTCACCGTAGGCGTCGAGGCGCTCCAAATGTCCACTTCCAGATACTACAAAAAGAGTGTTTCAAACCTACTCTGTGAAAGGGAATATTCAACTCTGTGACTTGAATGCACATATCACAAAGAAGTTTCTGAGAATGCTTCTGTCGAGATTTTATATGAAGATATTCTCGTTTCCAACGAAATCCTGAAATCTATCCAAATATCCCCTCACAGATTCTACAAAAAGAGTGTTTCAAAACTGCTCTGTAAAAAGAAAGGTCCAACTCTGTTAGTTGAGTACACACATCACAAACAAGTTTCACAGAATGCTTCTTTCTAGCTTGTAGGGGAAGATATTCCCTTTATCACCATGGGCCTCAAACCGTCCGAAACGTCCACTTCCATATACTACAAAAAGAGCGTTTCAAACCTGCTCTAGGAAAGGCAGTGTTCAACTCTGTGACTTGAATGCAGACATCACAGAGCAGTTTCTGAGAATGCTTCTGTCTAGATTTTATAGGAAGATATTCCCGTTTGCAACGAAATCTTCACAGCTATCCAACTATCCACTTGCAGATTCTACAAAAAGAGTGTATCAAAACTGCTCTGTCAAAAGGAAGGTTCTTCTCTGTTAGGTGAGTGCATACATCATAAAGGAGTTTCTGAGAATGTTTCTGTCTAGTGGTTATGGGAAGATATTTGCTTTTTCACCGTAGGCCTCAGTAGCGCTCCAAATATCCACTTGCACATACTACAAAAAGAGTGCCTCAAAGCTGCTCTCTGAAACGGAATGTTCAACTCTATGAGTTGAATGCAAACATCGCAAAGACGTTTCTGAGAATGCTTCTGTCTAGATTTGATATGAAGATATTGCCGTTTCCAACGAAATCTTCAAATCTATCCAAATGTCCACTTGCAGATTCAACAAAAAGTGTTTTTCAGAACTGCTCTATCAAAAGAAAGATCCACCTGTGTTAGATGAGTTCACACATCACAAACAAGTTTATTAGAATGCTTCTGTCTAGTTTTTATTTGAAGATATTTCCTTTCTCACCATAGACCTGAAAGCTGTCCTAATGTTCACTTCCAGATACTACAGAAAGAGTGTTTCAAAACTGCTGTACGAAAGGGAATGTTCAACTCTGTGACTTGAATGCACACATCAAAAAGAAGTTTCTGAGGATGCTTCTGTCAAAATTTGATATGAAGATATTCCCGTTTCCAACGAAATCTTCAAATCTATCCAAATGTCCACTTGCAGATTCAACAAAAAGTGTTTTTCAGAACTGCTCTATCAAAAGAAAGATCCACCTCTGTTAGCTGAGCTCACACATCACAAACAAGTTTACGAGAATGCTTCTGTCTAGTTTTTATTTGAAGATATTTCCTTTCTCACCATAGAGCTGAAAGCTGTCCTAATGTTCACTTCCAGATACTACAGAAAGAGTGTTTCAAAACTGCTGTACGAAAGGGAATGTTCAACTCTGTGACTTGAATGCACATATCACAAAGAAGTTTCTGAGAATGCTTCTGTCGATCTTTTATATGAAGATATTCCCGTTTCCAACGAAATCCTGAAATCTATCCAAATATCCCCTCGCAGATTCTACAAAAAGAGTGTTTCAAAACTGCTCTGTAAAAAGAAAGGTTCAACTCTGTTAGTTGAGTACACACATCACAAACAAGTTTCACAGAATGCTTCTTTCTAGCTTGCAGGGGAAGATATTCCCTTTATCACCATGGTCCTCAAACCGTCCGAAACGTCCACTTCCATATACTACAAAAAGAGCGTTTCAAACCTGCTCTAGGAAAGGCAATGTTCAACTCTGTGACTTGAATGCAGACATCACAGAGCAGTTTCTGAGAATGCTTCTGTCTAGATTTTATAGGAAGATATTCCCGTTTCCAACGATATCTTCACAGCTATCCCAATATCCACTTGCAGATTCTACAAAAAGAGTGTATCAAAACTGCTCTGTCAAAAGGAAGGTTCTTCTCTGTTAGGTGAGTGCATACGTCATAAAGGAGTTTCTGAGAATGTTTCTGTCTAGTGGTTATGGGAAGATATTTGCTTTTTCACCGTAGGCCTCAGAGCGCTCCAAATATCCACTTGCACATACTACAAAAAGAGTGCTTCAAAGCTGCTCTCTGAAACGGAATGTTCAACTGCTATGAGTTGAATGCAAACATCACAAAGACGTTTCTGAGAATGCTTCTGTCTAGATTTGATATGAAGATATTCCCGTTTCCAAAGAAATCTTCAAATCTATCCAAATGTCCACTTGCAGATTCAACAAAAAGTGTTTTTCAAAACTGCTGTATCAAAAGAAAGATCCACCTCTGTTAGCTGCGTTCACACATCACAAACAAGTTTATGAGAATGCTTCTGTCTAGTTTTTATTTGAAGATATTTCCTTTCTCACCATAGAGCTGAAAGCTGTCCTAATGTTCACTTCCAGATACTACAGAAAGAGTGTTTCAAAACTGCTGTACGAAAGGGAATGTTCAAATCTGTGACTTGAATGCACACATCACAAAGAAGTTTCTGAGGATGCTGCTGTCTACTTTTTATACGTAATCCCGTTTCCAACGAAATCCTCCAAGCTATCCAAATATCCACTTGCAGATTCCACAGAAAGACTGTTTCAAAAATGCTCTGTTAATAGAAAGGTTCAACTCGGTTAGCTGCGTGCATATATCCCAAAGAAGATTCTGAGATTGCTTCTGTCTAGTTTTTATGGGAAGATATTTCCCTTTTCACCGTAGGTGTCAAGGTGCTCCAAATGTCCACTTCCAGATACTACAAAGAGTGTTTCAAACCTACTCTGTGAAAGGGAATATTCAACTCTGTGACTTGAATGCAGATATCACAAAGAAGTTTCTGAGAATGCTTCTGTCGAGATTTTATATTAAGATATTCCCGTTTCCAACGAAATCCTGAAATCTATCCAAATATCCCCTCGCAGATTCCACAAAAAGAGTGTTTCAAAACTGCTCTGTAAAAAGAAAGGTTCAACTCTGTTAGTTGAGTACACACATCACAAACAAGTTTCACAGAATGCTTCTTTCTAGCTTGTAGGGGAAGATATTTCCTTTATCACCATGGGCCTCAAACGGCTCGAAATTTCCACTTCCATATACTACAAAAAGAGCGTTTCAAACCTGCTCTATGAAAGGCAATGTTGAACTCTGTGACTTGAATGCAGACATCACAGAGCAGTTTCTGAGCATGCTTCTGTCTAGATTTTATAGGAAGATATTCTCGTTTCCAACGAAATCTTCACAGCTATCCAAATATCCACTTGCAGATTCTACAAAAAGAGTGTATCAAAACTGCTCTGTGAAAAGGAAGGTTCTTCTCTGTTAGGTGAGTGCATACGTCATAAAGGAGTTTCTGAGATTGTTTCTGTCTAGTGGTTATGGGAAGATATTTGCTTTTTCACCGTAGGCCTCAGAGTGCTCCAAATATCCACTTGCACATACTACAAAAAGAGTGCTTCAAAGCTGCTCTCTGAAACGGAATGTTCAACTCTATGAGTTGAATGCAAACATGACAAAGACGTTTCTGAGAATGCTTCTGTCTAGATTTGATATGAAGATATTCCCGTTTCCAACGAAATCTTCAAATCTATCCAAATGTCCACTTGCAGATTCAATTAAAAGGGTTTTTCATAACTGGTGTATCAAAAGAAAGACCCACCTCTGTTAGTTGAGATCACACATCACAAACAAGTTTATGAGAATGCTTCTGTCTAGTTTTTATTTGAAGATATTTCCTTTCTCACCATAGAGCTGAAAGCTGTCCTAATGTTCACTTCCAGATACTACAGAAAGAGTGTTTCAAAACTGCTGTACGAAAGGGAATGTTCAACTCTGTGACTTGAATGCACACATCACAAAGAAGTTTCTAAGGATGCTGCTGTCTACTTTTTATACATAATCCCGTTTCCAACGAAATCCTCCAAGCTATCCAAATATCCATTTGCAGATTCCACAGAAAGACTGTTTCAAAACTGCTCTGTCAATAGAAAGGTTCAACTCTGTTAACTGCGTGCATATATCCCAAAGAAGATTCTGAGATTGCTTCTGTCTAGTTTTTATGGGAAGATATTTCCCTTTCCACCGTAGGCGTCAAGGCGCTCCAAATGTCCACTTCCAGATACTACAAAAAGAGTGTTTCAAACCTACTCTGTGAAAGGGAATATTCAACTCTGTGACTTGAATGCACATATCACAAAGAAGTTTCTGAGAATGCTTCTGTCGAGATTTTATATGAAGATATTCCAGTTTCCAACGAAATCCTGAAATCTATCCAAATATCCCCTCGCAGATTCTACAGAAAGAGCGTTTCAAAACTGCTCTGTAAAAAGAAAGGTTCAACTCTGTTACTTGAGTACACACATCACAAACAAGTTTCACAGAATGCTTCTTTCTAGCTTGTAGGGGAAGATATTCCCTTTATCACCATGGGCCTCAAACCGTCCGAAACGTCCACTTCCATATACTACAAAAAGAGAGTTTCAAACCTGCTCTATGAAACGCAATGTTCAACTCTGTGACTTGAATGCAGACATCACAGAGCAGTTTCTGAGAATGCTTCTGTCTAGATTTTATAGGAAGATATTCCCGTTTCCAACGAAATCTTCACAGCTATCCAAATATCCACTTGCAGATTCTACAAAAAGAGTGTATCAAAACTGGTCTGTCAAAAGGAAGGTTCTTCTCTGTTAGGTGAGTGCATACGTCATAAAGGAGTTTCTGAGAATGTTTCTGTCTAGTGGTTTTGGGAAGATATTTGCTTTTTCACCGTAGGCCTCACAGCGCACCAAATATCCACTTGCACATACTACAAAAAGAGTGCCTCAAAGCTGCTCTCTGAAACGGAATGTTCAACTCTATGGGTTGAATGCAAACATCACAAAGACGTTTCTGAGAATGCTTCTGTCTAGATTTGATATGACGATATTCCCGTTTCCAACGAAATCTTCAAATCTATCCAAATGTCCACTTGCAGATTCAACAAAACGTGTTTTTCAGAACTGCTCTATCAAAAGAAAGATCCACCTCTGTTAGCTGAGTTCACACATCACAAACAAGTTGATGAGAATGCTTCTGTCTAGTTGTTATTTGAAGATATTTCCTTTCTCACCATAGACCTGAAAGCTGTCCTAATGTTCACTTCCAGATACTACAGAAAGAGTGTTTCAAAACTGCTGTACGAAAGGGAATGTTCAACTCTGTGACTTGAATGCACACATCACAAAGAAGTTTCTGAGGATGCTGCTGTCTACTTTTTATACGTAATCCCGTTTCCAACGAAATCCTCGAATCTATCCAAATATCCACTTGCAGATTCCACAGAAAGACTGTTTCAAAACTGCTCTGTCAATAGAAAGGTTCAACTCTGTTAGCTGCGTGCATATATCCCAAAGAAGATTCTGAGATTGCTTCGGTCTAGTTTGTATGGGAAGATATTTCCCTTTTCACCGTAGGCGTCAAGGCGCTCCAAATGTCCACTTCCAGATACTACAAAAAGAGTGTTTCAAACCTACTCTGTGAAAGGGAATATTCAACTCTGTGACTTGAATGCACATATCACAAAGAAGTTTCTGAGAATGCTTCTGTCGAGATTTTATATGAAGATATTCTCGTTTACAACGAAATCCTGAAATCTATCCAAATATCCCCTCGCAGATTCTACAAAAAGAGTGTTTCAAAACTGCTCTGTAAAAAGAAAGGTTCAACTCTGTTAGTTGAGTACACACATCACAAACAAGTTTCACAGAATGCTTCTTTCTAGCTTGTAGGGGAAGATATTCCCTTTATCACCATCGGCCTCAAACCGTGTGAAACGTCCACTTCCATATACTACAAAAAGAGCATTTCAAACCTGCTCTATGAAAGGCAATGTTCAACTCTGTGACTTGAATGCAGACATCACAGAGCAGTTTCTGAGAATGCTTCTGTCTAGATTTTATAGGAAGATATTCCCGTTTCCAACGAAATCTTCACAGCTATCCAAATATCCACTTGCAGATTCTACAAAAAGAGTGTATCAAAACTGCTCTGTCAAAAGGAAGGTTCTTCTCTGTTAGGTGAGTGCATACATCATAAAGGAGTTTCTGAGAATGTTTCTGTCTAGTGGTTATGGGAAGATATTTGCTTTTTCACCGTAGGCCTCAGTAGCGCTCCAAATATCCACTTGCACATACTACAAAAAGAGTGCTTCACAGCTGCTCTCTGAAAGGGAATGTTCAACTCTATGAGTTGAATGCAAACATCACAAAGACGTTTCTGAGAATGCTTCTGTCTAGTTTTGATATGAAGATATTCCCGTTTCCAACGAAATCTTCAAATCTATCCAAATGTCCACTTGCAGATTCAACAAAAAGTGTTTTTCAAAACTGCTATATGAAAAGAAAGATCCACCTCTGTTAGTTGAGTTCACACATCACAAACAAGTTTATGAGAATGCTTCTGTCTAGTTTTTATTTGAAGATATTTTCTTTCTCACCATAGACCTGAAAGCTCTCGTAACGTTCACTTCCAGATACTAGAGAAAGAGTGTTTCAAACCTGCTCTACGAAAGGGAATGTTGAACTCTGTGACTTGAATGCACACATCACAACGAAGTTTCTGAGAATGCTGCTGGCTACTTTTTATACGTAATCCCGTTTCCAACGAAATCCTCCAAGCTATCCAAATATCCATTTGCAGATTCCACAGAAAGACTTTTTCAAAACTGCTCTGTCAATAGAAAGGTTCAACTCTGTTAGCTGCGTGCATATATCCCAAAGAAGATTCTGAGATTGCTTCTGTCTAGTTTTTATGGGAATATATTTCCCTTTTCACCGTAGGCGTCAAGGCGCTCCAAATGTCCACTTCCAGATACTACAAAAAGAGTGTTTCAAACCTACTCTGTGAAAGGGAATATTCAACTCTGTGACTTGAATGCACATATCAAAAAGAAGTTTCTGAGAATGCTTCTGTCGAGCATTTTATATGAAGATATTCCCGTTTCCAACGAAATGCTGAAATGTATCCAAATATCCCCTCGCAGATTCTACAAAAAGAGTGTTTCAAAACTGCTCTGTAAAAAGAAAGGTTCAACTCTGTTAGTTGAGTACACACATCACAAACAAGTTTCACAGAATGCTTCTGTCTAGATTTTATAGGAAGATATTCCCGTTTCCAACGAAATCTTCACAGCTATCCAAATATCCACTTGCAGATTCCACAAAAAGAGTGTATCAAAACTGCTCTGTCAAAAGGAAGGTTCTTTTCTGTTAGGTGAGTGCATACGTCATAAAGGAGTTTCTGAGAATGTTTCTGTCTAGTGGTTATGGGAAGATATTTGCTTTTTCACCGTAGGCCTCAGAGCGCTCCAAATATCCACTTGCACATACTACAAAAAGAGTGCTTCAAACCTCCTCTCTGAAACGGAATGTTCAACTCTATGAGTTGAATGCAAACATCACAAAGACGTTTCTGAGAATGCTTCTGTCTAGATTTGATATGAAGATATTCCCGTTTCCAACGAAATCATCAAATCTATCCAAATGTCCACTTGCAGATTCAACAAAGTGTTTTTCAAAACTGCTGTATCAAAAGAAAGATCCACCTCTGTTAGCTGAGTTCACACTTCACAAACAAGTTTATCAGAAAGCTTCTGTCTAGTTTTTATTTGAAGATATTTCCTTTCTCACCATAGACCTGAAAGCTGTCCTAATGTTCACTTCCAGTTACTACAGAAAGAGTGTTTCAAAACTGCTGTACGAAAGGGAATGTTCAACTCTGTGACTTGAATGCACACATCTCAAAGAAGTTTCTGAGGATGCTGCTGTCTACTTTTTATACTTAATCCCGTTTCCAACGAAATCCTCCAAGTTATCCAAATATCCACTTGCAGATTCCACAGAAAGACTGTTTCAAAACTGCTCTGTCAATAGAAAGGTTCAACTCTGTTAGCTGCGTGCATATATCCCAAAGAAGATTCTGAGATTGCTTCTGTCTAGTTTTTATGGGAAGATATTTCCCTTTTCACCGTAGGCGTCAAGGCGCTCCAAATGTCCACTTCCAGATACTACAAAAAGAGTGTTTCAAACCTCCTCTGTGAAAGCGAATATTCAACTCTGTGACTTGAATGCACATATCACAAAGAAGTTTCTGAGAATGCTTCTGTCGAGATTTTATATGAAGATATTCCCGTTTCCAACGAAATCCTGAAATCTATCCAAATATCCCCTCGCAGATTCTACAAAAAGAGTGTTTCAAAGCTGCTCTGTAAAAAGAAAGGTTCAACTCTGTTAGTTGAGTACACACATCACAAACAAGTTTCATAGAATGCTTCTTTCTAGCTTGTAGGGGAAGATATTCCCTTTATCACCATGGGCCTCAAACCGTCCGATAAGTCCACTTCCATATAATACAAAAAGAGCGTTTCAAACCTGCTCTATGAAAGGCAATGTTCAACTCTGTGACTTGAATGCAGACATCACAGAGCAGTTTCTGAGAATGCTTCTGTCTAGATTTTATAGGAAGATATTCCCGTTTCCAACGAAATCTTCATAGCTATCCAAATATCCACTTGCAGATTCTACAAAAAGAGTGTATCAAAACTGCTCTGTCAAAAGGAAGGTTCTTCTCTGTTAGTTGAGTACATACTTCATAAAGGAGTTTCTGAGAATGCTTCTGTCTAGTGGTTATGGGAAGATATTTGCTTTTTCACCGTAGGCCTCAGAGCGCTCCAAATATCCACTTGCACATACTACAAAAAGAGTGCCTCACAGCTGCTCTCTGAAACGGAATGTTCAAATCTATGAGTTGAATGCAAACATCGCAAAGACGTTTCTGAGAATGCTTCTGTCTAGATTTGATATGAAGATATTCCCGTTTCCAACGAAATCTTCAAATCTATCCAAATGTGCACTTGCAGATTCAACAAAAAGTGTTTTTCAGAACTGCTCTATCAAAAGAAAGATCCACGTGTGTTAGCTGAGTTCACACATTACGAACAAGTTTATGAGAATGCTTCTGTCTAGTTTTTATTTGAAGATATTTCCTTTCTCACCATAGAGCTGAAAGCTGTCCTAATGTTCACTTCCAGATACTACAGAAAGAGTGTTTCCAAACTGCTGTACGAAAGGGAATGTTCAACTCTGTGACTTGAATGCACACATCACAAAGAAGTTTCGGAGGATGCTGCTGTCTACTTTTTATACGTAATCCCGTTTCCAACGAAATCCTCCAAGCTATCCAAATATCCACTTGCAGATTCCACAGAAAGACTGTTTCAAAACTGCTCTGTCAATAGAAAGGTTCAACTCTGTTAGCTCCGTGCATATATCCCAAAGAAGATTCTGAGATTGCTTCTGTCTAGTTTTTATGGGAAGATATTTCCCTTTTCACCGTAAGCGTCAAGGCGCTCCAAATGTCCACTTCCAGATACTACAAAAAGAGTGTTTCAAACCTACTCTGTGAAAGGGAATATTCAACTCTGTGACTTGAATGCACATATCACAAAGAAGTTTCTGAGAATGCTTCTGTCGAGATTTTATATGAAGATATTCCCCTTTCCAACGAAATCCTGAAATCTATCCAAATATCCCCTCGCAGATTCTACAAAAAGAGTGTTTCAAAACTGCTCTGTAGAAAGAAAGGTTCAACTCTGTTAGTTGAGTACACACATCACAAACAAGTTTCACAGAATGCTTCTTTCTAGCTTGTAGGGGAAGATATTCCCTTTATCACCATGGGCCTCAAACCGTCCGAAACGTCAACTTCCATATACTAAAAAAAGAGCGTTTCAAACCTGCTCTATGAAAGGCAATGTTCAACTCTGTGACTTGAATGCAGACATCACAGAGCAGTTTCTGAGAATGCTTCTGTCTAGATTTTATAGGAAGATATTCCCGTTTCCAACGAAATCTTCACAGCTATCCAAATATCCACTTGGAGATTCTACAAAAAGAGTGTATCAAAAATGCTCTGTCAAAAAGAAGGTTCTTCTCTGTTAGTTGAGTACATACGTCATAAAGGAGTTTCTGAGAATGTTTCTGTCTAGTGGTTATGGGAAGATATTTGCTTTTTCACCGTAGGCCTCAGAGCGCTCAAAATATCCACTTGCACATACTACAAAAAGAGTGCCTCAAAGCTGCTCTCTGAAACGGAATGTTCAACTCTATGAGTTGAATGCCAACATCACAAAGACGTTTCTGAGAATGCTTCTGTCTAGATTTGATATGAAGATATTCCCGTTTCCAACGACATCTTCAAATCTATCCAAATGTCCACTTGCAGATTCAACAAAACGTGTTTTTCAGAACTGCTCTATCAAAAGAAACATCCACCTCTGTTAGCTGAGTTCACACATAACAAACAAGTTCTTGAGAATGCTTTCTGTCTAGTTTTTATTTGAAGATATTTCCTTTCTCACCATAGACCTGAAAGCTGTCCTAATGTTCACTTCCAGATACTACAGAAAGAGTGTTTCAAAACTGCTGTACGAAAGGGAATGTTCAACTCTTTGACTTGAATGCACACATCACAAAGAAGATTCTGAGGATGCTGCTGTCTACTTTTTATACGTAATCCCGTTTCCAACGAAATCCTCCAAGCTATCCAAATATCCACTTGCAGATTCCACAGAAAGACTGTTTCAAAACTGCTCTGTCAATAGAAAGGTTCAACTCTGTTAGCTGCGTGCATATATCCCAAAGATGATTCTGAGATTTCTTCTGTCTAGTTTTTATGGGAAGATATTTCCCTTTTCACTGTAGGCGTCAAGGCGCTCCAAATGTCCACTTCCAGATACTACAAAAAGAGTGTTTCAAACCGACTCTGTGAAAGGGAATATTCAACTCTGTGACTTGAATGCAGATATCACAAAGAAGTTTCTGAGAATGCTTCTGTCGAGATTTTATATGAAGATAATCCCCTTTCCAACGAAATCCTGAAATCTATCCAAATATCCCCTCGCAGATTCTACAAAAAGAGTGTTTCAAAACTGCTCTGTAAAAAGAAAGGTTCAACTCTGTTAGTTGAGTACACACATCACAAACAAGTTTCACAGAATGCTTGTCTTTCTAGCTTGTAGGGCAAGATATTCCCTTTATCACCATGGGCCTCAAACCGTCCGAAACGTCCACTTCCATATACTACAAAAAGAGCGTTTCAAACCTGCTCTATGAAAGGCAATGTTCAACTCTGTGACTTGAATGCAGACATCACAGAGCAGTTTCTGAGAATGCTTCTGTCTAGATTTTATAGGAAGATATTCCCGTTTCCAACGAAATCTTCACAGCTATCCCAATATCCTCTTGCAGATTCTACAAAAAGAGTGTATCAAAACTGCTCTGTCAAAAGGAAGGTTCTTCTCTGTTAGGTGAGTGCATACGTCATAAAGGAGTTTCTGAGAATGTTTTCTGTCTAGTGGTTATGGGAAGATATTTGCTTTTTCACAGAAGGCCTCAGAGCGCTCCAAATATCCACTTGCACATACTACAAAAAGAGTGCCTCAAAGCTGCTCTCTGAAACGGAATGTTCAACTTTATGAGTTGAATGCAAACATCACAAAGACGTTTCCGAGAATGCTTCTGTCTACATTTGATATGAAGATATTCCCGTTTCCAACGAAATCTTCAAATCTATCCAAATGTCCCCTTGCAGATTCAACAAAAAGTGTTTTTCAGAACTGCTCTATCAAAAGAAAGATCCACCTCTGTTAGCTGAGTTCACACATCACAAACAAGTTTATGAGAATGCTTCTGTCTAGTTTTTATTTGAAGATATTTCCTTTCTCACCATAGACCTGAAAGCTGTCCTAATGTTCACTTCCAGATGCTACAGAAAGAGTCTTTCAAAACTGGTGTACGAAAGGGAATGTTCAACTCTGTGACTTGAATGCACACATCACAAAGAAGTTTCTGAGGATGCTGCTGTCTACTTTTTATACGTAATCCCGTTTCCAACGAAATCCTCCAAGCTATCCAAATATCCACTTGCAGATTCCACAGAAAGACTGTTTCAAAACTGCTCTGTCAATAGAAAGGTTCAACACTGTTAGCTGCGTGCATATATCCCAAAGAAGATTCTGAGATTGCTTCTGTCTCGTTTTTATGGGAAGATATTTCCCTTTTCACCGTAGGCGTCAAGGCGCTCCAAATGTCCACTTCCAGATACTACAAAAAGAGTGTTTCAAACCTACTCTGTGAAAGGGAATATTCAACTCTGTGACTTGAATGCACATATCACAAAGAAGTTTCTGAGAATGCTTCTGTCGAGATTTTATATGAAGATATTCCCGTTCCCAACGAAATCCTGAAATCTATCCAAATATCCCCTCGCAGATTCTACAAAAAGAGTGTTTCAAAACTGCTCTGTAAAAAGGAAGGTTCAACTCTGTTAGTTGAGTACACACATCACAAACAAGTTTCACAGAATGCTTCTTTCTAGCTTGTAGGGGAAGATATTCCCTTTATCACCATGGGCCTCAAACCGTCCGAAACGTCTACTTCCATATACTACAAAAAGAGCGTTTCAAACCTGCTCTATGAAAGGCAATGTTCAACTCTGTGACTTGAATGCAGACATCACAGCAGCAGTTTCTGAGAATGCTTCTGTCTAGATTTTATAGGAAGATATTCCCGTTTCCAACGAAACCTTCACAGCTATCCAAATATCCACTTGCAGATTCTACAAAAAGAGTGTATCAAAACTGCTCTGTCAAAAGGAAGGTTCTTCTCTGTTAGGTGAGTGCATACGTCATACAGGAGTTTCTGAGAATGTTTCTGTCTAGTGGTTATGGGAAGCATATTTGCTTTTTCACCGTAGGCCTCAAAGCGCTCCAAATGTCCACTTGCACATACTACAAAAAGAGTGCTTCAAAGCTGCTCTCTGAAACGGAATGTTCAACTCTATGAGTTGAATGCAAACATCACAAAGACGTTTCTGAGAATGCTTCTGTCTAGATTTGATATGAAGATATTCCCGTTTCCAACGAAATTTTCAAATCTATACAAATGTCCACTTGCAGATTCAACAAAGTGTTTTTCAAAACTGCTGTATCAAAAGAAAGATCCACCTCTGTTAGCTGAGTTCACACTTCACAAACAAGTTTATCAGACTGCTTCTGTCTAGTTTTTATTTGAAGATATTTCCTTTCTCACCATAGACCTGAAAGCTGTCCTAATGTTCACTTCCAGATACTACAGAAAGAGTGTTTCAAAACTGCTGTACGAAAGGGAATATTCAACTCTGTGACTTGAATGCACACATCACAAAGAAGTTTCTGAGGATGCGGCTTTCTACATTTTATACGTAATCCCGTTTCCAACGAAATCCTCCAAGCTATCCAAATATCCACTTGCAGATTCCACAGAAAGACTGTTTCAAAACTGCTCTGTCAATAGAAAGGTTCAACTCTGTTAGCTGCGTGCATATATCCCAAAGAAGATTCTGAGATTGCTTCTGTCTACTTTTTATGAGAAGGTATTTCCCTTTTCACCGTAGGCGTCAAGGCGCTCCAAATGTCCACTTCAGATACTACAAAAAGAGTGTTTCAAACCTACTCTGTGAAAGGGAATATTCAACTCTGTGACTTGAATGCACATATCACAAAGAAGCTTATGAGAATGCTTCTGTCGAGATTTTATATGAAGATATTCCCGTTTCCAACTAAATCCTGAAATCTATCCAAACTTCCCCTCGCAGATTCTACAAAAAGAGTGTTTCAAAACTGCTCTGTAAAAAGAAAGGTTCAACTCTGTTAGTTGAGTACACACATCACAAACAAGTTTCACAGAATGCTTCTTTCTAGCTCGTAGGGGAAGATATTCCCTTTATCACCATGGGCCTCAAACCATCCGAATCGTCCACTTCCATATACTACAAAAAGAGCGTTTCAAACCTGCTCCATGAAAGGCAATGTTCAACTCTGTGACTTGAATGCAGACATCACAGAGCAGTTTCTGAGAATGCTTCTGTCTAGATTTTATAGGAAGATATTCCCGTTTCCAGCAAAATCTTCACAGCTATCCAAATATCCACTTGCAGATTCTACAAAAAGAGTGCATCAAAACTGCTCTGTCAAATGGAAGGTTCTTCTCTGTTAGGTGAGTGCATACGTCATAAACGAGTTTCTGAGAATGTTTCTGTCTAGTGGTTATGGGAAGATATTTGCTTTTTCACCGAAGGCCTCAGAGCGCTCCCAATATCCACTTGCACATACTACAAAATGAGTGCCTCAAAGCTGCTCTCTGAAACGGAATGTTCAAATACTATGAGTTGAATGCAAACATCACAAAGACGTTTCCGAGAATGCTTTCTGTCTAGATTTGATATGAAGATATTCCCGTTTCCAACGAAATCTTCAAATCTATCCAAATGTCCACTTGCAGATTCAACGAAAAGTGTTTTTCAGAACTGCTCTATCAAAAGAAAGATCCACCTCTGTTAGCTGAGTTCAGACATCGCAAACATGTTTATGAGAATGCTTCTGTCTAGTTTTTATTTGAAGATATTTCCTTTCTCACCATAGACCTGAAAGCTGTCCTAATGTTCACTTCCAGATACTACAGAAAGAGTGTTTCAAAAATGCTGTACGAAAGGGAATATTCAACTCTGTGACTTGAATGCGCACATCACAAAGAAGTTTCTGAGGATGCTGCTGTCTACTTTTTATACGTAATCCCGTTTCCAACGAAATCCTCCAATCTATCAAAATATCCACTTGCAGATTCCACAGAAAGACTGTTTCAAAACTGCTCTGTCAATAGAAAGGTTCAACTCTGTTAGCTGCGTGCACATATCCCAAAGAAGATTCTGAGATTGCTTCTGTCTAGTATTTATGGGAAGATATTTCCCTTTTCACCGTAGGTGTCAAGGAGCTCCAATTGTCCACTTCCAGATACTACAAAAAGAGTGTTTCAAACCTACTCTGCGAAAGGGAATATTCAACTCTGTGACTTGAAGGCAGATATCACAAAGAAGTTTCTGAGAATGCTTCTGTCGAGATTTTAAATGAAGATATTCCCGTTTCCAACGAAATCCTGAAATCTATCCAAATATCCCCTCGCAGATTCTACAAAAAGAGTGTTTCAAAACTGCTCTGTAAAAAGAAAGGTTCAACTCTGTTAGTTGAGTATACACATCACAAACAAGTTTCACAGAATGCTTCTTTCTAGCTTGTAGGGGAAGATATTCCCTTTATCACCATGGGCCTCAAACCGTCCGAAACGTCTACTTCCATATACTACAAAAAGAGCGTTTCAAACCTGCTCTATGAAAGGCAATGTTCAACTCTGTGACTTGAATGCAGACATCACAGGGCAGTTTCTGAGAATGCTTCTGTCTAGATTTTATAGGAAGATATTCCCGTTTCCAACGAAATCTTCACAGCTATCCAAATATCCACTTGCTGATTCTACAAAAAGAGTGTATCAAAACTGCTCTGTCAAAAGGAAGGTTCTTCTCTGTTAGGTGAGTGCATACGTCATAAAGCAGTTTCTGAGAATGTTTCTGTCTAGTGGTTATGGGAAGATATTTGCTTTTTCCCCGTAGGCCTCAGGGCGCTCCAAATATCCACTTGCACATACTACAAAAAGAGTGCCTCAAAGCTGCTCTCTGAAAGGGAATGTTCAACTCTATGAGTTGAATGCAAACATCGCAAAGACGTTTCTGAGAATGCTTCTGTCTAGATTTGATATGAAGATATTCCCGTTTCCAACGAAATCTTCAAATCTATCCAAATCTCCACTTGCAGATTCAACAAAAAGTGTTTTTCAGAACTGCTCTATCAAAAGAAAGATCCACCTCTGTTAGCTGAGTTGACACATCACAAACAAGTTTATGAGAATGCTTCTGTCTAGTTTTTATTTGAAGATATTTCCTTTCTCACCATAGAGCTGAAAGCTGTCCTAATGTTCACTTCCAGATACTACAGAAAGAGTGTTTCAAAACTGCTGTACGAAAAGGAATGTTCAACTCTGTGACTTGAATGCACACATCACAAAGAAGTTTCTGAGGATGCTGCTGTCTACTTTTTATACGTAATCCCGTTTCCAACGAAATCCTCCAAGCTATCCAAATATCCACTTGCAGATTCCACAGAAAGACTGTTTCAAAACTGCTCTGTCAATAGAAAGGTTCAACTCTGTTAGTTGCGTGCATATATCCCAAAGAAGATTCTGAGATTCCTTCTGTCGAATTTTTATGGGAAGATATTTCCCTTTTCACCGTAGGCATCAAGGCGCTCCAAATGTCCACTTCCAGATACTACAAAAAGAGTGTTTCAAACCTACTCTGTGAAAGGGAATATTCAACTCTGTGACTTGAATGCACATATCACAAAGAAGTTTCTGAGAATGCTTCTGTCGAGATTTTATATGAAGATATTCCCCTTTCCAACGAAATTCTGAAATCTATCCAAATATGCCCTCGCAGATTCTACAAAAAGAGTGTTTCAAAACTGCTCTGTAAAAAGAAAGGTTCAACTCTGTTAGTTGAGTACACACCTCACAAACAAGTTTCACAGAATGCTTCTTTCTAGCTTGTAGGGGAAGATATTCCCTTTATCACCATGGGCCTCAAACCGTCTGAAACGTCCACTTCCATATACTACAAAAAGAGCGTTTCAAACCTGCTCTATGAAAGGCAATGATCAACTCTGTGACTTGAATGCAGACATCACAGAGCAGTTTCTGAGAATGCTTCTGTCCAGACTTTATAGGAAGATATTCCCGTTTCCAACGAAATCTTCACAGCTATCCAAATATCCACTTGCAGATAGTACAAAAAGAGTGTATCAAAAATGCTCTGTCAAAAGGAAAGTTCTTCTCTGCTAGTTGAGTACATACGTCATAAAGAAGTTTCTGAGAATGTTTCTGTCTAGTGGTTATGGAAAGATATTTGCTTTTTCACCGTAGGCCTCAGAGCGCTCCAAATATCCACTTGCACATACTACAAAAAGAGTGCCTCAAATCTGCTTTCTGAAACGGAATGTTCAACTCTATGAGTTGAATGCAAACAACGCAAAGACGTTTCTGAGAATGCTTCTGTCTAGACTTGATATGAAGATATTCCCGTTTCCAACGAAATCTTCAAATCTATCCAAATGTCCACTTGCAGATTCAACAAAAAGTGTTTTTCAGAACTGCTCTATCAAAAGAAAGATCCACCTCTGTTAGCTGAGTTCACACATCACAAACAAGTTTATGAGAATGCTTCTGTCTAGTTTTTATTTGAAGATATTTCCTTTCTCACCATAGACCTGAAAGCTGTCCTAATGTTCACTTCCAGATACTACAGAAAGAGTGTTTCAAAACTGCTGTACGAAAGGGAATGTTCAACTCTGTGACTTGAATGCACCCATCACAAAGAAGTTTCTGAGGATGCTGCTGTCTACTTTTTATACGTAATCCCGTTTCCAACGAAATCCTCCAAGCTATCCAAATATCCACTTGCAGATTCCACAGAAAGACTGTTTCAAAACTGCTCTGTCAATATAAAGGTTCAACTCTATTAGCTGCGTACATATATCCCAAAGAAGATTCTGAGATTGCTTCTGTCTAGTTTTTATGGGAAGATATTTCCCTTTTCACCGTAGGCGTCAAGGCGCTCCAAATGTCCACTTCCAGATACTACAAAAAGAGTGTTTCAAACCTACTACTGTGAAAGGGAATATTCAACTCTGTGACTTGAATGCACATATCACAAGGAAGTTTCTGAGAATGCTTCTGTCAAGATTTTATATGAAGATATTCCCGTTTCCAACGAAATCCTGAAATGTATCCAAATATCCCCTCGCAGATTCTACAAAAAGAGTGTTTCAAAACTGCTCTGTAAAAAGAAAGGTTCAACTCTGTTAGTTGAGTACACACATCACAAACAAGTTTCACAGAATGCTTCTTTCTAGCTTGTAGGGGAAGATATTCCCTTTATCACCATGGGCCTCAAACCGTACGAAACGTCCACTTCCATATACTACAAAAAGAGCGTTTCAAACCTGCTCTAGGAAAGGCAGTGTTCAACTCTGTGACTTGAATGCAGACATCACAGAGCAGTTTCTGAGAATGCTTCTGTCTAGATTTTATAGGAAGATATTCCCGTTTCCAACGAAATCTTCACAGCTATCCAAATATCCACTTGCAGATTCTACAAAAAGAGTGTATCAAAACTGCTCTGTCAAAAGGAAGGTTCTTCTCTGTTAGGTGAGTACATACGTCATAAAGGAGTTTCTGAGAATGTTTCTGTCTAGTGATTATGGGAAGATATTTGCTTTTTCACCGTAGGCCTCAGAGCGCTCCAAATATCCACTTGCATATACTACAAAAAGAGTGCTTCAAAGCTGCTCTCTGAAACGGAATGTTCAACTCTATGAGTTGAATGCAAACATCACAAAGACGTTTCTGAGAATGCTTCTGTCTAGATTTGATATGAAGATATTCCCGTTTCCAACGAAATCTTCAAATCTATCCAAATGTCCACTTGCAGATTCAACAAAAAGTGTTTTTCAAAACTGCTGTATCAAAAGAAAGATCCACGTCTGTTAGCTGAGTTCAGACATCACAAACAAGTTTATGAGAATGCTTCTGTCTTGTTTTTATTTGAAGATATTTCCTTTCTCACCATAGACCTGAAAGCTGTCATAATGTTCACTTCCAGATACTACAGAAAGAGTGTTTCAAAACTGCTGTACGAAAAGGAATGTTCAACTCTGTGACTTGAATGCACACATCACAAAGAAGTTTCTGAGGATGCTGCTGTCTACTTTTTATACGTAATCCCGTTTCCAAAGAAATCCTCCTAGCTATCCAAATATCCACTTGCAGATTCCACAGAAAGACTGTTTCAAAACTGCTCTGTCAATAGAAAGGTTCAACTCTGTTAGCTGCGTGCATATATCCCAAAGAAGATTCTGAGATTGCTTCTGTCTAGTTTTTATGGGAAGATATTTCCCTTTTCACCGTAGGCGTCAAGGCGCTCCAAATGTCCACTTCCAGATACTACAAAAAGAGTGTTTCAAACCTACTCTGTGAAAGGGAATATTCAACTCTGTGACTTGAATGCACATATCACAAAGAAGTTTCTGAGGATGCTTCTGTCGAGATTTTATATGAAGATATTCCGGTTTCCAACGAAATCCTGAAATCTATCCAAATATCCCCTCGCAGATTCTACAAAAAGAGTGTTTCAAAACTGCTCTGTAAAAAGAAAGGTTCAACTCTGTTAGTTGAGTACACACATCACAAACAAGATTCACAGAATGCTTCTTTCTAGCTTGTAGGGGAAGATATTCTCATTATCACCATGGTCCTCAAACCGTCCGAAACGTCCACTTTCATATACTACAAAAAGAGCGTTTCAAACCTGCTCTAGGAAAGGCAATGTTCAACTCTGTGACTTGAATGCAGACATCACAGAGCAGTTTCTGAGAATGCTTCTGTCTAAATTTTATAGGAAGATACTCCCGTTTCCAACGAAATCTTCACAGCTATCCAAATATCCACTTGCAGATTCTACAAAAAGAGTGTATCAAAACTGCTCTGTCAAAAGGAAGGTTCTTTTCTGTTAGGTGAGTGCATACGTCATAAAGGATTTTCTGAGAATGCTTCTGTCTAGTGGTTATGGGAAGATATTTGCTTTTTCACCGTAGACCTCAGAGCGCTCCAAATATCCACTTGCACATACTACAAAAAGAGTGCCTCAAAGCTGCTCTCTGAAACGGAATGTTCTACTCTATGAGTTGAATGCAAACATCACAAAGACGTTTCTGAGAATGCTTCTGTCTAGATTTGATATGAAGATATTCCCGTTTCCAACGAAATCTTCAAATCTATCCAAATGTCCACTTGCAGATTCAACAAAAAGTGTTTTTCAGAACTGCTCTATCAAAAGAAAGATCCACCTCTGTTAGCTGAGTTCACACTTCACGAACAAGTTTATCAGAATGCTTCTGTCTAGTTTTTATTTGAAGATATTTCCTTTCTCACCATAGAGCTGAAAGCTGTCCTAATGTTCACTTCCAGATACTACAGAAAGAGTGTTTCAAAACTGTTGTACGAAAGGGAATGTTCAACTCTGTGACTTGAATGCACACATCACAAAGAAGTTTCTGAGGATGCTGCTGTCTACTTTTGATACGTAATCCCGTTTCCAACGAAATCCTCCAAGCTATCCAAATATCCACTTGCAGATTCCACAGAAAGACTGTTTCAAAACTGCTCTGTCAATAGAAAGGTTCAACTCTGTTAGCTGTGTGCATATATCCCAAAGAAGATTCTGAGATTGCTTCTGTCTAATTTTTGTGGGAAGATATTTCGCTTTTCACCGTAGGTGTCAAGGCGCTCCAAATGTCCACTTCCAGATACTACAAAAAGATTGTTTCAAACCTACTCTGTGAAAGGGAATATTCAACTCTGTGACTTGAATGCACATATCACAAAGAAGTTTCTGAGAATGCTTCTGTCGAGATTTTATAGGAAGATATTCCCGTTTCCAACGAAATCCTGAAATCTATCCAAATATCCCCTCGCAGATTCTAAAAAAAGAGTGTTTCAAAACTGTTCTGTAAAAAGAAAGGTTCAACTCTGTTAGTTGAGTACACACATCACAAACAAGTTTCACAGAATGCTTCTTTCTAGCTTGTAGGGGAAGATATTCCCTTTATCACCATGGGCCTCAAACCGTCCGAAACGTCCGCTTCCATATACTACAAAAAGAACGCTTCAAACCTGCTCTATGAAAGACAATGTTCAACTCTGTGACTTGAATGCAGACATCACAGAGCAGATTCTGAGAATGCTTCTGTCTAGATTTTATAGGAAGATATTCCCGTTTCCAACGAAATCTTCACAGCTATCCAAATATCCACTTGCAGATTCTACAAAAAGAGTGTATGAAAACTGCTCTGTCAAAAGGAAGGTTCTTCTCTGTTAGGTGAGTGCATACGTTATAAAGGAGTTTCTGAGAATGTTTCTGTCTAGTGGTTATGGGAAGATATTTGCTTTTTCACCGTAGGCCTCAGAGCGCTCCAAATATCCACTTGCACATACTACAAAAAGAGTGCCTCAAAGCTGCTCTCTGAAACGGAATGTTCAACTCTATGAGTTGAATGCAAACATCACAAAGACGTTTCTGAGAATACTTCTGTCTAGATTTGATATGAAGATATTGCCGTTTCCAACGAAATCTTCAAATCTATCCAAATGTCCACTTGCAGATTCAACAAAAAGTGTTTTTCAGAACTGCTCTATCAAAAGAAAGATCCACCTCTGTTAGCTGAGTTCACACATCACAAACAAGTTTATGAGAATGCTTCTGTCTAGTTTTTATTTGAAGATATTTTGTTTCTCACCATAGAGCTGAAAGCTGTCCTAATGTTCACTTCCAGATACTACAGAAAGAGTGTTTCAAAACTGCTGTACGAAAGGGAATGTTCAACTCTGTGACTTGAATGCACACATCACAAAGAATTTTCTGAGGATGCTGCTGTCTACTTTTTATACGTAATCCGGTTTCCAACGAAATCCTCCAAGCTATCCAAATATCCACTTGCAGATTCCACAGAAAGACTGTTTCAAAACTGCTCTGTCAATAGAAAGGTTCAACTCTGTTAGCTGCGTGCATATATCCCAAAGAAGATTCTGAGATTGCTTCTGTCTAGTTTTTATGGGAAGATATTTCCCTTTCCACCGTAGGTGTCAAGGAGCTCCAAATGTCCACTTCCAGATACTACAAAAAGAGTGTTTCAAACCTACTCTGTGAAAGGGAATATTCAACTCTGTGACTTGAATGCACATATCACAAAGAAGTTTCTGAGAATGCTTCTGTCGAGATTTTATATGAAGTTATTCCCGTTTCCAACGAAATCCTGAAATCTATCCAAATATCCCCTCGCAGATTCTACAAAAAGAGTGTTTCAAAACTGCTCTGTGAAAGGGAATATTCAACTCTGTGACTTGAATGCAGATATCACAAAGAAGTTTCTGAGAATGCTTCTGTCGAGATTTTATATGAAGATATTCCGGTTTCCAACGAAATCCTGAAATCTATCCAAATATCCCCTCGCAGATTCTACAAAAAGAGTGTTTCAAAACTGCTCTGTAAAAAGAAAGGTTCAACTCTGTTAGTTGAGTACACACATCACAAACAAGTTTCACAGAATGCTTCTGTCTAGATTTTATAGGAAGATATTCCCGTTTCCAACGAAATCTTCACAGCTATCCCAATATCCACTTGCAGATTCTACAAAAAGAGTGTATCAAAACTGCTCTGTCAAAAGGAAGGTTCTTCTCTGTTAGGTGAGTGCATACAGTCATAAAGGAGTTTCTGAGAATGTTTCTGTCTAGTGGTTATGGGAAGATATTTGCTTTTTCACCGTAGGCCTCAGAGCGCTCCAAATATCCACTTGCACATACTACAAAAAGTGTGCCTCAAAGCTGCTCTCTGAAACGGAATGTTCAAATCTATGAGTTGAATGCAAACATCACAAAGACGTTTCTGAGAATGCTTCTGTCTAGACTTGATATGAAGATATTCCCGTTTCCAACGACATCTTCAAATCTATCCAAATGTCCACTTGCAGATTCAACAAAAAGTGTTTTTCAGAACTGCTCTATCAAAAGAAAGATCCACCTCTGTTAGCTGAGTTCACACATCACAAACAAGTTTATGAGAATGCTTCTGTCTAGTTTTTATTTGAAGATATTTCCTTTCTCACCATAGACCTGAAAGCTGTCCTAATGTTCACTTCCAGATACTACAGAAAGAGTGTTTCAAAACTGCTGTACGAAAGGGAATGTTCAACTACTGTGACTTGAATGCACACATCACAAAGAAGTTTCTGAGGATGCGTGCTGTCTACTTTTTATACGTAATCCCGTTTCCAACGAAATCCTCCAAGCTATCCAAATATCCACTTGCAGATTCCACAGAAAGACTGTTTCAAAACTGCTCTGTCAATAGAAAGGTTCAACTCTGTTAGCTGCGTGCATATATCCCAAAGAAGATTCTGAGATTGCTTCTGTCTAGTTTTTATGGGAAGATATTTCCCTTTTCACCGTAGGCGTCAAGGCGCTCCAAATGTCCACTTCCAGATACTACAAAAAGAGTGTTTCAAACCTACTCTGTGAAAGGGAATATTCAACTCTGTGACTTGAATGCACATATCACAAAGAAGTTTCTGATAATGCTTCTGTCGAGATTTTATATGAAGATATTCCCGTTTCCAACGAAATCCTGAAATCTATACAAATATCCCCTCGCAGATTCTACAAAAAGAGAGTTTCAAAACTGCTCTGTAAAAAGAAAGGTTCAACTCTGTTAGTTGAGTACACACATCACAAACAAGTTTCACAGAATGCTTCTTTCTAGCTTTTAGGGGAAGATATTCCCTTTATCACCATGGGCCTCCAACCGTCCGAAACATCCACTTCCATATACTACAAAAAGAGCGTTTCAAACCTGCTCTATGAAAGGCAATGTTCAACTCTGTGACTTGAATGCAGACATCACAGAGCAGTTTCTGAGAATGCTTCTGTCTAGATTTTATAGGAAGGTATTCCCGTTTCCAACGAAATCTTCACAGCTATCCAAATATCCTCTTGCAGATTCTACAAAAAGAGTGTATCAAAACTGCTCTGTCAAAAGGAAGGTCCTTCTCTGTTATTTGAGTACATACGTCATAAAGGGGTTTCTGAGAATGTTTCTGTCTAGTGGTTATGGGAAGATATTTGCTTTTTCACCGAAGGCCTCAGAGCGCTCCAAATATCCACTTGCACATACTACAAAAAGAGTGCTTCAAATCTGCTCTCTGAAAGGGAATGTTCAACTCTATGAGTTGAATGCAAACATCACAAAGACGTTTCTGACAATGCTTCTGTCTAGATTTGATATGAAGATATTCCCGTTTCCAACGAAATCTTCAAATCTATCCAAATGTCCACTTGCAGATTCAACAAAAAGTGTTTTTCAGAACTGCTCTATCAAAAGAAAGATCCACCTCTGTTAGCTGAGTTCACACACCACAAACAAGTTTATGAGAATGCTTCTGTCTAGTTTTTATTTGAAGATATTTCCTTTCTCACCATAGAGCTGAAAGCTGTCCAAATGTTCACTTCCAGATACTACAGAAAGAGTGTTTCAAAACTGCTGTACGAAAGGGAATGTTCAACTCTGTGACTTGAATGCACACATCACAAAGAACTTTCTGAGGATGCTGCTGTCTACTTTTTATACGTAATCCCGTTTCCAACGAAATCCTCCAAGCTATCCAAATATCCACTTGCAGATTCCACAGAAAGACTGTTTCTAATCTGCTCTGTCAATAGAAAGGTTCAACTCTGTTAGCTGCGTGCATATATCCCAAAGATGATTCTGAGATTTCTTCTGTCTAGTTTTGATGGGAAGATACTTCCCTTTTCACCGTAGGCGTCAAGGCGCTCCAAATGTCCACTTCCAGATACTACAAAAAGAGTGTTTCAAACCTACTCTGTGAAAGGGAATATTCAACTCTGTGACTTGAATGCACATATCACAAAGAAGTTTCTGAGAATGCTTCTGTCGAGATTTTATATGAAGATATTCCCGTTTCCAACGAAATCCTGAAATGTATCCAAATATCCCCTCGCAGATTCTACAAAAAGAGTGTTTCAAAACTGCTCTCTAAAAAGAAAGGTTCAACTCTGTTAGTTGAGTACACACATCACAAACAAGTTTCACAGAATGCTTCTTTCTAGCTTGTAGGGGAAGATATTCCCTTTATCACCATGGGCCTCAAACCGTCCGAAACGTCCACTTCCATATACTACAAAAAGAGCGTTTCAAACCTGCTGTATGAAAGGCAATGTTCAACTCTGTGACTTGAATGCAGACATCACAGAGCAGTTTCTGAGAATGCTTCTGTCTAGTATTTTATAGGAAGATATTCCCGTTTCCAACGAAATCTTCACAGCTATCCAAATATCCACTTTCAGATTCTACAAAAAGAGTGTATCAAAAGTGCTCTGTCAAAAGGAAGGTTCTTCTCTGTTAGGTGAGTGCATACGTCATAAAGGAGTTTCTGAGAATGTTTCTGTCTAGTGGTTATGGGAAGATATTTGCTTTTTCACCGTAGGCCTCAGAGCGCTCCAAATATCCACTTGCACATACTACAAAAAGAGTGCCTCAAAGCTGCTCTCTGAAACGGAATGTTCAACTCTATGAGTTGAATGCAAACATCACAAAGACGTCTCTGAGAATGCTTCTGTCTAGATTTGATATGAAGATATTCCCGTTTCCAAAGAAATCTTCAAATCTATCCAAATGTCCACTTGCAGATTCAACAAAAAGTGTTTTTCAGAACTCCTCTATCAAAAGAAAGATCCACCTCTGTTAGCTGAGTTCACACATCACAAACAAGTTTATGAGAATGCTTCTGTCTAGTTTTTATTTGAAGATATTTCCTTTCTCACCATAGACCTGAAAGCTGTCCTAATGTTCACTCCCAGATACTACAGAAAGAGTGTTTCAAAACTGCTGTACGAAAGGGAATGTTCAACTCTGTGACTTGAATGCACACATCACAAAGAAGCTTCTGAGGATGCTGCTGTCTACTTTTTATACGTAATCCCGTTTCCAATGAAATCCTCCAAGCTATCCAAATATCCACTTGCAGATTCTACAGAAAGACTGTTTCAAAACTGCTCTGTCAATAGAAAGGTTCAACTCTGTTAGCTGCGTGCATATATCCCAAAGAAGATTCTGAGATTGCTTCTGTCTAGTTTTTATGGGAAGATATTTCCCTTTTCATCGTAGGTGTCAAGGCGCTCCAAATGTCCACTTCCAGATACAACAAAAAGAGTGTTTCAAACCTACTCTGTGAAAGGGAATATTCAACACTGTGACTTGAATGCACATATCACAAAGAAGTTTCTGAGAATGCTTCTGTCGAGATTTTATATGAAGATATTCCCGTTTCCAACGAAATCCTGAAATCTATCCAAATATCCCCTCGCAGATTCTACAAAAAGAGTGTTTCAAAACTGCTCTGTAAAAAGAAAGGTTCAACTCTGTTAGTTGAGTACACACATCACAAATAAGTTTCACAGAATGCTTCTTTCTAGCTTGTAGGGGAAGATATTCCCTTTATCACCATGGGCCTCAAACAGTCCGAAACGTCCACTTCCATATACTACAAAAAGAGCGTTTCAAACCTGCTAAATGAAAGGCAATGTTCAACTCTGTGACTTGAATGCAGACATCACAGAGCAGTTTCTGAGAATGCTTCTGTCTAGATTTTGTAGGAAGATATTCCCGATTCCAACGAAATCTTCACAGCTATCAAAATATCCACTTGCAGATTCTACAAAAAGAGTGTATCAAAACTGCTCTGTCAAAAGGAAGGTTCTTCTCTGTTAGGTGAGTGCATACGTCATAAAGGAGTTTCTGAGAATGTTTCTGTCTAGTGGTTATGGGAAGATATTTGCTTTTTCACCGTAGGCCTCAGAGCGCTCCAAATATCCACTTCCACATACTACAAAAAGAGTGCTTCAAAGCTGCTCTCTGAAAGGGAATGTTCAACTCTATGAGTTGAATGCAAACATCACAAAGACGTTTCTGAGAATGCTTCTGTCTAGATTTGATATGAAGATATTCCCGTTTCCAACGAAATCTTCAAATCTATCCAAATGTCCACTTGCAGATTCAACAAAAAGTGTTTTTCAGAACTGCTCTATCAAAAGAAAGATCCTCCTCTGTTAGCTGAGTTCACACATCACAAACAAGTTTATGAGAATGCTTCTGTCTTGTTTTTATTAGAAGATATTTCCTTTCTCACCATAGACCTGAAAGCTGTCCTAATGTTCACTTCCAGATACTACAGAAAGAGTGTTTCAAAACTGCTGTACGAAAGGGAATGTTCAACTCTGTGACTTGAATGCACACATCACAAAGAAGTTTCTGAGGATGCTGCTGTCTACTTTTTATACGTAATCCCGTTTCCAACGAAATCCTCCAATCTATCCAAATATCCACTTGCAGATTCCACAGAAAGACTGTTTCAAAACTGCTCTGTCAATAGAAAAGTTCAACTCTGTTAGCTGCGTGCATATATCCCAAAGAAGATTCTGAGATTGCTTCTGTCTAGTTTTTATGGGAAGATATTTCCCTTTTCACCTTAGGCGTCAAGGCGCTCCAAATGTCCACTTCCAGATACTACAAAAAGAGTGTTTCAAACCTACTCTGTGAAAGGGAATATTCAACTCTGTGACTTGAATGCAGATATCACAAAGAAGTTTCTGAGAATGCTTCTGCCTAGTTTTTATGTGAAGATATTCCCGTTTCCAACAAAATCCTCAAAGCTAGCCAAATATCCACTTGCAGACTCTACAAAAAAGAATGTTTGAAAACTGCTCTATCAAAAGAAAAGTTCAACTCTGTTAGTTGAGTAAACACATCACAAACAAGTTTCACAGAATGCTTCTTTCTAGCTTGTAGGGGAAGATATTCCCTTTATCACCATGGGCCTCAAACCGTCCGAAACGTCCACTTCCATATACTACAAAAAGAGCGTTTCAAACCTGCTCTATGAAAGGTAATGTTCAACTCTGTGACTTGAATGCAGACATCACAGAGCAGTTTCTGAGAATGCTTCTGTCTAGATTTTATAGGAAGATATTCCCGTTTCCAACGAAATCTTCACAGCTATCCCAATATCCACTTGCAGATACTACAAAAAGAGTGTATCAAAACTGCTCTGTCAAAAGGAAGGTTCTTCTCTGTTGGGTGAGTGCATACGTCATAAAGGAGTTTCTGAGAATGTTTCTGTCTAGTGGTTATGGGAAGATATTTGCTTTTTCACCGTAGGCCTCAGAGCGCTCCAAATATCCACTTGCACATACTACAAAAAGAGTGCCTCAAAGCTGCTCTCTGAAACGGAATGTTCAACTCTATGAGTTGAATGCAAACATCACAAAGACGTTTCTGAGAAAGCTTCTGTCTAGATTTGATATGAAGATATTCCCGTTTCCAACGAAATCTTCAAATCTATCCAAATGTCCACTTGCAGATTCAACAAAAAGTGTTTTTCAAAACTGCTGTATGAAAAGAAAGATCCACCTCTGTTAGCTGAGTTCACACATCACACATGAGAATGCTTCTGTCTAGTTTTTATTTGAAGATATATCCTTTCTCACTATAGACCTGAAAGCTCTCCTAAAGTTCACTTCCAGATACTACAGAAAGAGTGTTTCAAAACTGCTGTACGAAAGGGAATATTCAACTCTGTGACTTGAATGCACGCATCACAAGGAAGTTTCTGAGGATGCTGCTGTCTACTTTTTATACGTAATCCTGTTTCCAACGAAATCCTCCAAGCTATCCAAATATCCACTTGCAGATTCCACAGAAAGACTGTTTCAAAACTGCTCTGTCAATAGAAAGGTTCAACTCTGTTAGCTGCGTGCATATATCCCAAAGAAGATTCTGAGATTGCTTCTGTCTAGTTTTTATGGGAAGATATTACCCTTTTCACCGTAGGCGTCAAGGCGCTCCAAATGTCCACTTCCAGATACTACAAAAAGAGTGTTTCAAACCTACTCTGTGAAAGGGAATATTCAACTCTGTGACTTGAAGGCAGATATCACAAAGAAGTTTCTGAGAATGCTTCTGTCGAGATTTTATATGAAGTTATTCCCGTTTCCAACGAAATCCTGAAATCTATCCAAATATCCCCTCGCAGATTCTACAAAAGAGTGTTTCAAAACTGTTCTGTAAAAAGAAAGGTTCAACTCTGTTAGTTGAGTACACACATCACAAACAAGTTTCACAGAATGCTTCTTTCTAGCTTGTAGGGGAAGATATTTCCTTTATCACCATGGGCCTCAAACCGTCCGAAACGTCCACTTCCATATACTAAAAAAAGAGTGTTTGAAAGCTGCTCTATGAAAGGCAATGTTCAACTCTGTGACTTGAATGCAGACATCACAGAGCAGTTTCTGACAATGCTTCTGTCTAGATTTTATAGGAAGATATTCCCGTTTCCAACGAAATCTTCACAGCTATCCAAATATCCACTTGCAGATCCTACAAAAAGAGTGTATCAAAACTGCTCTGTCAAAAGGAAGGTTCTTCTCTGTTAGGTGAGTGCATACGTCATAAAGGAGTTTCTGAGAATGTTTCTGTCTAGTGGTTATGGGAAGATATTTGCTTTTTCACCTTAGGCCTCAGAGCGCTCCAAATATCCCCTTGCACATACTACAAAAAGAGTGCTTCAAAGCTGCTCTCTGAAAGGGAATTGTTCAACTCTATGAGTTGAATGCAAACATCACAAAGACGTTTCTGAGAATGCTTCTGTCTAGATTTGATATGAAGATATTCCCGTTTCCAACGAAATCTTCAAATCTATCCAAATGTCCACTTGCAGATTCAACAAAAAGTGTTTTTCAGAACTGCTCTATCAAAAGAAAGATCCCCCTCTGGTTAGCTGAGTTCACACATCACAAACAAGTTTATGAGAATGCTTCTGTCCAGTTTTTATTTGAAGATATTTCCTTTCTCACCATAGAGCTGAAAGCTGTCTTAATGTTCACTTCCAGATAATACAGAAAGAGTGTTTCAAAACTGCTGTACGAAAGGAAATGTTCAACTCTGTGACTTGAATGCACACATCACAAAGAAGTTTCTGAGGATGCTGCTGTCTACTTTTTATACGTAATCCCATTTCCAACGAAATCCTCCAAGCTATCCAAATATCCACTTGCAGATTCCACCGAAAGACTGTTTCAAAACTGCTATGTCAATAGAAAAGTTCAACTCTGTTAGCTGTGTGCATATATCCCAAAGAAAATTCTGAGATTGCTTCTGTCTAGTTTTTATGGGAAGATATTTCCCTTTTCACCGTAGGCGTCAAGGCGCTCCAAATGTCCACTTCCAGATACTACAAAAGGAGTGTTTCAAACCTACTCTGTGAAAGTGAATATTCAACTCTGTGACTTGAATGCAGATATCACAAAGAAGTTTCTGAGAATGCTTCTGTCGAGATTTTATATGAAGATATTCCCGTTTCCAATGAAATCCTGAAATCTATCCAAATATCCCCTCGCAGATTCTACAAAAGAGTGTTTCAAAACTGCTCTGCAAAAAGAAAGGTTCAACTCTGTTAGTTGAGTACACACATCACAAACAAGTTTCACAGAATGCTTCTTTCTAGCTTGTAGGGGAAGATATTCCCTTTATCACCATGGGCCTCAAACCGTCCGAAACGTCCACTTCCATATACTACAAAAAGAGCGTTTAAAACCTGCTCTAGGAAAGGCAATGTTCAACTCTGTGACTTGAATGCAGACATCACATAGCAGTTTCTGAGAATGCTTCTGTCTAGATTTTATAGGAAGATATTCCCGTTTCCAACAAAATCTTCACAGGTATCCAAATATCCACTTGCAGATTCTACAAAAAGAGTGTATCAAAACTGCTCTGTCAAAAGGGAGGTTCTTCTCTGTTAGGTGAGTGCATACGTCATAAAGGAGTTTCTGAGAATGTTTCTGTCTAGTGGTTATGGGAAGATATTTGCTTTTTCACCGTAGGCCTCAGAGAGCTCCAAATATCCACTTGCACATACTACAAAAAGAGTGCCTCAAAGCTGCTCTCTGAAACGGAATGTTCAACTCTATGAGTTGAATGCAAACATCACAAAGACGTTTCTGAGAATGCTTCTGTCTAGATTTGATATAAAGATATTCCCGTTTCCAATGAAATCTTCAAATCTATCCAAATGTCCACTTGCAGATTCAACAAAAAGTGTTTTTCAGAACTGCTCTATCAAAAGAAAGATCCACCTCTGTTAGCTGAGTTCACACATCACAAACAAGTTTATGAGAATGCTTCTGTCTAGTTTTTATTTGAAGATATTTCCTTTCTCACCATAGACCTGATAGCTGTCCTAATGTTCACTTCCAGATACTACAGAAAGAGTGTTTCAAAACTGCTGTACGAAAGGGAATGTTCAACTCTGTGACTTGAATGCACACATCACAAAGAAGTTTCTGAGGATGCTGCTGTCTACTTTTTATACGTAATCCCGTTTCCAACGAAATCCTCCAATCTATCCAAATATCCACTTACAGATTCCACAGAAAGACTGTTTCAAAACTGCTCTGTCAATAGAAATGTTCAACTCTGTTAGCTGCGTGCATATATCCCAAAGAAGATTCTGAGATTGCTTCTGTCTAGTTTTTATGGGAAGATATTTCCCTTTTCACCGTAGGCGTCAAGGCGCTCCAAATGTCCACTTCCAGATACTACAAAAAGAGTGTTCCAAACCTACTCTGTGAAAGGGAATATTCAACTCTGTGACTTGAATGCACATATCACAAAGAAGTTTCTGAGAATGCTTCTGTCGAGATTTTATATGAAGATATTCCCGTTTCCAACGAAATCTTGAAATCTATCCAAATATCCCCTCGCAGATTCTACAAAAAGAGTGTTTCAACACTGCTCTGTAAAAAGAAAGGTTCAACTCTGTTGGTTGAGTACACACATCACAAACAAGTTTCACAGAATGCTTCTTTCTAGCTTGTAGGGGAAGATATTCCCTTTATCACCATGGGCCTCAAACCGTCTGAAACGTCCACTTCCATATACTACAAAAAGAGCATTTCAAACCTGCTCTATGAAAGGCAATGTTCAACTCTGTGAGTTGAATGCAGACATCACAGAGCAGTTTCTGAGAATGCTTCTGTATAGATTTTATAGGAAGATATTCCCGTTTCCAACGAAATCTTCACAGCTATCCAAATATCCACTTGCAGATTCTACAAAAAGAGTGTATCAAAACTGCTCTGTCAAAAGGAAGGTTCTTTTCTGTTAGGTGAGTGCATACGTCATAAAGGAGTTTCTGAGAATGTTTCTGTCTAGTGGTTATGGGAAGATATTTGCTTTTTCACCTTAGGCCTCAGAGCGCTCCAAATATCCACTTGCACATACTACAAAAAGAGTGCCTCAAAGCTGCTCTCTGAAACGGAATGTTCAACTCTATGAGTTGAATGCAAACATCACAAAGACGTTTCTGAGAATGCTTCTGTCTAGATTTGATATGAAGATATTCCCGTTTCCAACGAAATCTTCAAATCTATCCAAATGTCCACTTGCAGATTCAACAAAACGTGTTTTTCAGAACTGCTCTATCAAAAGAAAGATCCACCTCTGTTAGCTGAGTTCACACATCACAAACAAGTTTATGACAATGCTTCTGTCTACTTTTTATTTGAAGATATTTCCTTTCTCACCATAGACCTGAAAGCTGTCCTAATGTTCACTTCCAGATACTACAGAAAGAGTGTTTCAAAACTGCTGTACGAAAGGGAATGTTCAACTCTGTGACTTGAATGCACACATCACAAAGAAGTTTCTGAGGATGCTGCTGTCTACTTTTTATACGTAATCCCGTTTCCAACGAAATCCTCCAAGCTCTCCAAATATCCACTTGCAGATTCCACAGAAAGACTGTTTCAAAACTGCTCTGTCAATAGAAAGGTTCAACTGTGTTAGCTGCGTGCATATATCCCAAAGAAGATTCTGAGATTGCTTCTGTCTAGTTTTTATGGGAAGATATTTCCCTTTTCACCGTAGGCGTCAAGGCGCTCCAAATGTCCACTTCCAGATACTACAAAAAGAGTGTTTCAAACCTACTCTGTGAAAGGGAATATTCAACTCGGTGACTTGAATGGAGATATCACAAAGAAGTTTCTGAGAATGCTTCTGTCGAGATTTTATATGAAGATATTCCCGTTTCCAACGAAATCCTGAAATCTATCCAAATATCCCCTCGCAGATTCTACAAAACGAGTGTTTCAAAACTGCTCTGTAAAAAGAAAGGTTCAACTCTGTTAGTTGAGTACACACATCACAAACAAGTTTCACACAATGCTTCTTTCTAGCTAGTAGGGGAAGATATTCCCTTTATCACCATGGGCCTCAAACCGTCCGAAACGTCCACTTCCATATACTACAAAAAGAGCGTTTCAAACCTGCTCTATGAAAGGCAATGTTCAACTCTGTGACTTGAATGCAGACATCACAGAGCAGTTTCTGAGAATGCTTCTGTCTAGATTTTATAGGAAGATATTCCCGTTTCCAACGAAATCTTCACAGCTATCCAAATATCCACTTGCAGATTCTACAAAAAGAGTGTATCAAAACTGCTCTGTCAAAAGGAAGGTTCTTTTCTGTTAGGTGAGTGCATACGTCATAAAGGAGTTTCTGAGAATGCTTCTGTCTAGTGGTTATGGGAAGATATTTGCTTTTTCACCATAGGCCTCAGAGCGCTCCAAATATCCACTTGCACATACTACAAAAAGAGTGCTTCAAAGCTGCTCTCTGAACGGGAATGTTCAACTCTATGAGTTGAATGCTAACATCACAAAGACGTTTCTGAGAATGCTTCTGTCTAGATTTGATATGAAGATATTCCCGTTTCCAACGAAATCTTCAAATCTATCCAAATGTCCACTTGCAGATTCAACAAAAAGTGTTTTTCAGAACTGCTCTATCAAACGAAAGATCCACCTCTGTTAGCTGAGTTCACACATCACAAACAAGTTTATGAGAATGCTTCTGTCTAGTTTTTATTTGAAGATATTTCCTTTCTCACCATACACCTGAAAGCTGTCCTAATGTTCACTTCCAGTTACTACAGAAAGAGTGTTTCAAAACTGCTGTACGAAAGGGAATGTTCAACTCTGTGACTTGAATGCACACATCACAAAGAAGTTTCTGAGGATGCTGCTGTCTAATTTTTATACGTAATCCCGTTTCCAATGAAATCCTCCAAGCTATCCAAATATCCACTTGCAGATTCCACAGAAAGACTGTTTCAAAACTGCTCTGTCAATAGAAAGGTTCAACTCTGTTAGCTGCGTGCAAATATCCCAAAGAAGATTCTGAGATTGCTTCTGTCTAGTTTTTATGGGAAGATATTTCCCTTTTCAAAGTAGGTGTCAATGTGCTCCAAATGTCCACTTCCAGACACTACAAAAAGAGTGTTTCAAACCTACTCTGTGAAAGGGAATATTCAACTCTGTGACTTGAATGCAGATATCACAAAGAAGTTTCTGAGAATGCTTCTGTCGAGATTTTATATGAAGATATTCCCGTTTCCAACGAAATCCTGAAATCTATCCAAATATCCCCTCGCAGATTCTACAAAAAGAGTGTTTCAAAACTGCTCTGTGAAAAGAAAGGTTCAATTCTGTTAGTTGAGTACACACATCACAAACAAGTTTCACAGAATGCTTCTTTCTAGCTTGTAGGGGAAGATATTCCCTTTATCACCATGGGCCTCAAACCGTCCGAAAAGTCCACTTCCATATACTACAAAAAGAGCATTTCAAACCTGCTCTATGAAAGGCAATGTTGAACTCTGTGACTTGAATGCAGACATCACAGAGCAGTTTCTGAGAATGCTTCTGTCTAGATTTTATAGGAAGATATTCCCGTTTCCAACGAAATCTTCACAGGTATCCAAATATCCACTTGCAGATTCTACAAAAAGAGTGTATCAAAACTGCTCTGTCAAAAGGAAGGTTCTTCTCTGTTAGTTGAGTGCATACGTCATAAAGGAGTTTCTGAGAATGTTTCTGTCTAGTGGTTATGGGAAGATATTTGATTTTTCACCTTAGGCCTCAGAGCGCTCCAAATATCCCCTTGCACATACTACAAAAAGAGTGCTTCAAAGCTGCTCTCTGAAAGGGAATGTTCAACTCTATGAGTTGAATGCAAACATCACAAAGACGTTTCTGAGAATGCTTCTGTCTAGATTTGAAATGAAGTTATTCCCGTTTCCAACGAAATCTTCATATCTATCCAAATGTCCACTTGCAGATTCAACAAAAAGTGTTTTTCAGAACTGCTCTATCAAAAGAAAGATCCACCTCGGTTAGCTGAGTTCACACATCACAAAGAAGTTTATGAGAATGCTTCTGTCTAGTTTTTATTTGAAGATATTTCCTTTCTTACCATAGAGCTGAAAGCTGTCCTAATGTTCACTTCCAGATACTACAGAAAGAGTGTTTCAAAACTGCTGTACGAAAGGGAATGTTCAACTCTGTGACTTGAATGCACACATCACAAAGAAGTTTCTGAGGATGCTGCTGTCTACTTTTTATACGTAATCCCGTTTCCAACGAAATCCTCAAAGCTATCCAAATATCCACTTGCAGATTCCACAGAAAGACTGTTTCAAAACTGCTCTGTCAATAGAAAGCTTCAACTCTGTTAGCTGCGTGCATATATCCCAAAGAAGATTCTGAGATTGCTTCTGTCTAGTTTTTATGGGAAGATTTTTCCCTTTTCACCGTAGGTGTCAAGGCGCTCCAAATGTCCACTTCCAGATACTACAAAAAGAGTGTTTCAAACCTACTCTGTGAAAGGGAATATTCAACTCTGTGACTTGAATGCACATATCACAAGGAAGTTTCTGAGAATGCTTCTGTAGAGATTTTATATGAAGATATTCCCGTTTCCAACGAAATCCTGAAATGTATCCAAATATCCCCTCGCAGATTCTACAAAAAGAGTGTTTCAAAACTGCTCTGTAAAAAGAAAGGTTCACCTCTGTTAGTTGAGTACACACATCACAAACAAGTTTCACAGAATGCTTCTTTCTAGCTTGTAGGGGAAGATATTCCCTTTATCACCATGGGCCTCAAACCGTCCGAAACGTCCACTTCCATATCCTACAAAAAGAGTGTTTCAAACCTGCTCTATGAACGGCAATGTTCAACTCTGTGACTTGAATGCAGACATCACAGAGCAGTTTCTGAGAATGCTTCTGTCTAGATTTTATAGGAAGATATTCCCGTTTCCAACGAAATCTTCACAGGTATCCAAATATCCACTTGCAGATTCTACAAAAAGAGTGTAACAAAACTGCTCTGTCAAAAGGAAGGTTCTTCTCTGTTAGGTGAGTGCTTACGTCATAAAGGAGTTTCTGAGAATGTTTCTGTCTAGTGGTTATGGGAAGATATTTTCTTTTTCACCGTAGGCCTCAGAGCGCTCCAAATATCCACTTGCACATACTACAAAAAGAATGTTTCAAAGCTGCTCTCTGAAAGGGAATGTTCAACTCTATGAGTTGAATGCAAACATGACAGAGACGTTTCTGAGAATGCTTCTGTCTAGATTTGATATGAAGATATTCCCGTTTCCAACGAAATCTTCAAATCTATCCAAATGTCCACTTGCAGATTCAACAAAAAGTGTTTTTCAGAACTGTTCAATCAAAAGAAAGATCCACCTCTGTTAGCTGAGTTCACACTTCACAAACAAGTTTATCAGAATGCTTCTGTCTAGTTTTTATTTGAAGATATATCCTTTCTCACTATAGACCTGAAAGCTGTCCTAAAGTTCACTTCCAGATACTACAGAAAGAGTGTTTCAAAACTGCTGTATGAAAGGGAATGTTCAACTCTGTGACTTGAATGCACACATCACAAGGATGTTTCTGAGGATGCTGCTGTCTACTTTTTATACGTAATCCCGTTTCCAACGTAATCCTCCAGGCTATCCAAATATCCACTTGCAGATTCCACAGAAAGACTGTTTCAAATCTGCTCTGTCAATAGAAAAGTTCAACTCTATTAGCTGCGTGCATATATCCCAAAGAAGATTCGGAGATTGCTTCTGTCTAGTTTTTATGGGAAGATATTTCCCTTTTCACCGTAGGCGTCAGGGCGCTCCAAATGTCCACTTCCAGATACTACAAAAAGAGTGTTTCAAACCTACTCTGTGAAAGGGAATATTCAACTCTGTGACTTGAATGCACATATCACAAGGAAGTTTCTGAGAATGCTTCTGTCGAGATTTTATATGAAGATATTCCCCTTTCCAACGAAATCCTGAAATCTATCCAAATATCCCCTCGCAGATTCTACAAAAAGAGTGTTTCAAAACTGCTCTGTAAAAAGAAAGGTTCAACTCTGTTAGTTGAGTACACACCTCACAAACAAGTTTCACATAATGCTTCTTTCTAGCTTGTAGGGGAAGATATTCCCTTTATCACCATGGGCCACAAACCGTCCGAAACGTCCACTTCCATATACTACAAAAAGAGCGTTTCAAACGTGCTCTATGAAAGGCAATGTTCAACTCTGTGACTTGAATGCAGACATCACAGAGCAGTTTCTGAGAATGCTTCTGTCTAGATTTTATAGGAAGATATTCCCGTTTCCAACGAAATCTTCACAGCTATCCAAATATCCACTTGCAGATTCCACAAAAAGAGTGTATCAAAACTGCTCTGTCGAAAGGAAGGTTCTTCTCTGTTAGGTGAGTGCATACGTCATAAAGGAGTTTCTGAGAATGTTTCTGTCTAGTGGTTATGGGAAGATATTTGCTTTTTCACCGTAGGCCTCAGAGCGCTCCAAATATCCACTTGCACATACTACAAAAAGAGTGCTTCAAAGCTGCTCTCGGAAAGGGAATGTTCAACTCTATGAGTTGAATGCAAACATCACAAAGACGTTTCTGAGAATGCTTCTGTCTAGATTTGATATGAAGATATTCTCGTTTCCAAAGAAATCTTCAAATCTATCCAAATGTCCACTTGCAGATTCAACAAAAAGTGTTTTTCAGAACTGCTCTATCAAAAGAAAGATCCACGTCTCTTAGCTGAGTTCACAGATCACAAACAAGTTTATGAGAATGCTTGTGTCTAGTTTTTATTTGAAGATATTTCCTTTCTCACCATAGACCTGAAAGCTGTCCTAATGTTCACTTCCAGATACTACAGAAAGAGTGTTTCAAAACTGCTGTACGAAAGGGAATGTTGAACTCTGTGACTTGAATGCACACATCACAAAGAAGTTTCTGAGGATGCTGCTGTCTACTTTTATACGTAATCCCGTTTCCAACGAAATCCTCCAAGCTATCCAAATATCCACTTGCAGATTCCACAGAAAGACTGTTTCAAAACTGCTCTGTCAATAGAAAGGTTCAACTCTGTTAGCTGCGTGCATATATCCCAAAGAAGATTCTGAGATTGCTGCTGTCTAGTTTTTATGGGAAGATATTTCCCTTTTCACCGTAGGCGCCAAGGACGCTCCAAATGTCCACTTCCAGATACTACAAAAAGAGTGTTTCAAACCTACTCTGTGAAAGGGAATATTCAACTCTGTGACTTGAATGCACATATCACAAAGAAGTTTCTGAGAATGCTTCTGTCGAGATTTTATATGAAGATATTCCCGTTTCCAACGAAATCCTGAAATCTATCCAAATATCCCCTCGCAGATTCTACAAAAAGAGTGTTTCAAAACTGCTCTGTAAAAAGAAAGGTTCAACTCTGTTAGATGAGTACACACATCACAAACAAGTTTCACAGAATGCTTCTTTCTAGCTTGTAGGGGAAGATATTCCCTTTATCACCATGGGCCTCAAACCGTCTGAAACGTCCACTTCCATATACTACAAAAAGAGCATTTCAAACCTGCTCTATGAAAGGCAATGTTCAACTCTGTGACTTGAATGCAGACATCACAGTAGCAGTTTCTGAGAATGCTTCTGTCTAGATTTTATAGGAAGATATTCCCGTTTCCAACGAAATCTTCACAGGTATCCAAATATCCACTTGCAGATTCTACAAAAAGAGTGTATCAAAACTGCTCTGTCAAAAGGAAGGTTCTTCTCTGTTAGGTGAGTGCATACGTCATAAAGGAGTTTCTGAAAATGTTTCTGTCTAGTGGTTATGGGAAGATATTTGCTTTTTCCCCGTAGGCCTCAGGGCGCTCCAAATGTCCACTTGCACATGCTACAAAAAGTGCTTCAAAGCTGCTCTCTGAAAGGGAATGTTCAACTCTATGAGTTGAATGCAAACATCACAAAGACGTTTCTGAGAATGCTTCTGTCTAGATTTGATATGAAGATATTCCCGTTTCCAACGAAATCTTCAAATCTATCCAAATGTCCACTTGCAGATTCAACAGAAAGTGTTTTTCAGAACTGCTCTATCAAAAGAAAGATCCACCTCTGTTAGCTGAGTTCACACATCACAAACAAGTTTATGAGAATGCTTCTGTCTAGTTTTTATTTGAAGATATATCCTTCCTCACTATAGACCTGAAAGCTCTCCTAAAGTTCACTTCCAGATACTACAGAAAGAGTGTTTCAAACCTGCTGTACGAAAGGGAATTTTCAACTCTGTGACTTGAGTGCACACATCACAAGGAAGTTTCTGAGGATGCTGCTGTCTACTTTTTATACGTAATCCCGTTTCCAAAGAAATCCTCCAATCTATCCAAATATCCACTTGCAGATTCCACAGAAAGACTGTTTCAAATCTGCTCTGTCAATAGAAAGATTCAACTCTGTTAGCTGCGTGCATATATCCCAAAGAAGATTCTGAGATTGCTTCTGTCTAGTTTTTATGGGAAGATATTTCCCTTTTCACCGTAGGTGTCAAGGCGCTCCAAATGTCCACTTCCAGATACTACAAAAAGAGTGTTTCCAACCTACTACTGTGAAAGGGAATATTCAACTCTGTGACTTGAATGCACATATCACAAAGAAGTTTCTGAGAATGCTTCTGTCGAGATTTTATATGAAGATATTCCCGTTTCCAACGAAATCCTGAAATCTATCCACATATCCCCTCGCAGATTCTACAAAAAGAGTGTTTCAAAACTGCTCTGTAAAAAGAAAGGTTCAACTCTGTTAGTTGAGTACACACATCACAAACAAGTTTCACAGAATGCTTCTTTCTAGCTTGTAGGGGAAGATATTCCCTTTATCACCATGGGCCTCAAACCGTCCGAAAAGTCTACTTCCATATACTACAAAAAGAGCGTTTCAAACCTTCTCTAGGAAAAGCAATGTTCAACTCTGTGACTTGAATGCAGACATCACAGAGCAGTTTCTGAGAATGCTTCTGTCTGGATTTTATAGGAAGATATTCCCGTTTCCAACGAAATCTTCACAGCTATCCAAATATCCACTTGCAGATTCTACAAAAAGAGTGTATCAAAACTGCTCTGTCAAAAGGAAGTTTCTTCTCTGTTAGTTGAGTACATACGTCATAAAGGAGTTTCTGAGAATGTTTCTGTCTAGTGGTTATGGGAAGATATTTGCTTTTTCACCGTAGGCCTCAGAGCACTCCAAATATCCACTTGCACATACTACAAAAAGAGTGCTTCAAAGCTGCTCTCTGAAACGGAATGTTCAACTCTATGAGTTGAATGCAAACATCACAAAGACGTTTCTGAGAATGCTTCTGTCTAGATTTGATATGACGATATTCCCGTTTCCAACGAAATCTTCAAATCTATCGAAATGTCCACTTGCAGATTCAACAAAACGTGTTTTTCAGAACTGCTCTATCAAAAGAAAGATCCACCTCTGTTAGCTGAGTTCACACATCACAAACAAGTTTATGAGAATGCTTCTGTCTAGTTTTTATTTGAAGATATTTCCTTTCTCACCATAGACCTGAAAGCTGTCCTAATGTTCACTTCCAGATACTACAGAAAGAGTGTTTCAAAACTGCTGTACGAAAGGGAATGTTCAACTCTGTGACTTGAACGCACACATCACAAAGAAGTTTCTGAGGATGCTGCTGTCTACTTTTTATACGTAATCCCGTTTCCAACGAAATCCTACAAGCTATCCAAATATCCACTTGCAGATTCCACAGAAAGACTGTTTCAAAACTGCTCTGTCAATAGAAAGGTTCAACTCTGTTAGCTGCGTCCATATATCCCAAAGAAGATTCTGAGATTGCTCTGTCTAGTTTTTATGGGAAGATATTTCCCTTTTCACCGTAGGCGTCAAGGCGCTCCAAATGTCCACTTCCAGATACTACAAAAAGAGTGTTTCAAACCTACTCTGTGAAAGGGAATATTCAACTCTGTGACTTGAAGGCAGATATCACAAAGAAGTTTCTGAGAATGCTTTCTGTCGAGATTTTATATGAAGATATTCCCGTTTCCAAGGAAATCCTGAAATCTATCCAAATATCCCCTCGCAGATTCTACAAAAAGAGTGCTTCAAAACTGCTCTGTAAAAAGAAAGGTTCAACTCTGTTAGTTGAGTACACACATCACAAACAAGCTTCACAGAATGCTTCTTTCTAGCTTGTAGGGGAAGATATTCCCTTTATCACCATGGGCCTCCAACCGTCCGAAACATCCAGTTCCATATACTACAAAAAGAGCGTTTCAAATCTGCTCTATGAAAGGCAATGTTCAACTCTGTGACTTGAATGCAGACATCACAGAGCAGTTTCTGAGAATGCTTCTGTCTAGATTTTATAGGAAGATATTCCCGTTTCCAACGAAATCTTCACAGCTATCCAAATATCCACTTGCAGATTCTACAAAAAGAGTGTATCAAAACTGCTCTGTCAAAAGGAAGGTTCTTTTCTGTTAGGAGAGTGCATACGTCATAAAGGAGTTTCTGAGAATGTTTCTGTCTAGTGGTTATGGGAAGATATTTGCTTTTTCACCGTAGGCCTCAGAGCGCTCCAAATATCCACTTGCACATACTACAAAAAGAGTGCTTCAAAGCTGGTCTCTGAAACGGGAATGTTCAACTCTATGAGTTGAATGCAAACATCACAAAGACGTTTCTGAGAATGCTTCTGTCTAGATTGGATATGAAGATATTCCCGTTTCCAACGAAATCTTCACATCTATCCAAATGTCCACTTGCAGATTCAACAAAAAGTGTTTTTCAGAACTGCTCTATCAAAAGAAAGATCCACCTCTGTTAGCTGAGTTCACACATCACAAACAAGTTTATGAGAATGCTTCCGTCTAGTTTTTATTTGAAGATATATCCTTTCTCACTATAGACCTGAAAGCTGTCCTAAAGTTCACTTCCAGATACTACAGAAAGAGTGTTTCAAATCTGCTGTACGAAAGGGAATGTTCAACTCTGTGACTTGAATGCACACATCACAAGGATGTTTCTGAGGATGCTGTGGTCTACTTTATATACGTAATCCCGTTTCCAACGAAATCCTCCAAGCTATCCAAATATCCACTTGCAGATTCCACAGAAAGACTGTTTCAAAACTGCTCTGTCAATAGAAAGGTTCAACTCTGTTAGCTGCGTGCATATATCCCAAAGAAGATTCTGAGATTGCTTCTGTCTAGTTTTTATGGGAAGATATTTCCCTTTTCACCGTAGGTGTCAAGGCGCTCCAAATGTCCACTTCCAGATACTACAAATAGAGTGTTTCAAACCTACTCTGTGAAAGGGAATATTCAACTCTGTGACTTAAAGGCAGATATCACAAAGAAGTTTCTGAGAATGCTTCTGTCGAGATTTTATATGAAGATACTCCCGTTTCCAACGAAATCCTGAAATCTATCCAAATATCCCCTCGCAGATTCTACAAAAAGAGTGTTTCAAAACTGCACTGTAAAAAGAAAGGTTCAACTCTGTTAGTTGAGTACACACATCACAAACAAGTTTCACAGAATGCTTCTTTCTAGCTTGTAGGGGAAGATATTCCCTTTATCACCATGGGCCTCATACCGTCCGAAACGTCCACTTCCATATACTACAAAAAGAGCGTTTCAAACCTGCTCTATGAAAGGCAATGTTCAACTCTGTGACTTGAATGCAGACATCACAGAGCAGTTTCTGAGAATGCTTCTGTCTAGATTTTATAGGAAGATATTCCCGTTTCCAACGAAATCTTCACAGCTATCCAAATATCCACTTGCAGATTCTACAAAAAGAGTGTATCAAAACTGCTCTGTCAAAAGGAAGGTTCTTCTCTGTTAGGTGAGTGCATACGTCATAAAGGAGTTTCTGACAATGTTTCTGTCTAGTGGTTATGGGAAGATATTTGCTTTTTCACCTTAGGCCTCGGAGCGCTCCAAATATCCCCTTGCACATACTACAAAAAGTGTGCTTCAAAGCTGCTCTCTGAAACGGAATGTTCAACTCTATGAGTTGAATGCAAACATCACAAAGACGTTTCTGAGAATGCTTCTGTCTAGATTTGATATGAAGATATTCCCGTTTCCAACGAAATCTTCAAATCTATCCAAATGTCCACTTGCAGATTCAACAAAGTGTTTTTCAGAACTGCTCTATCACAAGAAAGATCCACCTCTGTTAGCTGAGATCACACTTCACAAACAAGTTTATCAGAATGCTTCTGTCTAGTTTTTATTTGAAGATATTTCCTTTCTCACGATAGACCTGAAAGCTGTTCTAATGTTCACTTCCATATGCTACAGAAAGAGTGTTTCAAAACTGCTGTACGAAAGGGAATGTTCAACTCTGTGACTTGAATGCACACATCACAAAGAAGTTTCTGAGGATGCTGCTGTCTACTTTTTATACGTAATCCCGTTTCCAAGGAAATCCTCCAAGCTATCCAAATATCCACTTGCAGATTCCACAGAAAGACTGTTTCAAAACTGCTCTGTCAATAGAAAGGTTCAACTCTGTTAGCTGCGTGCATATATCCCAAAGAAGATTCTGAGATTGCTTCTGTCTAGTTTTTATGGGAAGATATTGCCCTTTTCACCGTAGGCGTCGAGGCGCTCCAAATGTCCACTTCCAGATACTACAAAAAGAGTGTTTCAAACCTACTCTGTGAAAGGGAATATTCAACTCTGTGACTTGAATGCACATATCACAAAGAAGTTTCTGAGAATGCTTCTGTCGAGATTTTATATGAAGATATTCCCGTTTCCAACGAAATGCTGAAATGTATCCAAATATCCCATCGCAGATTCTACAAAAAGAGTGTTTCAAAACTGCTCTGTAAAAAGAAAGGTTCAACTCTGTTAGTTGAGTACACACATCACAAACAAGTTTCACAGAATGCTTCTTTCTAGCTTGTAGGGGAAGATATTCCCTTTATCACCATGGGCCTCAAACCGTCCGAAACGTCCACTTCCATATACTACAAAAAGAGCGTTTCAAACCTGCTCTATGAAAGGCAATGTTCAACTCTGTGACTTGAATACAGACATCGCAGAGCAGTTCCTGAGAATGCTTCTGTCTAGATTTTACAGGAAGATATTCCCGTTTCCAACGAAATCTTCACAGCTATCCAAATATCCACTTGCAGATTCTACAAAAAGAGTGTATCAAAACTGCTCTGTCAAAAGGAAGGTTCTTCTCCGTTAGTTGAGTACATACGTCATAAAGGAGTTTCTGAGAATGTTTCTGTCTAGTGGTTATGGGAAGATATTTGCTTTTTCACCGTAGGCCTCAGAGCGCTCCAAATATCCACTTGCACATACTACAAAAAGAGTGCTTCAAAGCTGGTCTCTGAAACGGAATGTTCAACTCTATGAGTTGAATGCAAACATCCCAAAGACGTTTCTGAGAATGCTTCTGTCTAGATTTGATATGAAGATATTCCCGTTTCCAACGAAATCTTCAAATCTATCCAAATGTCCACTTGCAGATTCAACAAAAAGTGTTTTTCAGAACTGCTCTATAAAAAGAAAGATCCACCTCTGTTAGCTGAGTTCACACATCACAAACAAGTTTATGAGAATGCTTCTGTCTAGTTTTTATTTGAAGATATTTCCTTTCTTACCATAGACCTGAAAGCTCTCATCACGTTCACTTCCAGATACTACAGAAAGAGTGTTTCAAAACTGCTGTACGAAAGGGAATGTTCAACACTTTGACTTGAATGCACACATCACAAAGAAGTTTCTGAGAATGCTGCTGTCCAATTTTTATACGTAATCCCGTTTCCAACGAAATCCTCCAAGCCATCCAAATATCCACTTGCAGATTCCACAGAAAGACTGTTTCAAAACTGCTCTGTCAATAGAAAGGTTCAACTCTGTTAGCTGCGTGCATATATCCCAAAGAAGATTCTGAGATTACTTCTGTCTAGTTTTTATGGGAAGATATTTCCCTTTGCACCGTAGGTGTCAAGGCGCTCCAAATGTCCACTTCCAGATACTACAAAAAGAGTGTTTCAAACCTACTCTGTGAAAGGGAATATTCAACTCTGTGACTTGAATGCACATATCACAAAGAAGTTTCTGAGAATGCTTCTGTCGAGATTTTATATGAAGATATTCCCGTTTCCAACGAAATCCTGAAATCTATCCAAATATCCCCTCGCAGATTCTACAAAAAGAGTGTTTCAAAACTGCTCTTTAAAAAGTAAGGTTCAACTCTGTTAATTGAGTACACACATCACAAACAAGTTTCACAGAATGCTTGTTTGTAGCTTGTAGGGAAAGATATTCCCTTTATCACCATGGGCCTCAAACCGTCCGAAACGTCCACTTCCATATACTTCAAAAAGAGCGTTTCAAACCTGCTCTATGAAAGGCAATGTTCAACTCTGTGACTTGAATGCAGACATCACAGAGCTGTTTCTGAGAATGCTTCTGTCTAGATTTTATAGGATGATATTCCCGATTCCAACGAAATCTTCACAGCTATCCAAATATCCACTTGCAGATTCTACAAAAAGAGTGTATCAAAACTGCTCTGTCAAAAGGAAGGTTCTTCTCTGTTAGGTGAGTGCATACGTCATAAAGGAGTTTCTGAGAATGTTTCTGTCTAGTGGTTATGGGAAGATATTTGCTTTTTCACCTTAGGCCTCAGAGCGCTCCAAATATCCCCTTGCACATCCTACAAAAAGAGTGCTTCAAAGCTGCTCTCTGAAAGGGAATGTTCAACTCTATGAGTTGAATGCAAACATCACAAAGACGTTTCTGAGAATGCTTCTGTCTAGATTTGATATGAAGATATTCCCGTTTCCAACGAAATCTTCAAATCTATCCAAATGTCCGCTTGCAGATTCAACAAAACGTGTTTTTCAGAACTGCTCTATCAAAAGAAAGATGCCACGTCTCTAAGCTGAGTTCACACATCACAAACAAGTTTATGAGAATGCTTCTGTCTAGTTTTTATTTGAAGATATTGCCTTTCTCACCATCGACCTGAAAGCTGTCCTAATGTTCACTTCCAGATACTACAGAAAGAGTGTTTCAAAACTGCTGTACGAAAGGGAATGTTCAACTCTGTGACTTGAATGCACACATCACAAAGAAGTTTCTGAGGATGCTGCTGTCTACTTTTTATACGTAATCCCGTTTCCAATGAAATCCTCCAATCTATCCAAATATCTACTTGCAGATTCCACAGAAAGACTGTTTCAAAACTGCTCTGTCAATAGAAAGGTTCAACTCTGTTAGCTGTGTGCATATATCCCAAAGAAGATTCTGAGATTGCTTCTGTCTAGTTTTTATGGGAAGATATTTCCCTTTTCACCGTAGGCGTCAAGGCGCTCCGAATGTCCACTTCCAGATACTACAAAAAGAGTGTTTCAAACCTCCTCTGTGAAAGGGAATATTCAACTCTGTGACTTGAATGCACATATCACAAAGAAGTTTCTGAGAATGCTTCTGTCGAGATTTTATATGAAGATATTCCCGTTTCCAATGAAATCCTGAAATCTATCCAATTATCCCCTCGCAGATTCTACAAAAAGAGTGTTTCAAAACTGCTCTGTAAAAAGAAAGGTACAACTCTGTTAGTTGAGTACACACATCACAAACAAGTTTCACAGAATGCTTCTTTCTAGCTTGTAGGGGAAGATATTCCCTTTATCACCATGGGCCTCAAACCGTCCGATAAGTCCACTTCCATATACTACAAAAAGAGCGTTTCAAACCTGCTCTATGAAAGGCAATGTTCAACTCTGTGACTTGAATGCAGACATCACAGCAGCAGTTTCTGAGAATGCTTCTGTCTAGATTTTATAGGAAGATATTCCCGTTTCCAACGAAATCTTCACAGCTATCCAAATATCCACTTGCAGATTCTACAAAAAGAGTGTATCAAAACTGCTCTGTCAAAAGGAAGGTTCTTCGCTGTTAGTTGAGTACATACGTCATAAAGGAGTTTCTGAGAATGTTTCTGTCTAGTGGTTATGGGAAGATATTTGCTTTTTCACCGTAGGCCTCACAGCGCTCCAAATATCCCCTTGCACATACTACAAAAAGAGTGCTTCAAAGCTGCTCTCTGAAACGGAATGTTCAACTCTATGAGTTGAATGCAAACATGACAAAGACGTTTCCGAGAATGCTTCTGTCTAGATTTGATATGAAGATATTCCCATTTCCAACGAAATCTTCAAATCTATCCAAATGTCCACTTGCAGATTCAACAGAAAGTGTTTTTCAGAACTGCTCTATCAAAAGAAAGATCCACCTCTGTTAGCTGAGTTCACACATCACAAACAAGTTTATGAGAATGCTTCTGTCTAGTTTTTATTTGAAGATATTTCCTTTCTCACCATAGACCTGAAAGCTGTCCTAATGTTCACTTCCAGATACTACAGAAAGAGTGTTTCAAAACTGCTGTACGAAAGGGAATGTTGAACTCTGTGACTTGAATGCACACATCACAAAGAAGTTTCTGAGAATGCTGCTGTCTACTTATTATACGTAATCCCGTTTCCAACGAAATCCTCCAAGCTATCCAAATATCCAGTTGCAGATTCCACAGAAAGACTCTTTCAAAACTGTTCTGTCAATAGAAAGGTTCAACTCTGTTAGCTGCGTGCATATATCCCAAAGAAGATTCTGAGATTGCTTCTGTCTAGTTTTTATGGGAAGATATTTCCCTTTTCACCGTAGGCGTCAAGGCGCTCCAAATGTCCACTTCCAGATACTACAAAAAGAGTGTTTCAAACCTACTCTGTGAAAGGGTATATTCAACTCTGTGACTTGAATGCACATATCACAAAGAAGTTTCTGAGAATGCTTCTGTCGAGATTTTATATGAAGATATTCCCGTTTCCAACGAAATCCTGAAATCTATCCAAATATCCCCTCACAGATTCTACAAAAGGAGTGTTTCAAAACTGCTCTGTAAAAAGAAAGGTTCAACTCTGTTAGTTGAGTACACACATCACAAACAAGTTTCACAGAATGCTTCTTTCTAGCTGGTAGGGGAAGATATTCCCTTTATCACCATGGGCCTCAAACCGTCCGAAACGTCCACATCCATATACTACAAAAAGAGCGTTTCAAACCTTCTCTATGAAAGGCAATGTTCAACTCTGTGACTTGAATGCAGACATCACAGAGCAGTTTCTGAGAATGCTTCTGTCTAGATTTTATAGGAAGATATTCCCGTTTCCAAAGAAATCTTCACAGCTATCCAAATATCCACTTGCAGATTCTACAAAAAGAGTGTATCAAAACTGCTCTGTCAAAAGGAAGGTTCTTCTCTGTTAGGTGAGTGCACACGTCATAAAGGAGTTTCTGAGAATGTTTCTGTCTACTGGTTATGGGAAGATATTTGCTTTTTCACCGTAGGCCTCAGAGCGCTCCAAATATCCACTTGCACATGCTACAAAAAGAGTGCTTCAAAGCTGCTCTCTGAAACGGAATGTTCAACTTCTATGAGTTGAATGCAAACATCACAAAGACGTTTCTGAGAATGCTTCTGTCTAGATTTGATATGAAGATATTCCCGTTTCCAACTGAAATCTTCAAATCTATCCAAATGCCCACTTGCAGATTCAACAAAAAGTGTTTTTCAGAACTGCTCTATCAAAAGAAAGATCCACCTCTGTTAGCTGAGTTCACACATCACAAACAAGTTTATGAGAATGCTTCTGTCTAGTTTTTATTTGAAGATATTTCCTTTCTCACCATAGACCTGAAAGCTGTCGTAATGTTCACTTCCAGATACTACAGAAAGAGTGTTTCAAAACTGCTGTACGAAAGGGAATGTTCAACTCTGTGACTTGAATGCACACATCACAAAGAAGTTTCTGAGGATCCTGCTTTCTACTTTTTATACGTAATCCCGTTTCCAACGAAATCCTCCAAGCTATCCAAATATCCACTTGCAGATTCCACAGAAAGACTGTTTCAAAACTGCTCTGTCAATAGAAAGGTTCAACTCTGTTACCTGCGTGCATATATCCCAAAGAAGATTCTGAGATTGCTTCTGTCTAGTTTTTATGGGAAAATATTTCCCTTTTCACCGTAGGTGTCAAGGCGCTCCAAATGTCCACTTCCAGATGCTACAAAAAGAGTGTTTCAAACCTACTCTGTGAAAGGGAATATTCAACTCTGTGACTTGAATGCAGATATCACAAAGAAGTTTCTGAGAATGCTTCTGTCGAGATTTTCTATGAAGATATTCCCGTTTCCAACGAAATCCTGAAATCTATCCAAATATCCCCTCGCAGATTCTACAAAAAGAGTGTTTCAAAACCGCTCTGTAAAAAGAAAGGTTCAACTCTGTTAGTTGAGTACACACATCACAAACAAGTTTCACAGAATGCTACTTTCTAGCTTGTAGGGGAAGATATTCCCTTTATCACCATGGGCCTCCAACCGTCCGAAACATCCACTTCCATATACTACAAAAAGAGCGTTTCAAACCTGCTCTATGAAAGGCAATGTTCAACTCTGTGACTTGAATGCAGACATCACAGAGCAGTTTCTGAGAATGCTTCTGTCTAGATTTTATAGGAAGATATTCCCGTTTCCAACGAAATCTTCACAGCTATCCAAATATCCACTTGCAGATTCTACAAAAAGAGTGTATCAAAACTGCTCTGTCAAAAGGAAGGTTCTTCTCTGTTAGTTGAGTACATACGTCATAAAGGAGTTTCTGAGAATCTTTCTGTCTAGTGGTTATGGGAAGATATTTGCTTTTTCACCGTAGGCCTCAGAGCGCTCCAAATATCCCCTTGCACATACTACAAAAAGAGTGCTTCAAAGCTGCTCTCTGAAAGGGAATGTTCAACTCTGTGAGTTGAATGCAAACATCACAAAGACGTTTCTGAGAATGCTTCTGTCTAGATTTGATATGAAGATATTCCCGTTTCCAAAGAAATCTTCAAATCTATCCAAATGTCCACTTGCAGATTCAACAAAAAGTGTTTTTCAGAACTGCTCTATCAAAAGAAAGATCCACCTCTGTTAGCTGAGTTCACACATCACAAACAAGTTTATGAGAATGCTTTCTGTCTAGTTTTTATTTGAAGATATTTCCTTTCTCACCATAGACCTGAAAGCTGTCCTAATGTTCACTTCCAGATACTACAGAAAGAGTGTTTCAAAACTGCTGTACGAAAGGGAATGTTCAACTCTGTGACTTGAATGCACACATCACAAAGAAGTTTCTGAGAATGCTGCTGTCTACTTTTTATACGTAATCCCGTTTCCAACGAAATCCTCCAATCTAACCAAATATCCACTTGCAGATTCCACAGAAAGACTGTTTCAAAACTGCTCTGTCAATAGAAAGGTTCAACTCTGTTAGCTGCGTGCATATATCCCAAAGAAGATTCTGAGATTGCTTCTGTCTAGTTTTTATGGGAAGATGTTTCCCTTTTCACCGTAGGCGTCAAGGCGCTCCAAATGTATACTTCCAGATACTACAAAAGAGTGTTTCAAACCTACACTGTGAAAGGGAATATTCAACTCTGTGACTTGAATGCAGATATCACAAAGAAGTTTCTGAGAATGCTTCTGTCGAGATTTTATATGAAGATATTCCCGTTTCCAACGAAATCCTGAAATCTATCCAAATATCCCCTCGCAGATTCTACAAAAAGAGTGTTTCAAAACTGCTCTGTAAAAAGAAAGGTTCAACTCTGTTAGTTGAGTACACACATCCCAAACAAGTTTCACACAATGCTTCTTTCTAGCTTGTAGGGGAAGATATTTCCTTTATCACCATCATCCTCAAACCATCCGAATCGTCCACTTCCATATACTAAAAAAAGAGTGTTTGAAACCTGCTCTATGAAAGGCAATGTTCAACTCTGTGACTTGAATGCAGACATCACAGAGCAGTTTCTGAGAATGCTTCTGTCCAGACTTTATAGGAAGATATTCCCGTTTCCATCGAAATCTTCACAGCTATCCAAATATCCACTTGCAGATAGTACAAAAAGAGTGTATCAAAAATGCTCTGTCAAAAGGAAAGTTCTTCTCTGCTAGTTGAGTACATACGTCATAAAGAAGTTTCTGAGAATGTTCCTGTCTAGTGGTTATGGGAAGATATTTGCTTTTTCCCTGTAGGCCTCAAAGCGCTCCAAATGTCCACTTCAACGTACTACAAAAAGAGTGCTTCAAAGCTGCTCTCTGAAAGGGAATGTTCAACTCTATGAGTTGAATGCTAACATCACAAAGACGTTTCTGAGAATGCTTCTGTCTAGACTTGATATGAAGATATTCCCGTTTCCAACAAAATCTTCAAATCTATCCAAATGTCCACTTGCAGATTCAACAAAAAGTGTTTTTCAGAACTGCTCTATCAAAAGAAAGATCCACCTCTGTTAGCTGAGTTCACACATCACAAGCAAGTTTATGAGAATGCTTCTGTCCAGTTTTTATTTGAAGATATTTCCTTTCTCACCATAGAGCTGAAAGCTGTCCTAATGTTCACTTCCAGATACTACAGAAAGAGTGTTTCAAAACTGCTGTACGAAAGGGAATGTTCAACTCTGTGACTTGAATGCACACATCACAAAGAAGTTTCTGAGGATGCTGCTGTCTACTTTTTATATGTAATCCCGTTTCCAACGAAATCCTCCAATCTATCCAAATATCCACTTGCAGATTCCACAGAAACACTGTTTCAAAACTGCTCTGTCAATAGAAAGGTTAAACTCTGTTAGCTGCGTGCATATATCCCAAAGAAGATTCTGAGATTGCTTCTGTCTAGTTTTTATGGGAAGATATTTCCCTTTTCACCGTAGGTGTCAAGGCGCTCCCAATGTCCACTTCCAGATACTACAAAAAGAGTGTTTCAAACCTACTTGGTGAAAGGGAATATTCAACTCTGTGACTTGAATGCAGATATCACAAAGATGTTTCTGAGAATGCTTCCGTCGAGATTTTATATGAAGATATTCCCGTTTCCAACGAAATCCTGAAATCTATCCAAATATCCCCTCGCAGATTCTACAAAAAGAGTGTTTCAACACTGCTCTGTAAAAAGAAAGGTTCAACTCTGTTAGTTGAGTACACACATCACAAACAAGTATCACAGAATGCTTCTTTCTAGCTTGTAGGGGAAGATATTCCCTTTATCACCATGGGCCTCAAACCGTCTGAAACGTCCACTTCCATATACTGCAAAAAGAGCATTCCAAACCTGCTCTATGAAAGGCAATGTTCAACTCTGTGACTTGAATGCAGACATCACAGAGCAGTTTCTTGAGAATGCTTCTGTCTAGATTTTATAGGAAGATATTCCCGTTTCCAACGAAATCTTCACAGCTATCCAAATATCCACTTGCAGATTCTACAAAAGGAGTGTATCAAAACTGCTCTGTCAAAAGGAAGGTTCTTCTCTGCTAGGTGAGTGCATACGTCATAAAAGAGTTTCTGAGAATGTTTCTGTCTAGTGGTTATGGGAAGATATTTGCTTTTTCACCGTAGGCCTCACAGCGCTCCAAATATCCACTTGCACACACTACAAAAAGAGTGCTTCAAAGCTGCTCTCTGAAACGGAATGTTCAACTCTATGAGTTGAATGCAAACATCACAAAGACGTTTCTGAGAATGCTTCTGTCTAGATTTGATATGAAGATATTCCCGTTTCCAACGAAATCTTCAAATCTATCCAAATGTCCACTTGCAGATTCAACAAAAAGTGTTTTTCCGAACTGCTCTATCAAAAGAAAGATCCATCTCTGTTAGCTGAGTTCACACATCACAAACAAGTTTATGAGAATGCTTCTGTCTAGTTTTTATTTGAAGATATTTCCTTTCTCACCATAGACCTGAAAACTGTCCTAATGTTCACTTACAGATACTACAGAAAGAGTGTTTCAAAACTGCTGTACGAAAGGGAATGTTCAACTCTGTGACTTGAATGCACACATCACAAAGAAGTTTCTGAGGATGCTGCTGTCTACTTTTTATACGTAATCCCGTTTCCAACGAAATCCTCCAAGCTATCCAAATATCCACTTGCAGATTCCACAGAAAGACTGTTTCAAAACTGCTCTGTCAATAGAAAGGTTCAAATCTGTTAGCTGCGTGCATATATCCCAAAGAAGATTCTGAGATTGCTTCTGTCTACTTTTTATGAGAAGATATTTCCCTTTTCACCGTAGGCGTCAAGGTGCTCAAAATGTCCACTTCCAGATACTACAAAAAGAGTGTTTCAAACCTACTCTGTGAAAGGGAATATTCAACTCTCTGACTTGAATGCACATATCACAAAGAAGTTTCTGAGAATGCTTCTGTCGAGATTTTTTATGAAGATATTCCCGTTTCCAACGAAATCTTGAAATCTATCCAAATATCCCCTCGCAGATTCTACAAAAAGAGTGTTTCAAAACTGCTCTGTAAAAAGAAAGGTTCAACTCTGTTAGTTGAGTACACACATCACAAACAAGTTTCACAGAATGCTTCTTTCTAGCTTGTAGGGGAAGATATTCCCTTTATCACCATGGGCCTCAAACCGTCCGAAACATCCACTTCCATATACTACAAAAAGAGCGTTTCAAACCTGCTCTATGAAAGGCAATGTTCAACTCTGTGACTTGAATGCAGACATCACAGAGCAGTTTCTGAGAATGCTTCTGTCTAGATTTTATAGGAAGATATTCCCGTTTCCAACGAAATCTTCACAGCTATCCAAATATCCACTTGCAGATTCTACAAAAAGAGTGTATCAAAACTGCTCTGTCAAAAAGAAGGTTCTTCTCTGTTAGTTGAGTACATACGTCATAAAGGAGTTTCTGAGAATGTTTCTGTCTAGTGGTTATGGGAAGATATTTGCTTTTTCCCTATAGGCCTCAGAGCGCTCCAAATATCCACTTGCACATACTACAAAAAGAGTGCTTCAAAGCTGCTCTCTGAAAGGGAATGTTCAACTCTATGAGTTGAATGCAAACATCACAAAGACGTTTCTGAGAATGCTTCTGTCTAGATTTGATATGAAGATATTCCCGTTTCCAAAGAAATCTTCAAATCTACCCAAATGTCCACTTGCAGATTCAACAAAAAGTGTTTTTCAGAACTGCTCTATCAAAAGAAAGATCCACGTCTCTTAGCTGAGTTCACACATCACAAACAAGTTTATGAGAATGCTTCTGTCTAGTTTTTATTTGAAGATATTTCCTTTCTCACCATAGACCTGAAAGCTGTCCTAATGTTCACTTCCAGATACTACAGAAAGAGTGTTTCAAAACTGCTGTACGAAAGGGAATGTTCAACTCTGTGACTTGAATGCATACATCACAAAGAAGTTTCTGAGGATGCTGCTGTCTACTTTTTGTACGTAATCCCGTTTCCAACGAAATCCTCAAAGCTATCCAAATATCCACTTGCAGATTCCACAGAAAGACTGTTTCAAAACTGCTCTGTCAATAGAAAGGTTCAACTCTGTTAGCTGCGTGCATATATCCCAAAGAAGATTCTGAGATTGCTTCTGTCTACTTTTTATGAGAAGATATTTCCCTTTTCACCGTAGGCGTCAAGGCGCTCCAAATGTCCACTTCCAGATACTACAAAAAGAGTGTTTCAAACCTACTCTGTGAAAGGGAATATTCAACTCTGTGACTTGAATGCACATATCACAAAGAAGTTTCTGAGAATGCTTCTGTCGAGATTTTCTATGAAGATATTCCCGTTTCCAATGAAATCCTGAAATCTATCCAAATATCCCCTCGCAGATTCTACAAAAAGAGTGTTTCAAAACTGCTCTGTAAAAAGAAAGGTTCAACTCTGTTAGTTGAGTACACACATCACAAACAAGTTTCACAGAATGCTTCTTTCTAGCTTGTAGGGGAAGATATTCCCTGTATCACCATGGACCTCAAACCGTCCGAAACATCCACTTCCATATACTAAAAAAAGAGTGTTTGAAACCTGCTCTATGAAAGGCAATGTTCAACTCTGTGACTTGAATCCAGACATCACAGAGCAGTTTCTGAGAATGCTTCTGTCCAGACTTTATAGGAAGATATTCCCGTTTCCAACGAAATCTTCACAGCTATCCCAATATCCACTTGCAGATAGTACAAAAAGAGTGTATCAAAAATGCTCTGTCAAAAGGAAAGTTCTTCTCTGCTAGTTGAGTACATACGTCATAAAGAAGTTTCTGAGAATGTTTCTGTCTAGTGGTTATGGGAAGATATTTGCTTTTTCACCGTAGACCTCAGAGCGCTCCAAATATCCACTTGCACATACTACAAAAAGAGTGCTTCAAACCTGCTCTCTGAAACGGAATGTTCAACTCTATGAGTTGAATGCAAACATCACAAAGACGTTTCTGAGAATGCTTCTGTCTAGATTGATATGAAGATATTCCCGTTTCCAACGAAATCTTCAAATCTATCCAAATGTCCACTTGCAGATTCAACAAAAAGTGTTTTTCAGAACTGCTCTATCAAAAGAAAGATCCACCTCTGTTAGCTGAGTTCAGACATCACAAACAAGTTTATGAGAATGCTTCTGTCTAGTTTTTATTTGAAGATATTTCCTTTCTCACCATAGACCTGAAAGCTGTCCTAATGTTTACTTCCAGATGCTACAGAAAGAGTGTTTCAAAACTGCTGTACGAAAGGGAATGTTCAACTCTGTGACTTGAATGCACACATCACAAAGAAGTTTCTGAGGATGCTGCTGTCTACTTTTGATACGTAATCCCCTTTCCAACGAAATCCTCCAATCTATCCAAATATCCACTTGCAGATTCCACAGAAAGACTGTTTCAAAACTGCTCTGTCAATAGAAAGGTTCAACTCTGTTAGCTGCGTGCATATATCCCAAAGAAGATTCTGAGATTGCTTCTGTCTTGTTTTTATGGGAAGATATTTCCCTTTTCACCGTAGGCGTCAAGGCGCTCCAAATGTCCACTTCCAGATACTACAAAGAGTGTTTCAAACCTACTCTGTGAAAGGGAATATTCAACTCTGTGACTTGAATGCAGATATCACAAATAAGTTTCTGAGAATGCTTCTGTCGAGATTTTATATGAAGATATTCCCGTTTCCAACAAAATGCTGAAATGTATCCAAATATCCCCTCGCAGATTCTACAAAAAGAGTGTTTCAAAACTGCTCTGTAAAAAGAAAGGTTCAACTCTGTTAGTTGAGTACACACATCACAAACAAGTTTCACAGAATGCTTCTTTCTAGCTTGTAGGGGAAGATATTCCCTTTATCACCATGGGCCTCAAACCGTCCGAAACGTCCACTTCCATATACTACAAAAAGAGCGTTTCAAACCTGCTCTATGAAAGGCAATGTTCAACTCTGTGACTTGAATGCAGACATCACAGAGCAGTTTCTCAGAATGCTGCTGTCTAGATTTTATACGAAGATATTCCCGTTTCCAACGAAATCTTCAATGCTATTCAAATATCCACTTGCAGATTCTACAAAAAGAGTGTATCAAAACTGCTCTGTCAAAAGGAAGGTTCTTCTCTGTTAGGTGAGTGCATACGTCATAAAGGAGTTTCTGAGAATGTTTCTGTCTAGTGGTTATGGGAAGATATTTGCTTTTTCACCGTAGGCCTCAGAGCGCACCAAATATCCACTTGCACATACTACAAAAAGAGTGCTTCAAAGCTGCTCTCTGAAACGGAATGTTCAACTCTATGAGTTGAATGCAAACATCACAAAGACGTTTCTGAGAATGCTTCTGTCTAGATTTGATATGAAGATATTCCCGTTTCCAACGAAATCTTCAAATCTATCCAAATGTCCACTTGCAGATTCAACAAAAAGTGTTTTTCAGAACTGCTCTATCAAAAGAAAGATCCACCTCTGTTAGCTGAGTTCTCACATCACAAACAAGTTTATGAGAATGCTTCTGTCTAGTTTTTATTTGAAGATATTTCCTTTCTCACCATAGAGCTGAAAGCTGTCCTAATGTTCACTTCCGGATACTACAGAAAGAGTGTTTCAAAACTGCTGTACGAAAGGGAATGTTCAACTCTGTGACTTGAATGCACACATCACAAAGAAGTTTCTGAGGATGCTGCTGTCTACTTTTTATACGTAATCCCGTTTCCAACGAAATCCTCCAAGCTATCCAAATATCCACTTGCAGATTCCACAGAAAGACTGTTTCTAAACTGCTCTATCAATAGAAAGGTTCAACTCTGTTAGCTGCGTGCATATATCCCAAAGAAGATTCTGAGATTCCTTCTGTCTAGTTTTTATGGGAAGATATTTCCCTTTTTCACCGTAGGTGTCAAGGCGCTCCAAATGTCCACTTCCAGATACTACAAAAAGAGTGTTTCAAACCTACTCTGTGAAAGGGAATATTCAACTCTGTGACTTGAATGCAGATATCACAAAGTAGTTTCTGAGAATGCTTCTGTCGAGATTTTATATGAAGATATTCCCGTTTCCAACGAAATCCTGAAATCTATCCAAATATCCCCTCGCAGATTCTACAAAAAGAGTGTTTCAAAACTGCTCTGTAAAAAGAAAGGTTCAACTCTGTTAGTTGAGTACACACATCACAAACAAGTTTCACAGAATGCTTCTTTCTAGCTTGTAGGGGAAGATATTCCCTTTATCACCATGGGCCTCAAACCGTCCGAAACGTCCACTTCCATATACTACAAAAAGAGCGTTTCAAACCTGCTCTATGAAAGGCAATGTTCAACTCTGTAACTTGAATGCAGACATCACAGAGCAGTTTCTGAGAATGCTTCTGTCTAGATTTTATAGGAAGATATTCCCGTTTCCAACGAAATCTTCACAGCTATCCAAATATCCACTTGCAGATTCTACAAAAAGAGTGTATCAAAACTGCTCTGTCTAAAGGAAGGTTCTTCTCTGTTAGGTGAGTGCATACGTCATAAAGGAGTTTCTGAGAATGTTTCTGTCTAGTGGTTATGGGAAGATATTTGCTTTTTCACCTTAGGCCTCAGAGCGCTCCAAATATCCACTTGCACATACTACAAAAACAGTGCTTCAAAGCTGCTCTCTGAAAGGGAATGTTCAACTCTATGAGTTGAATGCAAACATCACAAAGACGTTTCTGAGAAGCTTCTGTCTAGATTTGATATGAAGATATTCCCGTTTCCAACGAAATCTTCAAATCTATCCAAATGTCCACTTGCAGATTCAACAAAAAGTGTTTTTCAGAACTGCTCTATCAAAAGAAAGATCCACCTCCGTTAGCTGAGTTCACACATCACAAACAAGTTTATGAGAATGCTTCTGTCTAGTTTTTATTTGAAGATATTTCCTTTCTCACCATAGAGCTGAAAGTTGTCCTAATGTTCACTTCCAGATACTACAGAAAGAGTGTTTCAAAACTGCTGTACGAAAGGGAATGTTCAACTCTGTGACTTGAATGCACACATCACAAAGAAGTTTCTGAGGATGCTGCTGTCTACTTTTTATACGTAATCCCGTTTCCAACGAAATCCTCCAAGGTATCCAAATATCCACTTGCAGATTCCACAGAAAGACTGTTTCAAAACTGCTCTGTCAATAGAAAGGTTCAACTCTATTAGCTGCGTACATATATCCCAAAGAAGATTCTGAGATTGCTTCTGTCTAGTTTTTATGGGAAGATATTTCCCTTTTCACCGTAGGCGTCAAGGCGCTCCAAATGTCCACTTCCAGATACTACAAAAAGAGTGTTTCAAACCTACTCTGTGAAAGGGAATATTCAACACTGTGACTTGAATGCACATATCACAAGGAAGTTTCTGAGAATGCTTCTGTCGAGATTTTATATGAAGATATTCCCGTTCCCAACGAAATCCTGAAATCTATCCAAATATCCCCTCGCAGATTCTACAAAAAGAGTGTTTCAAAACTGCTCTGTGAAAAGAAAGGTTCAACTCTGTTAGTTGAGTACACACATCACAAACAAGTTTCACAGAATGCTTCTTTCTAGCTTGTAGGGGAAGATATTCCCTTTATCACCATGGGCCTCAAACCGTCCGAAACGTCAACTTCCATATACTACAAAAAGAGCATTTCAAACCTGCTCTATGAAAGGCAATGTTCAACTCTGTGACTTGAATGCAGACATCACAGAGCAGTTTCTGAGAATGCTTCTGTCTAGATTTTATAGGAAGATACTCCCGTTTCCAGCGAAATCTTCACAGCTATCCAAATATCCACTTGCAGATTCTACAAAATGAGTTTATCAAAACTGCTCTGTCAAAAGGAAGGTTCTTCTCTGTTAGTTGAGTACATACGTCATAAAGGAGTTTCTGAGAATGTTTCTGTCTAGTGGTTATGGGAAGATATTTGCTTTTTCACCGTAGGCCTCAGAGCGCTCCAAATATCCACTTGCACATACTACAAAAAGAGTGCTTCAAAGCTGGTCTCTGAAACGGAATGTTCAACTCTATGAGTTCAATGCAAACATCACAAAGACGTTTCTGAGAATGCTTCTGTCTAGATTTGATATGAAGATATTCCCGTTTCCAACGAAATCTTCATATCTATCAAAATGTCCACTTGCAGATTCAACAAAAAGTGTTTTTCAGAACTGCTCTATCAAAAGAAAGATCCACCTCTGTTAGCTGAGTTCACACATCACAAACAAGTTTATGAGAATGCTTCTGTCTAGTTTTTATTTGAAGATATCTCCTTTCTCACTATAGGCCTGAAAGCTCTCGTCCCGTTCACTTCCAGATACTACAGAAAGAGTGTTTCAAACCTGCTGTACGAAAGGGAATGTTCAACACTTTGACTTGAATGCACACATCACAAAGATGTTTCTGAGAATGCTGCTGTCTACTTTTTATACGTAATCCCGTTTCCAACGAAATCCTCCAAGCTATCCAAATATCCACTTGCAGATTCCACAGAAAGACTGTTTCAAAACTGCTCTGTCAATAGAAAGGTTCAACTCTGTTAGCTGCGTGCATACATCCCAAAGAAGATTCGGAGATTGCTTCTGTCTAGTTTTTATGGGAAGATATTTCCTTTTTCACCGTAGGCGTCAAGGCGCTCAAAATGTCCACATCCAAATACTACAAAAAGAGTGTTTCAAACCTACTCTGTGAAAGGGAATATTCAACTCTGTGACTTGAATGCAGATATCACAAAGAAGTTTCTGAGAATGCTTCTGTCGAGATTTTATATGAAGATATTCCCGTTTCCAACGAAATCCTGAAATCTATCCAAATATCCCCTCGCAGATTCTACAAAAAGAGTGTTTCAAAACTGCTCTGTATAAAGAAAGGTTCAACTCTATTAGCTGAGTACACACATCACAAACAAGTTTCACAGAATGCTTCCTTCTAGCTTGTAGGGGAAGATATTCCCTTTATCACCATGGGCCTCAAACCGTCCGAAACGTCCACTTCCATATACTACAAAAAGAGCGTTTCAAACCTGCTCTATGAAAGGCAATGTTCAACTCTGTGACTTGAATGCAGACATCACAGAGCAGTTTCTGAGAATGCTTCTGTCTACATTTTATAGGAAGTTATTCCCGTTTCCAACGAAATCTTCACAGCTATCCAAATATCCACTTGCAGATTCTACAAAAAGAGTGTATCAAAACTGCTCTGTCAAAAGGAAGGTTCTTCTCTGTTAGGTGAGTGCATACGTCATAAAGGAGTTTCTGAGAATGTTTCTGTCTAGTGGTTATGGGAAGATATTTGCTTTTTCACCTTAGGCCTCAGAGCGCTCCAAATATCCCCTTGCACATACTACAAAAAGAGTGCTTCAAAGCTGCTCTCTGAAAGGGAATGTTCAACTCTATGGGTTGAATGCAAACATCACAAAGACGTTTGCTGAGAATGCTTCTGTCTAGATTTGATATGAAGATATTCCCGTTTCCAAAGAAATCTTCCAATCTATCCAAATGTCCACTTGCAGATTCAACAAAAAGTGTTTTTCAAAACTGCTGTATCGAAAGAAAGATCCACCTCTGTTAGTTGAGTTCACACATCACAAACAAGTTTTTAAAAATGCTTCTGTCTATTTTTTATTTGAAGATATAGCCTTTCTCACTATAGACATGAAAGCTCTCCTAAAGTTCACTTCCAGATACTTCAGAAAGAGTGTTTCAAAACTGCTGTAGGAAAGGGAATGTTCAACTCTGTGACTTGAATGCACACATTACAAGGAAGTTTCTGAGGATGCTGCTGTCTAATTTTTATACGTAATCCCGTTTCCAACGAAATCCTCCAAGCTATCCAAATATCCACTTGCAGATTCCACAGAAAGACTGTTTCAAAACTGCTCTGTCAATAGAAAGGTTCAACTCTGTTAGCTGCGTGCATATATCCCAAAGAAGATTCTGAGATTGCTTCTGTCTAGTTTTCATGGGAAGATATTTCCCTTTTCACCGTAGGCGTCAAGGCGCTCCAAATGTCCACTTCCAGATACTACAAAAAGAGTGTTTCAAACCTACTCTGTGAAAGGGAATATTCAACTCTGTGACTAGAATGCACATATCACAAAGAAGTTTCTGAGAATGCATCTGTCGAGATTTTATATGAAGATATTCCCGTTTCCAACGAAATCCTGAAATCTATCCAAATATCCCCTCGCAGATTCTACAAAAAGAGTGTTTCAAAACTGCTCTGTAAAAAGAAAGGTTCAAATCTGTCAGTTGAGTACACACATCACAAACAAGTTTCACACAATGCTTCTTTCTAGCTTGTAGGGGAAGATATTCCCTTTATCACCATGGGCCTCAAACCGTCCGAAAAGTCCACTTCCATATACTACAAAAAGAGCGTTTCAAACCTGCTCTATGAAAGGCAATGTTCAACTCTGTTACTTGAATGCAGACATCACAGAGCAGTTTCTGAGAATGCTTCTGTCTAGATTTTATAGGAAGATATGCCCGTTTCCAACGAAATCTTCACAGCTATCCCAAATATCCACTTGCAGATTCTACAAAAAGAGTGTATCAAAACTGCTCTGTCAAAAGGAAGGTTCTTCTCTGTTAGGTGAGTGCATACGTCATAAAGGAGTTTCTGAGAATGTTTCTGTCTAGTGATTATGGGAAGATATTTGCTTTTTCACCGTAGGCCTCAGAGCGCTCCAAATATCCACTTGCACATACTACAAAAAGAGTGCTTCAAACCTGCTCTCTGAAACGGAATGTTCAACTCTATGAGTTGAATGCAAACATCACAAAGACGTTTCTGAGAATGCTTCTGTCTAGATTTGATATGAAGATATTCCCGTTTCCAACGAAATCTTCAAATCTATCCAAATGTCCACTTGCAGATTCAACAAAACGTGTTTTTCAGAACTGCTCTATCAAAAGAAAGATCCACGTCTCCTAGCTGAGTTCACACATCACAAACAAGTTTATGAGAATGCTTCTGTCTAGTTTTTATTTGAAGATATATCCTTTCTCACTATAGACCTGAAAGCTGTCCTAAAGTTCACTTCCAGATACTACAGAAAGAGTGTTTCAAAACTGCTGTACGAAAGGGAATGTTCAACTCTGTGACTTGAATGCACACATCACAAGGATGTTTACTGAGGATGCTGCTGTCTACATTTGATACGTAATCCCGTTTCCAACGAAATCCTCCAAGCTATCCAAATATCCACTTGCAGATTCCACAGAAAGACTGTTTCAAAACTGCTCTGTCAATAGAAAGGTTCAACTCTGTTAGCTGCGTGCATATATCCCAAAGAAGATTCTGAGATTGCTTCTGTCTAGTTTTGATGGGAAGATATTTCCCTTTTCACCGTAGGCGTCAAGGCGCTCCAAATGTCCACTTCCAGATACTACAAAAAGAGTGTTTCAAACCTACTCTGTGAAAGGGAATATTCAACTCTGTGACTTGAATGCACATATCACAAGGAAAGTTTCTGAGAATGCTTCTGTCGAGATTTTATATGAAGATATTCCCGTTTCCAACGAAATCCCGAAATGTATCCAAATATCCCCTCGCAGATTCTACAAAAAGAGTGTTTCAAAACTGCTCTGTAAAAAGAAAGGTTCAACTCTGTTAGTTGAGTACACACATCACAAACAAGTTTCACACAATGCTTCTTTCTAGCTCGTAGGGGAAGATATTCCCTTTATCACCATGGGCCTCCAACCGTCCGAAACATCCACTTCCATATACTACAAAAAGAGCGTTTCAAACCTGCTCTATGAAAGGCAATGTTCAACTCTGTGACTTGAAAGCAGACATCACAGAGCAGTTTCTGAGAATGCTTCTGTCTAGATTTTATAGGAAGATATTTCCGTTTCCAACGAAACCTTCACAGCTATCCAAATATCCACTTGCAGATTCTACAAAAAGAGTGTATCAAAACTGCTCTGTCAAAAGGAAGGTTCTTCTCTGTTAGGTGAGTGCATACGTCATAAAGGAGTTTCTGAGAATGTTTCTGTCTAGTGGTTATGGGAAGATATTTGCTTTTTCACCGTAGGCCTCAGAGCGCTCCAAATATCCACTTGCACATACTACAAAAAGAGTGCTTCAAAGCTGCTCTCTGAAAGGGAATGTTCAACCCTATGAGTTGAATGCAAACATCACAAAGACGTTTCTGGGAATGCTTCTGTCTAGATTTGATATGAAGATATTCCCGTTTCCAACGAAATCTTCAAATCTATCCAAATGTCCACTTGCAGATTCAACAAAAAGTGTTTTTCAGAACTGCTCTATCAAAAGAAAGATCCACCTCTGTTAGCTGAGTTCACACATCACAAACAAGTTTTTGAGAATGCTTCTGTCTAGTTTTTATTTGAAGATATTTCCTTTCTCACCATAGACCTGAAAGCTGTCCTAATGTTCACTTCCAGATACTACAGAAAGAGTGTTTCAAAACTGCTGTACGAAAGGGAATGTTCAACTCTGTGACTTGAATGCACACATCACAAAGATGTTTCTGAGGATGCGGCTGTGTACTTTTTATACGTAATCCCGTTTCCAACGAAATCCTCCAATCTATCCAAATATCCACTTGCAGATTCCACAGAAAGACTGTTTCAAATCTGCTCAGTCAATAGAAAGGTTCAACTCTGTTAGCTGCGTGCATATATCACAAAGAAGATTCTGAGTTTGCTTCTGTCTAGTTTTTATGGGAAGATATTTCCCTTTTCACCGTAGGCGTCAAGGCGCTCCAAATGTCCACTTCCAGATACTACAAAAAGAGTGTTTCAAACCTACTCTGTGAAAGGGAATATTCAACTCTGTGACTTGAATGCACATATCACAAAGAAGTTTCAGAGAATGCTTCCGTCGAGATTTTATATGAAGATATTCCCGTTTCCAACGAAATCCTGAAATCTATCCAAATATCCCCTCGCAGATTCTACAAAAAGAGTGTTTCAAACCTACTCTGTGAAAGGGAATATTCAACTCTGTGACTTGAATGCACATATCACAAAGAAGTTTCTGAGAATGCTTCTGTCGAGATTTTATATGAAGATATTCCCGTTTCCAACGAAATCCTGAAATCTATCCAAATATCCCCTCGCAGATTCTACAAAAAGAGTGTTTCAAAACTGCTCTGTAAAAACAAAGGTTCAACTCTGTTAGTTGAGTACACACATCACAAACAAGTTTCACAGAATGCTTCTGTCTAGATTTTATAGGAAGATATTCCCGTTTCCAGCGAAATCTTCACAGCTATCCAAATATCCACTTGCAGATTCTACAAAAAGAGTGTATCAAAACTGCTCTGTCAAAAGGAAGTTTCTTCTCTGTTAGGTGAGTGCATACGTCATAAAGGAGTTTCTGAGAATGTTTCTGTCTTGTGGTTATGGGAAGATATTTGCTTTTTCCCCGTAGGCCTCAGGGCGCTCCAAATGTCCACTTGCACATGCTACAAAAAGAGTGCTTCAAAGCTGCTCTCTGAAAGGGAATGTTCAACTCTATGAGTTGAATGCAAACATCACAAAGACGTTTCTGAGAATGCTTCTGTGTAGTTTTTATTTGAAGATATTTCCTTTCTCACCATAGACCTGAAAGCTGTCCTAATGTTCACTTCCAGATACTACAGAAAGAGTGTTTCAAAACTGCTGTACGAAAGGGAATGTTCAACTACTGTGACTTGAATGCACACATCACAAAGAAGTTTCTGAGGATGCTTCTGTCTAGTTTTTATTTGAAGATATATCCTTTCTCACTATAGACCTGAAAGCTGTCCTAAAGTTCACTTCCAGATACTACAGAAAGAGTGTTTCAAAACTGCTGTACGAAAGGGAATGTTCAACTACTGTGACTTGAATGCACACATCACAAGGATGTTTCTGAGGATGCTGCTGTCTACTTTTTATACGTAATCCCGTTTCCAACGAAATCCTCCAAGCTATCCAAATATCCACTTGCAGATTCCACAGAAAGACTGTTTCAAAACTGCTCTGTCAATAGAAAGGTTCAACTCTATTAGCTATGTGCATATATCCCAAAGAAAATTCTGAGATTGCTTCTGTCTAGTTTTTATGGGAAGATATTTCCCTTTTCACCGTAGGCGTCAAGGCGCTCCAAATGTCCACTTCCAGATACTACAAAAAGAGTGTTTCAAACCTACTCTGTGAAAGGGAATATTCAACTCTTTGACTTGAATGCACATATCACAAAGAAGTTTCTGAGAATGCTTCTGTCGAGATTTTATATGAAGATATTCCCGTTTCCAACGAAATCCTGAAATCTATCCAAATATCCCCTCGCAGATTCTACAAAAAGAGTGTTTCAAAACTGCTCTGTAAAAAGAAAGGTTCAACTCTGTCAGTTGAGTACACACATCACAAACAAGTTTCACAGAATGCTTCTTTCTAGCTTGTAGGGGAAGATATTCCCTTTATCACCATGGGCCTCAAACCGTCTGAAACGTCCACTTCCATATACTAGAAAAAGATCATTTCAAACCTGCTCTATGAAAGGCAATGTTCAACTCTGTGACTTGAATGCAGACATCACAGAGCAGTTTCTGAGAATGCTTCTGTCTAGATTTTATAGGAAGATATTCCCGTTTCCAACGAAATCTTCACAGCTATCCAAATATGCACTTGCAGATTCTACAAAAAGTGTGTATCAAAACTGCTCTGTCAAAAGGAAGGTTCTTCTCTGTTAGTTGAGTACATACGTCATAAAGGAGTTTCTGAGAATGTTTCTGTCTAGTGGTTATGGGAAGATATTTGCTTTTTCCCCGTAGGCCTCAGGGCGCTCCAAATGTCCACTTGCACATGCTACAATAAGAGTGTTTCCAACCTGCTCTATGAAACGGAAGGTTCAACTCTGTGACTTGATTGCAAACATCACGAAGGTGTTTCTGAGAATGCTTCTGTCTAGATTTGATATGAAGATATTCCCGTTTCCAACGACATCTTCAAATCTATCCAAATGTCCACTTGCAGATTTAACAAAACGTGTTTTTCAGAACTGCTCTATCAAAAGAAAGATCCACCTCTGTTAGCTGAGTTCACACATCACAAACAAGTTTATGAGAATGCTTCTGTCTAGTTTTTATTTGAAGATATTTCCTTTCTCACCATAGAGCTGAAAGCTGTCCTAATGTTCACTTCCAGATACTACAGAAAGAGTGTTTCAAAACTGCTGTACGAAAGGGAGTGTTCAACTCTGTGACTTGAATGCACACATCACAAAGAAGTTTCTGAGGATGCTGCTGTCTACTTTTTATACGTAATCCCGTTTCCAATGAAATGCTCCAAGCTATCCAAATATCCACTTGCAGATTCCACAGAAAGACTGTTTCAAAACTGCTCTGTCAATAGAAAGGTTCAACTCTGTTAGCTGCGTGCATATATCCCAAAGAAGATTCTGAGATTGCTTCTGTCTACTTTTTATGAGAAGATATTTCCCTTTTCACCGTAGGCGTCAAGGCGCTCCAAATGTCCACTTCCAGATACTACAAAAAGAGTGTTTCAAACCTACTCTGTGAAAGGGAATATTCAACTCTGTGACTTGAATGCACATATCACAAAGAAGCTTCTTAGAATGCTTCTGTCGAGATTTTATATGAAGATATTCCCGTTTCCAACGAAATCCTGAAATCTATCCAAATATCCCCTCGCAGATTCTACAGAAAGAGTGTTTCAAAACTGCTCTGTAAAAAGAAAGGTTCAACTCTGTTAGTTGAGCACACACATCACAAACAAGTTTCACAGAATGCTTCTTTCTAGCTTGTAGGGGAAGATATTCCCTTTATCACCATGGTCCTCAAACCGTCCGAAACGTCCACTTCCATATACTACAAAAAGAGCGTTTCAAACCTGCTCTATGAAAGGCAATGTTCAACTCTGTGACTTGAATGCAGACATCACAGAGCAGTTTCTGAGAATGCTTCTGTCTAGACTTTATAGGAAGATATTCCCGTTTCCAACGAAATCTTCACAGCTATCCAAATATCCACTTGCAGATTCTACAAAAAGAGTGTATCAAAACTGCTCTGTCAAAAGGAAGGTTCTTTTCTGTTAGGTGAGTGCATACGTCATAAAGGAGTTTCTGAGAATGTTTCTGTCTAGTGGTTACGGGAAGATATTTGCTTTTTCCCCGTAGGCCTCAGGGCACTCCAAATGTCCACTTGCACATGCTACAAAAAGAGTGCTTCAAAGCTGCTCTCTGGAAGGGAATGTTCAACTCTATGAGTTGAATGCAAACATCACAAAGACGTTTCTGAGAATGCTTCTGTCTAGACTTGATATGAAGATATTCCCGTTTCCAACGAAATCTTCAAATCTATCCAAATGTCCACTTGCAGATTCAACAAAAAGTGTTTTTCAGAAGTGCTCTATCAAAAGAAAGATCCACCTCTGTTAGCTGAGTTCACACATCACAAACAAGTTTATGAGAATGCTTCTGTCTAGTTTTTATTTGAAGATATTTCCTTTCTCACCATAGACCTGAAAGCTGTCCTAATGTTCACTTCCAGTTACTACAGAAAGAGTGTTTTAAAACTGCTGTACGAAAGGGAATGTTCAACTCTGTGACTTGAATGCACACATCTCAAAGAAGTTTCTGAGGATGCTGCTGTCTAATTTTTATACGTAATCCCGTTTCCAACGAAATCCTCCAAGCTATCCAAATATCCACTTGCAGATTCCACAGAAAGACTGTTTCAAAACTGCTCTGTCAATAGAAAGGTTCAACTCTGTTAGCTGCGTGCATATATCCCAAAGAAGATTGTGAGATTGCTTCTGTCTAGTTTTTATGGGAAGATTTTTCCCTTTTCACCGTAGGTGTCAAGGCGCTCCAAATGTCCACTTCCAGATACTACAAAAAGAGTGTTTCAAACCTACTCTGTGAAAGGGAATATTCAACTCTGTGACTTGAATGCACATATCACAAGGGAAGTTTCTGAGAATGCTTCTGTCGAGATTTTATATGAAGATATTCCCGTTTCCAACGAAATCCTGAAATGTATCCAAATATCCCCTCGCAGATTCTACAAAAAGAGTGTTTCAAAACTGCTCTGTAAAAAGAAAGGTTCAACTCTGTTAGTTGAGAACACACATCACAAACAAGTTTCACACAATGCTTCTTTCTAGCTTGTAGGGGAAGATATTCCCTTTATCACCGTGGGCCTCCAACCGTCCGAAACGTCCACTTCCATATACTACAAAAAGAGCGTTTCAAACCTGCTCTATGAAAGGCAATGTTCAACTCTGTGACTTGAATGCAGACATCACAGAGCAGTTTCTGAGAATGCTTCCGTCTAGATTTTATAGGAAGATATTCCCGTTTCCAACGAAATCTTCACAGCTATCCAAATATCCACTTGCAGATTCTACAAAAAGAGTGTATCAAAACTGCTCTGTCAAAAGGAAGGTTCTTCTCTGTTAGGTGAGTGCATACGTCATAAAGGAGTTTCTGAGAATGTTTTTGTCTAGTGGTTTTGGGAAGATATTTTCTTTTTCACCGTAGGCCTCACAGCGCACCAAATATCCACTTGCACATACTACAAAAAGAGTGCCTCAAAGCTGCTCTCTGAAACGGAATGTTCAACTCTATGGGTTGAATGCAAACATCACAAAGACGTTTCTGAGAATGCTTCTGTCTAGATTTGATATGAAGATATTCCCGTTTCCAACGAAATCTTCAAATCTATCCAAATGTCCACTTGCAGATTCAACAAAAAGTGTTTTTCAAAACTGCTGTATCAAAAGAAAGATCCACGTCTGTTAGCTGAGTTCACACATCAGAAACAAGTTTATGAGAATGCTTTCTGTCTAGTTTTTATTTGAAGATATTTCCTTTCTCACCATAGACCTGAAAGCTGTCCTAGTTTTCACTTCCAGATACTACAGAAAGAGTGTTTCAAAACTGCTGTACGAAAGGGAATATTCAACTCTGTGACTTGAATGCACACATCACAAAGAAGTTTCTGAGGATGCTGCTGTCTACTTTTTATACTTAATCCCGTTTCCAACGAAATCCTCCAAGCTAATCAAATATCCACTTGCAGATTCCACAGAAAGACTGTTTCAAAACTGCTCTGTCAATAGAAAGGTTCAACTCTGTTAGCTGCGTGCATATATCCCAAAGAAGATTCTGAGATTGCTTCTGTCTAGTTTTTATGGGAAGATATTTCCCTTTTCACCGTAGGCGTCAAGGCGCTCCAAATGTCCACTTCCAGATACTACTAAAAGAGGGTTTCAAACTTACTCTGTGAAAGGGAATATTCAACTCTGTAACTTGAATGCACATATCACAAAGAAGTTTCTGAGAATGCTGCTGTCGAGATTTTATATGAAGATATTCCCGTTTCCAACGAAATCCTGAAATCTATCCAAATATCCCCTCGCAGATTCTACAAAAAGAGTGTTTCAAAACTGCTCTGTAAAAAGAAAGGTTCAACTCTGTTAGTTGAGTACACACATCACAAACAAGTTTCACAGAATGCTTCTTTCTAGCTTGTAGGGGAAGATATTCCCTTTATCACCATGGGCCTCAAACCGTCCGAAACGTCCACTTCCATGTACTACAAAAAGAGCTTTTCAAACCTGTTCTAGGAAAGGCAATGTTCAACTCTGTGACTTGAATGCAGACATCACAGAGCAGTTTCTGAGAATGCTTCTGTCTAGATTTTATAGGAAGATATTCCCGTTTCCAACGAAATCTTCACAGCTATCCAAATATCCACTTGCAGATTCTACAAAAAGAGTGTATCAAAACTGCTCTGTCAAAAGGAAGGTTCTTCTCTGTTAGTTGAGCACATACGTCATAAAGGAGTTTCTGAGAATGTTTCTGTCAAGTGGTTATGGGAAGATATTTGCTTTTTCCCCGTAGGCCTCAGGGCGCTCCAAATGTCCACTTGCACATGCTACAAAAAGAGTGCTTCAAAGCTACTCTCTGGAAGGGAATGTTCAACTCTATGAGTTGAATGCAAACATCACAAAGACGTTTCTGAGAATGCTTCTGTCTAGATTTGATATGAAGATATTCCCGTTTCCAACGAAATCTTCAAATCTATCCAAATGTCCACTTGCAGATTCAACAAAAAGTGTTTTTCAAAACTGCTGTATCAAAAGAAAGATCCACGTCTGTTAGCTGAGTTCACACATCACAAAGAAGTTTATGAGAATGCTTCTGTCTAGTTTTTATTTGAAGATATTTCCTTTCTCACCATAGACCTGAAAGCTGTCCTAATGTTCACTTCCAGATACTACAGAAAGAGTGTTTCAAAACTGCTGTAGGAAAGGGAATGTTCAACTCTGTGACTTGAATGCACACATCACAAAGAAGTTTCTGAGGATGCTGCTGTCTACTTTTTATACGTAATCCCGTTTCCAACGAAATCCTCCAAGCTATCCAAATATCCACTAGCAGATTCCACAGAAAGACTGTTTCAAAACTGCTCTGTCAATAGAAAGGTTCAACTCTATTAGCTGCGTACATATATCCCAAAGAAGATTCTGAGATTGCTTCTGTCTAGTTTTTATGGGAAGATATTTCCCTTTTCACCATAGGCGTCAAGGCGCTCCAAATGTCCACTTCCAGATACTACAAAAAGAGTGTTTCAAACCTACTCTGTGAAAGGGAATATTCAACTCTGTGACTTGAATGCACATATCACAAAGAAGTTTCTGAAAATGCTTCTGTCGAGATTTTATATGAAGATATTCCAGTTTCCAACGAAATCCTGAAATCTATCCAAATATCCCCTCGCAGATTCTACAAAAAGAGTGTTTCAAAACTGCTCTGTATAAAGAAAGGTTCAACACTGTTAGTTGAGTACACACATCACAAACAAGTTTCACAGAATGCTTCTTTCTAGCTTGTAGGGGAAGATATTCCCTTTATCACCATGGGCCTCAAACCGTCCGAAACGTCTACTTCCATATACTACAAAAAGAGCGTTTCAAACCTGCTCTACGAAAAGCAATGTTCAACTCTGTGACTTGAATGCAGACATCACAGAGCAGTTTCTGAGAATGCTTCTGTCTAGATTTTATAGGAGGATATTCCCGTTTCCAACGAAATCTTCACAGCTATCCAAATATCCACTTTCAGATTCTACAAAAAGAGTGTATCAAAACTGCTCTGTCAAAAGGAAGGTTCTTCTCTGTTAGGTGAGTGCATACGTCATAAAGGAGTTTCTGAGAATGTTTCTGTCTAGTGGTTATGGGAAGATATTTGCTTTTTCACCTTAGGCCTCAGAGCTCTCCAAATACCCCCTTGCACATACTACAAAAAGAGTGCTTCAAAGCTGCTCTCTGAAAGGGAATGTTCAACTCTATGAGTTGAATGCAAACATCACAAAGACGTTTCTGAGAATGCTTCTGTCTAGATTTGATATGAAGATATTCCCGTTTCCAACGAAATCTTCAAATCTATCCAAATGTCCACTTGCAGATTCAACAAAAAGTGTTTTTCAGAACTGCTCTATCAAAAGAAAGATCCACCTCTCTTAGCTGAGTTCACACATCACAAACAAGTTTATGAGAATTCTTCTGTCTAGTTTTCATTTGAAGATATTTCCTTTCTCACCATAGAGCTGAAAGCTGTCCTAATGTTCACTTCCAGATACTACAGAAAGAGTGTTTCAAAACTGCTGTACGAAAGGGAATGTTCAACTCTGTGACTTGAATGCACACATCACAAAGAAGTTTCTGAGGATGCTGCTGTCTACTTTTTATACGTAATCCCGTTTCCAACGAAATCCTCCAAGCTATCCAAATATCCACTTGCAGATTCCACAGAAAGACTGTTTCAAAACTGCTCTGTCAATAGAAAGGTTCAAATCTGTTAGCTGCGTGCATATATCCCAAAGAAGATTCTGAGATTCCTTCTGTCTAGTTTTTATGGGAAGATATTTCCCTTTTCACCGTGGGCGTCAAGGCGCTCCAAATGTCCACTTCCAGATACTACAAAAAGAGTGTTTCAAACCTACTCTGTGAAAGGGAATATTCAACGCTGTGACTTGAATGCACATATCACAAGGAAGTTTCTGAGAATGCTTCTGTCGAGATTTTATATGAAGATATTCCCGTTTCCAACGAAATCCTGAAATCTATCCAAATATCCCCTCGTAGATTCTACAAAAAGAGTGTTTCAAAACTGCTCTGTAAAAAGAAAGGTTCAACTCTGTTAGTTGAGTACACACATCACAAACAAGTTTCACAGAATGCTTCTTTCTAGCTTGTAGGGGAAGATATTCCCTTTATCACCATGGGCCTCAAACCGTCCGAAACGTCCACTTCCATATACTACAAAAAGAGTGTTTCAAACCTGCTCTATGAACGGCAATGTTCAACTCTGTGACCTTGAATGCAGACATCACAGAGCAGTTTCTGAGAATGCTTCTGTCTAGATTTTATAGGAAGATATTCCCGTTTCCAACGAAATCTTCACAGCTATTCAAATATCCACTTGCAGATTCTACAAAAAGAGTGTATCAAAACTGCTCTGTCAAAAGGAAGGTTCTTCTCTGTTAGGTGAGTGCATACGTCATAAAGGAGTTTCTGAGAATGTTTCTGTCTAGTGGTTATGGGAAGATATTTGCTTTTTCACCGTAGGCCTCAGAGCGCTCCAAATATCCACTTGCACATACTACAAAAAGAGTGCTTCAAAGCTGCTCTCTGAAAGGGTATGTTCAACTCTATGAGTTGAATGCAAACATCACAAAGACGTTTCTGAGAATGCTTCTGTCTAGATTTGATATGAAGATATTCCCGTTTCCAACGAAATCTTCAAATCTATCCAAATGTCCACTTGCAGATTCAACAAAAAGTGTTTTTCAGAACTGCTCTATCAAAAGAAAGATCCACCTATGTTAGCGGAGTTCACACATCACAAACAAGTTTATGAGAATGCTTTCTGTCTAGTTTTTATTTGAAGATATTTCCTTTCTCACCATAGAGCTGAAAGCTGTCCTAATGTTCACTTCCAGATACTACAGAAAGAGTGTTTCAAAACTGCTGTACGAAAGGGAATGTTCAACTCTGTGACTTGAATGGACACATCACAAAGAAGTTTCTGAGGATGCTGCTGTCTACTTTTTATACGTAATCCCGTTTCCAACGAAATCCTCCAAGCTATCCAAATATCCACTTGCAGATTCCACAGAAAGACTGTTTCAAAACTGCTCTGTCAATAGAAAGGTTCAACTCTGTTAGCTGCCTGCATATATCCCAAAGAAGATTCTGAGATTGCTTGTGTCTACTTTTTATGAGAAGATATTTCCCTTTTCACCATAGGCGTCAAGGCGCTCCAAATGTCCACTTACAGATACTACAAAAAGAGTGTTTCAAACCTACTCTGTGAAAGGGAATATTCAACTCTGTGACTTGAATGCAGATATCACAAAGAAGTTTCTGAGAATGCTTCTGTCGAGATTTTATATGAAGATATTCCCGTTTCCAACGAAATCCTGAAATCTATCCAAATATCCCCTCGCAGATTCTACAAAAAGAGTGTTTCAAAACTGCTCTGTAAAAAGAAAGGTTCAACTCTCTTAGTTGAGTACACACATCACAAACAAGTTTCACAGAATGCTTCTTTCTAGCTTGTAGGGGAAGATATTCCCTTTATCACCATGGGCCTCAAACCGTCCGAAACGTCTATTTCCATATACTACAAAAAGAGCGTTTCAAACCTGCTCTATGAAAGGCAATGTTCAACTCTGTGACTTGAATGCAGACATCACAGAGCAGTTTCTGAGAATGCTTCTGTCTAGATTTTATAGGAAGATATTCCCGTTTCCAACGAAATCTTCACAGCTATCCAAATATCCACTTGCAGATTCTGCAAAAAGAGTGTATCAAAAGTGCTCAGTCAAAAGGAAGGTTCTTCTCTGTTAGGTGAATGCATACGTCATAAAGGAGTTTCTGAGAATGTTTCTGTCTAGTGGTTATGGGAAGATATTTGCTTTTTCACCGTAGGCCTCAGAGCGCTCCAAATATCCACTTGCACATACTACAAAAAGAGTGCTTCAAAGCTGCTCTCTGAAACGGAATGTTCAACTCTAGGAGTTGAATGCAAACATCACAAAGACGTTTATGAGAATGCTTCTGTCTAGATTTGATATGAAGATATTCCCGTTTCCAACGAAATCTTCAAATCTATCCAAATGTCCACTTGCAGATTCAACAAAAATTGTTTTTCAGAACTGCTCTATCAAAAGAAAGATCCACCTCTGTTAGCTGAGTTCACACATCACAAACAAGTTTATGAGAATGCTTCTGTCTAGTTTTTATTTGAAGATGTTTCCTTTCTCACCATAGACCTGAAAGCTGTCCTAATGTTCACTTCCAGATACTACAGAAAGAGTGTTTCAAAACTGCTGTACGAAAGGGAATGTTCAACTCTGTGACTTGAATGCACACATCACAAAGAAGTTTTCTGAGGATGCTGCTGTCTACTTTTTATACGGTAATCCCGTTTCCAACGAAATCCTCCAATCTATCCAAATATCCACTTGCAGATTCCACAGAAAGACTGTTTCAAAACTGCTCTGTCAATAGAAAGGTTCAACTCTGTTAGCTGCGTGCATATATCCCAAAGAAGATTCTGAGATTGCTTTTGTCTAGTTTTTATGGGAAGATATTTCCCTTTTCACCGTAGGCGTAAAGGCGCTCCAAATGTCCACTTCCAGATACTACAAAAAGAGTGTTTCAAACCTACTCTGTGAAAGGGAATATTCAACTCTGTGACTTGAAGGCAGATATCACAAAGAAGTTTCTGAGAATGCTTCTGTCGAGATTTTATATGAAGATATTCCCGTTTCCAACGAAATGCTGAAATCTATCCAAATATCCCCTCGCAGATTCTACAAAAAGAGTGTTTCAAAACTGCTCTGTAAAAAGAAAGGTTCAACTCTGTTACTTGAGTACACACATCACAAACAAGTTTCAGAGAATGCTTCTTTCTAGCTTGTAGGGGAAGATATTCCCTTTATGACCATGGGCCTCAAACCGTCCGAAACGTCCACTTCCATATACTACAAAAAGAGTGTTTCAAACCTGCTCTATGAACGGCAATGTTCAACTCTGTGACTTGAATGCAGACATCACAGAGCAGTTTCTGAGAATGCTTCTGTCTAGATTTTATAGGAAGATATTCCCGTTTCCAAAGAAATCTTCACAGCTATCCAAATATCCACTTTCAGATTCTACAAAAAGAGTGTATCAAAAGTGCTCTGTCAAAAGGAAGGTTCTTCTCTGTTAGGTGAGTGCATACGTCATAAAGGAGTTTCTGAGAATGTTTCTGTCTAGTGGTTATGGGAAGATATTTGCTTTTTCACCGTAGGCCTCAGAGCGCTCCAAATATCCCCTTGCACATACTACAAAAAGAGTGCTTCAAAGCTGCTCTCTGAAACGGAATGTTCAACTCTATGAGTTGAATGCAAACATCACAAAGACGTTTCTGAGAATGCTTCTGTCTAGATTTGATATGACGATATTCCCGTTTCCAACGAAATCTTCAAATCTATCCAAATGTCCACTTGCAGATTCAACAAAACGTGTTTTTCAGAACTGCTCTATCAAAAGAAAGATCCACGTCTGTTAGCTGAGTTCACACATCACAAACAAGTTTATGAGAATGCTTCTGTCTAGTTTTTATTTGAAGATATTTCCTTTCTCACCATAGAGCTGAAAGCTGTCCTAATGTTCACTTCCAGATACTATAGAAAGAGTGTTTCAAAACTGCTGTACGAAAGGGAATGTTCAACTCTGTGACTTGAATGCACACATCACAAAGAAGTTTACTGAGGATGCTGGTGTCTACTTTTTATACGTAATCCCGTTTCCAACGAAATCCTCCAAGCTATCCAAATATCCACTTGCAGATTCCACAGAAAGACTGTTTCAAAACTGCTCTGTCAATAGAAAGGTTCAACTCTGTTAGCTGCCTGCATATATCCCAAAGAAGATTCTGAGATTGCTTCTGTCTAGTTTTTATGGGAAGATATTTCCCTTTTCACCGTAGGTGTCAAGGCGCTCCAAATGCCCACTTCCAGATACTACAAAAAGAGTGTTTCAAACCTACTCTGTGAAAGGGAATATTCAACTCTGTGACTTAAAGGCAGATATCACAAAGAAGTTTCTGAGAATGCTTCTGTCGAGATTTTATATGAAGATATTCCCGTTTCCAACGAAATCCTGAAATGTATCCAAATATCCCCTCGCAGATTCTACAAAAAGAGTGTTTCAAAACTGCTCTGTAAAAAGAAAGGTTCAACTCTGTTAGTTGAGTACAAACATCACAAACAAGTTTCACACAATGCTTCTTTCTAGCTTGTAGGGGAAGATATTCCCTTTATCACCATGGGCCTCAAACCGTCCGAAACGTCCTCTTCCATATAGTACAAAAAGAGCGTTTCAAACCTGCTCTATGAAAGGCAATGTTCAACTCTGTGACTTGAATGCAGACATCACAGAGCAGTTTGCTGAGAATGCTTCTGTCTAGGTTTTATAGGAAGATATTCCCGTTTCCAACGAAATCTTCACAGCTATCAAAATATCCACTTGCAGATTCTACAAAAGGAGTGTATCAAAACTGCTCTGTCAAAAGGAAGGTTCTTCTCTGTTAGGTGAGTGCATACGTCATAAAGGAGTTTCTGAGAATGTTTCTGTCTAGTGGTTATGGGAAGATATTTGCTTTTTCCCCGTAGGCCTCAGGGCGCTCCAAATGTCCACTTGCACATGCTACAAAAAGAGTGCTTCAAATCTGCTCTCTGAAAGGGAATGTTCAACTCTATGAGTTGAATGCAAACATCACAAAGACGTTTCTGAGAATGCTTCTGTCTAGATTTAATATGAAGATATTCCCGTTTCCAACGAAATCTTCAAATCTATCCAAATGTCCACTTGCAGATTCAACAAAAAGTGTTTTTCAGAACTGCTCTATCAAAAGAAAGATCCACCTCTGTAAGCTGAGTTCACACATCACAAACAAGTTTATGAGAATGCTTCTGTCTAGTTTTTATTTGAAGATATTTCCTTTCTCACCATAGACCTGAAAGCTGTCCTAATGTTCATTTCCAGTTACTACAGAAAGAGTGTTTCAAAACTGCTGTACGAAAGGGAATGTTCAACTCTGTGACTTGAATGCACACATCACAAAGAAGTTTCTGAGGATGCTGCTGTCTACTTTTTATACTTAATCCCGTTTCCAACGAAATCCTCCAAGCTATCCAAATATCCACTTGCAGATTCCACAGAAAGACTGTTTCAAAACTGCTCTGTCAATAGATAGGTTCAACTCTGTTAGCTGCGTGCATATATCCCAAAGAAGATTCTGAGATTGCTTCTGTCTAGTTTTTATGGGAAGATATTTCCCTTTTCACCATAGGTGTCAAGGCGCTCCAAATGTCCACTTCCAGATACTACAAAAAGAGTGTTTCAAACCTACTCTGTGAAAGGGAATATTCAACCCTGTGACTTGAATGCACATATCACAAAGAAGTTTCTGAGAATGCTTCTGTCGAGATTTTATATGAAGATATTCCCGTTTCCAACGAAATCCTGAAATCAATCCAAATATACCCTCGCAGATTCTACAAAAAGAATGTTTCAAAACTGCTCTGTAAAAAGAAAGGTTCAACTCTGTTAGTTGAGTACACACATCACAAACAAGTTTCACAGAATGCTTCTTTCTAGCTTGTAGGGGAAGATATTCCCTTTATCACCATGGGCCTCAAACCGTCCGAAACGTCCACTTCCATATACTACAAAAAGAGCGTTTCAAAACTGCTCTATGAAAGGCAATGTTCAACTCTGTGACTTGAATGCAGACATCACAGAGCAGTTTCTGAGAATGCTTCTGTCTAGATTTTATAGGAAGCTATTCCCGTTTCCAACGAAATCTTCACAGCTATCCAAATATCCACTTGCAGATTCTACAAAAAGAGTGTATCAAAACTGCTCTGTCAAAAGGAAGGTTCTTCTCTGTTAGGTGAGTGCATACGTCATAAAGGAGTTTCTGAGAATGTTTCTGTCTAGTGGTTATGGGAAGATATTTGCTTTTTCCCCGTAGGCCTCAGGGCGCTCCAAATGTCCACTTGCACATGCTACAAAAAGAGTGCTTCAAAGCTGCTCTCTGGAAGGGAATGTTCAACTCTATGAGTTGAATGCAAACATCACAAAGACGTTTCTGAGAATGCTTCTGTCTAGATTTGATATGAAGATATTCCCGTTTCCAACGAAACCTTCAAATCTATCCAACTGTCCTCTTGCAGATTCAACAAAAAGTGTTTTTCAGAACTGCTCTATCAAAAGAAAGATCCACCGTGTGTTAGCTGAGTTCACACATCACGAACAAGTTTATGAGAATGCTTCTGTCTAGTTTTTATTTGAAGATATTTCCTTTCTCACCATAGACCTGAAAGCTGTCCTAATGTTCACTTCCAGATACTACAGAAAGAGTGTTTCAAAACTGCTGTACGAAAGGGAATGTTCAACTCTGTGACTTGAATGCAGACATCACAAAGAAGTTTCTGAGGATGCTGCTGTCTACTTTTTATACGTAATCCCGTTTCCAACGAAATCCTCCAATCCATCCAAATATCCACTTGCAGATTCCACAGAAAGACTGTTTCAAAACTGCTCTGTCAATAGGAAGGTTGAACTCTGTTAGCTGCGTGCATATATCCCAAAGAAGATTCTGAGATTGCTTCTGTCTAGTTTTTATGGGAAGATATTTCCCTTTTCACCGTAGGTGTCAAGGCGCTCCAAATGTCCACTTCCAGATACTACAAAGAGAGTGTTTCAAACCTACTCTGTGAAAGGGAATATTCAACTCTGTGACTTGAATGCACATATCACAAAGAAGTTTCTGAGAATGCTTCTGTCGAGATTTTATATTAAGATATTCCCGTTTCCAACGAAATCCTGAAATCTATCCAAATATCCCCTCGCAGATTCTACAAAAAGAGTGTTTCAAAACTGCTCTGTAAAAAGAAAGGTTCAACTCTGTTAGTTGAGTACACACATCAAAAACAAGTTTCACAGAATGCTTCTTTCTAGCTTGTAGGGGAAGATATTCCCTTTATCACCATGGGCCTCAAACCGTCTGAAACGTCCACTTCCATATACTACAAAAAGAGCATTTCAAACCTGCTCTATGAAAGGCAATCTTCAACTCTGTGACTTGAATGCAGACATCACAGAGCAGTTTCTGAGAATGCTTCTGTCTAGATTTGATATGAAGATATTCCCGTTTCCAAAGAAATCTTCAGAGCTATCCAAATATCCACTTGCAGATTCTACAAAAAGAGTGTATCAAAAATGCTCTGTCAAAAGGTAGGTTCTTCTCTGTTAGTTGAGTACATACGTCAGAAAGAAGTTTCTGAGAATGTTTCTGTCTAGTGGTTATGGGAAGATATTTGCTTTTTCACCGTAGGCCTCAGAGCGCTCCAAATATCCACTTGCACATACTACAAAAAGAGTGCCTGAAAGCTGCTCTCTGAAACGGAATGTTCAACTCTATGAGTTGAATGCAAACATCGCAAAGACGTTTCTGAGAATGCTTCTGTATAGATTTGATATGAAGATATTCCCGTTTCCAATGAAATCTTCATATCTATCCAATGTCCACTTGCAGATTCAACAAAAAGTGTTTTTCAAAACTGCTGTATCAAAAGAAAGATCCACGTCTGTTAGCTGAGTTCACACATCACAAACAAGTTTATGAGAATGCTTCTGTCTAGTTTTTATTTGAAGATATTTCCTTTATCACCATAGACCTGAAAGCTGTCCTAATATTCACTTCCAGATACTACAGAAAGAGTGTTTCAAAACTGCTGTACGAAAGGGAATGTTCAACTCTGTGACTTGAATGCACACATCACAAAGAAGTTTCTGAGGATGCTGCTGGCTACTTTGTATAGGTAATCCCGTTTCCAACGAAATCCTCCAAGCTATCCAAATATCCACTTGCAGATTCCACAGAAAGACTGTTTCAAAACTGCTCTGTCAATAGAAAGGTTCAACTCTGTTAGCTGCGTGCATATATCCCAAAGAAGATTCTCAGATTGCTTCTGTCTACTTTTTATGAGAAGATATTTCCCTTTTCACCGTAGGTGTCAAGGCGCTCCAAATGTCCACTTCCAGATACTAGAAAAAGAGTGTTTCAAACCTACTCTGTGAAAGGGAATATTCAACTCTGTGACTTGAATGCACATATCACAAAGAAGCTTCTGAGAATGCTTCTGTCGAGATTTTATATAAAGATATTCCGGTTTCCAACAAAATCCTGAAATCTATCCAAATATCCCCTCGCAGATTCTACAAAAAGAGTGTTTCAAAACTGCTCTGTAAAAAGAAAGGTTCAACTCTGTTAGTTGAGTACACACATCACAAACAAGTTTCACAGAATGCTTCTTTCTAGCTTGTAGGGGAAGATATTCCCTTTATCACCATGGGCCTCAAACCGTCCGAAACGTCCACTTCTATATACTACAAAAAGAGCGTTTCAAACCTGCTCTAGGAAAGGCAATGTTCAACTCTGTGACTTGAATGCAGACATCACAGAGCAGTTTCTGAGAATGCTTCTGTCTAGATTTTATAGGAAGATATTCCCGTTTCCAACGAAATCTTCACAGCTATCCAAATATCCACTTGTAGATTCTACAAAAAGAGTGTATCAAAACTGCTCTGTCAAAAGGAAGGTTCTTCTCTGTTAGTTGAGTACATACGTCATAAAGGAGTTTCTGAGAATGTTTCTGTCTAGTGGTTATGGGAAGATATTTGCTTTTTCACCGTAGGCCTCAGAGCGCTCCAAGTATCCACTTGCACATACTACAAAAAGAGTGCTTCAAAGCTGCTCTCTGAAAGGGAATGTTCAACTCTATGAGTTGAATGCAAACATCACAAAGACGTTTCTGAGAATGCTTCTGTCTAGATTTGATATGAAGATATTCCCGTTTCCAACGAAATCTTCAAATCTATACAAATGTCCACTTGCAGATTCAACAAAAAGTGTTTTTCAGAACTGCTCTATCAAAAGAAAGATCCAACTCTGTTAGCTGAGTTCACACATCACAAACAAGTTTATGAGAATGCTTCTGTCTAGTTTTTATTTGAAGATATACCTTTTCTCACTATAGACCTCAAAGCTCTCCTAATGTTCACTTCCAGATACTACAGAAAGAGTGTTTCAAAACTGCTGTACGAAAGGGAATGTTCAACTGTGTGTCTTGAATGCACACATCACAAGGAAGTTTCTGAGGATGCTGCTGTCTACTTTTTATACATAATCCCTTTTCCAACGAAATCCTCCAAGCTATCCAAATATCCACTTGCAGATTCCACAGAAAGACTGTTTCAAAACTGCTCTGTCAATAGAAAGGTTCAACTCTGTTAGCTGCGTGCATATATCCCAAAGAAGATTCGGAGATTGCTTGTCTGTCTAGTTTTTATGGGAAGATATTTCCCTTTTCATCGTAGGCGTCAAGGCGCTCCAAATGTCCACTTCCAGATACTACAAAAAGAGTGTTTCAAACCTACTCTGTGAAAGGGAATATTCAACTCTGTGACTTGAATGCAGATATCACAAAGACGTTTCTGAGAATGCTTCTGTCGAGATTTTATTTGAAGATATTCCCGTTTCCAACGAAATGCTGAAATCTATCCAAATATCCCCTCGCAGATTCTACAAAAAGAGTGTTTCAAAACTGCTCTGTGAAAAGAAAGGTTCAACTCTGTTAGTTGAGTACACACATCACAAACAAGTTTCACAGAATGCTTCTTTCTAGCTTGTAGGGGAAGATATTCCCTTTATCACCATGGGCCTCAAACCGTCCGAAACGTCCACTTCCATATACTACAAAAAGAGCGTTTCAAACCTGCTCTATGAAAGGCAATGTTCAACTCTGTGACTTGAATGCAGACATCACAGAGCAGTTTCTGAGAATGCTTATCTGTCTAGATTTTATAGGAAGATATTCCCGTTTCCAACGAAATCTTCACAGCTATCCAAATATCCACTTGCAGACTCTACAAAAAGAGTGTATCAAAACTGCTCTGTCAAAAGGAAGGTTCTTCTCTGTTAGGTGAGTGCATTACGTCATAAAGGAGTTTCTGAGAATGTTTCTGTCTAGTGTTTATGGGAAGATATTTGCTTTTTCACCGTAGGCCTCAGAGCGCTCCAAATATCCACTTGCACATACTACAAAAAGAGTGCCTCAAAGCTGCTCTCTGAAACGGAATGTTCAACTCTATGAGTTGAATGCCAACATCACAAAGACGTTTCTGAGAATGCTTCTGTCTAGATTTGATATGAAGATATTCCCGTTTCCAACGAAATCTTGAAATCTATCCGAATGTCCACTTGCAGATTCAACAAAAAGTGTTTTTCAGAACTGCTCTATCAAAAGAAAGATCCACCTCTGTTAGCTGAGTTCACACATCACAAACAAGTTTATGAGAATGCTTCTGTCTAGTTTTTATTTGAAGGTATTTCCTTTCTCACCATAGACCTGAAAGCTGTCCTAATGTTCACTTCCAGATACTACAGAAAGAGTGTTTCAAAACTGCTGTACGAAAGGGAATGTTCAACTCTCTGACTTGAATGCACACATCACAAAGAAGTTTCTGAGGATGCCGCTGTCTACTTTTTATACGTAATCCCGTTTCCAACGAAATCCTCCAAGCTATCCAAACATCCACTTGCAGATTCCACAGAAAGACTGTTTCAAAACTGCTCTGTCAATAGAAAGGTTCAACTCTGTTAGCTGCGTGCATATATCCCAAAGAAGATTCTGAGATTGCTTCTGTCTAGTTTTTATGGGAAGATATTTCCCTTTTCACCGTAGGCGTCAAGGCGCTCCAAATGTCCACTTCCAGATACTACAAAAAGAGTGTTTCAAACCTACTTGGTGAAAGGGAATATTCAACTCTGTGACTTGAATGCACATATCACAAAGAAGTTTCTGAGAATGCTTCTGTCGAGATTTTATATGAAGATATTCCCGTTTCCAACGAAATCCTGAAATCTATCCAAATATCCCCTCGCAGATTCTGCAAAAAGAGTGTTTCAAAACTGCTCTGTGAAAAGAAAGGTTCAACTCTGTTAGTTGAGTACACACCTCACAAACAAGTTTCACAGAATGCTTCTTTCTAGCTTGTAGGGGAAGATATTCCCTTTATCACCATGGGCCTCAAACCGTCTGAAACGTCCACTTCCATATACTACAAAAAGAGCGTTTGAAACCTGTTCTAAGAAAGGCAATGTTCAACTCTGTGACTTGAATGCAGACATCACAGAGCAGTTTCTGAGAATGCTTCTGTCTAGATTTTATAGGAAGATATTCCCGTTTCCAACGAAATCTTCACAGCTATCCAAATATCCACTTGCAGATTCTACAAAAAGAGTGTATCAAAACTGCTCTGTCAAAAGTAAGGTTCTTCTCTGTTAGGTGAGTGCATACGTCATAAAGGAGTTTCTGAGAATGTTTCTGTCTAGTGGTTATGGGAAGATATTTGCTTTTTCACCGTAGGCCTCAGAGCGCTCCAAATATCCACTTGCGCATACTACAAAAAGAGTGCTTCAAAGCTGGTCTCTGAAACGGAATGTTCAACTCTATGAGTTGAATGCAAACATCACAAAGACGTTTCTGAGAATGCTTTTGTCTAGATTTGATATGAAGATATTCCCGTTTCCAACGAAATCTTCAAATCTATCCAAATGTCCACTTGCAGATTCTACAAAAAGTGTTTTTCAAAACTGCTGTATCAAAAGAAAGATCCACGTCTGTTAGCTGAGTTCACACATCACAAACAAGTTTATGAGAATGCTTCTGTCTAGTTTTTATTTGAAGATATTTCCTTTCTCACCATAGACCTGAAAGCAGTCCTAATGTTCACTTCCAGATACTACAGAAAGAGTGTTTCAAAACTGCTGTACGAAAGGGAATGTTCAACACTGTGACTTGAATGCACACATCACAAAGAAGTTTCTGAGGATGCTGCTGTCTACTTATTATACGTAATCCCGTTTCCAACGAAATCCTCCAAGCTATCCAAATATCCACTTGCAGATTCCACAGAAAGACTGTTTCAAAACTGCTCTGTCAATAGAAAGGTTCAACTCTGCTAGCTGCGTGCATATATCCCAAAGAAGATTCTGAGATTGCTTCTGTCTAGTTTTTATGAGAAGATATTTCCCTTTTCACCGTAGGCGTCAAGGCGCTCCAAATGTCCACTTCCAGATACTACAAAAAGAGTGTTTCAAACCTACTCTGTGAAAGGGAATATTCAACTCTGTGACTTGAATGCACATATCACAAAGAAGCTTCTGAGAATGCTTCTGTCGAGATTTTATATGAAGATATTCCCGTTTCCAACGAAATCCTGAAATCTATCCAAATATCCCCTCGCAGATTCTACAAAAAGAGTGTTTCAAAACTGCTCTGTAAAAAGAAAGGTTCAACTCTGTTAGTTGAGTACACACATCACAAACAAGTTTCACAAAATGCTTCTTTCTAGCTTGTAGGGGAAGATATTCCCTTTATCACCATGGGCCTCAAACCGTCCGAAACGTCCACTTCCATATACTACAAAAAGAGCATTTCAAACCTGCTCTAGGAAAGGCAATGTTCAACTCTGTGACTTGAATGCAGACATCACAGACCAGTTTCTGAGAATGCTTCTGTCTAGATTTTATAGGAAGATATTCCCGTTTCCAACGAAATCTTCACAGCTATCCAAATATCCACTTGCAGATTCTACAAAAAGAGTGTATCAAAACTGCTCAGTCAAAAGGAAGGTTCTTCTCCTGTTAGGTGAGTGCATACGTCATAAAGGGGTTTCTGAGAATGTTTCTGTCTAGTGGTTACGGGAAGATATTTGCTTTTTCCCCGTAGGGCTCAAAGCGCTCCAAATGTCCACTTGCACATACTACAAAAACAGTGCTTCAAAGCTGCTCTCTGAAAGGGAATGTTCAACACTATGAGTTGAATGCAAACATCACAAAGACGTTTCTGAGAATGCTTCTGTCTAGATTTGAAATGAACATATTCTCGTTTTCAACGAAATCTTCAAATCTATCCAAATGTCTACTTGCAGATTCAACAAAAAGTGTTTTTCAAAACTGCTGTGTCGAAAGAAAGATCCACCTCTGTTAGCTGAGTTCACACTTCACAAACAAGTTTATCAGAATGCTTCTGTCTAGTTTTTATTTGAAGATATTTCCTTTCTCACCATAGACCTGAAAGCTGTCCTAATGTTCACTTCCATATACTACAGAAAGAGCGTTTCAAAACTGCTGTACGAAAGGGAATGTTCAACTCTGTGACTTGAATGCACACATCACAAAGAAGTTTCTGAGGATGCTGCTGTCTACTTTTTATACGTAATCCCGTTTCCAACGAAATCCTCCAAGCTATCCAAATATCCACTTGCAGATTCCACAGAAAGACTGTTTCAAAACTGCTCTGTCAATAGAAAGGTTCAACTCTGTTAGCTGCGTGGATATATCCCAAAGAAGATTCTGAGATTGCTTCTGTCTAGTTATTATGGGAAGATATTTCCCTTTTCACCGTAGGTGTCAATGTGCTCCAAATGTCCACTTTCAGACACTACAAAAAGAGTGTTTCAAACCTACTCTGTGAAAGGGAATATTCAACTCTGTGACTTGAATGCAGATAACACAAAGAAGTTTCTGAGAATGCTTCTGTCGAGATTTTATATGAAGATATTCCCGTTTCCAACGAAATCCTGAAATGTATCCAAATATCCCCTGGCAGATTCTACAAAAAGAGTGTTTCAAAACTGCTCTGTAAAAAGAAAGGTTCAACTCTGTTAGTTGAGTACACACATCACAAACAAGTTTCACAGAATGCTTCTTTCTAGCTTGTAGGGGAAGATATTCCCTTTATCACCATGGGCCTCCAACCGTCCGAAACATCCACTTCCATATACTACAAAAAGAGCGTTTCAAACCTGCTCTATCAAAGGCAATGTTCAACTCTGTGACTTGAATACAGACATCACAGAGCAGTTTCTGAGAATGCTTCTGTCTAGATTTTATAGGAAGATATTCCCGTTTCCAACGAAATCTTCACAGGTATCCAAATATCCACTTGCAGATTCTACAAAAAGAGTGTATCAAAACTGCTCTGTCAAAAGGAAGGTTCTTCTCTGTTAGGTGAGTGCATACCTCATAAAGGAGTTTCTGAGAATGTTTCTCTCTAGTGGTTATGGGAAGATATTTGCTTTTTCCCCGTAGGCCTCAGGGCGCTCCAAATGTCCACTTGCACATGCTACAAAAAGAGTGCTTCAAAGCTGCTCTCTGAAAGGGAATGTTCAACTCTATGAGTTGAATGCAGACATCACAAAGACGTTTCTGAGAATGCTTCTGTCTAGATTTGATATGAAGATATTCCCGTTTCCAACGAAATCTTCATATCTATCCAAATGTCCACTTGCAGATTCAACAAAAAGTGTTTTTCAAAACTGCTGTATCAAAAGAAAGATCCACCTCTGTTAGCTGAGTTCACACATCACAAACAAGTTTATGAGAAAGCTTCTGTCTAGTTTTTATTTGAAGATATATCCTTTCTCACTATAGACCTGAAAGCTGTCCTAATGTTCACTTCCAGATACTACAGAAAGAGTGTTTCAAAACTGCTGTAGGAAAGGGAATTTTCAACTCTGTGACTTGAATGCACACATCACAAAGTAGTTTCTGAGGATGCTGCTGTCTACTTTTGATACGTAATCCCGTTTCCAACGAAATCCTCCAAGCTATCCAAATATCCACTTGCAGATTCCACAGAAAGAATGTTTCAAAACTGCTCTGTCAATAGAAAGGTTCAACTGTGTTAGCTGCGTGCATATATCCCAAACAAGATTGCTGAGATTGCTTCTGTCTAGTTTTTAGGGGAAGATATTTCCCTTTTCACCGTAGGTGTCAAGGCGCTCCAAATGTCCACTTCCAGATACTACAAAAAGAGTGTTTCAAACCTACTCTGTGAAAGGGAATATTCAACTCTGTGACTTGAATGCAGATATCACAATGAAGTTTCTGAGAATGCTTCTGTCGAGATTTTATATGAAGATATTCCCGTTTCCAACGAAATCCTGAAATCTATCCAAATATTCCCTCGCAGATTCTACAAAAAGAGTGTTTCAAAACTGCTCTGTAAAAAGAAAGGTTCAACTCTGTTAGTTGAGTACACACATCACAAACAAGTTTCACAGAATGCTTCTTTCTAGCTTGTAGGGGAAGATATTCCCTTTATCACCATGGGCCTCAAACCGTCCGAAACGTCCACTTCCATATACTACAAAAAGAGCGTTTCAAACCTGCTCTATGAAAGGCAATGTTCAACTCTGTGACTTGAATCCAGACATCACAGAGCAGTTTCTGAGAATGCTTCTGTCTAGATTTGATATGAAGATATTCCCGTTTCCAACGAAATCTTCACAGCTATCCAAATATCCACTTGCAGATTCTACAAAAAGAGTGTATCAAAACTGCTCTGTCAAAAGGAAGGTTCTTTTCTGTTAGGTGAGTGCATACGTCATAAAGGAGTTTCTGAGAATGTTTCTGTCTAGTGGTTATGGGAAGATATTTGCTTTTTCACCGTAGGCCTCAGAGCGCTCCAAATATCCACTTGCATATACTACAAAAAGAGTGCTTCAAAGCTGCTCTCTGAAACGGAATGTTCAACTCTATGAGTTGAATGCAAACATGACAAAGACGTTTCTGAGAATGCTTCTGTCTAGATTTGATATGAAGATATTCCCGTTTCCAACGAAATCTTCAAATCTATCCAAATGTCCACTTGCAGATTCAACAAAAAGTGTTTTTCAGAACTGCTCTATCAAAAGAAAGATCCACCTCTATTAGCTGAGTTCACACATCACAAACAAGTTTATGAGAATGCTTCTGTCTAGTTTTTATTTGAAGATATTTCCTTTCTCACCATAGACCTGAAAGCTGTGCTGTTTACTTCCAGATACTACAGAAAGAGTGTTTCAGAACTGCTGTACGAAAGGGAATGTTCAACTCTGTGACTTGAATGCACACATCACAAGGAAGTTTCTGAGGATGCTGCTGTCTACTTTTTATACGTAATCCCGTTTCCAACGAAATCCTCCAAGCTATCCAAATATCCACTTGCAGATACCACAGAAAGACTGTTTCAAAACTGCTCTGTCAATAGAAAGGTTCAACTCTGTTAGCTGCGTGCATATATCCCAAAGAGGATTCTGAGATTGCTTCTGTCTAGTTTTTATGGGAAGATATTTCCCTTTTCACCGTAGGTGTCAAGGCGCTCCAAATGTCCACTTCCAGATACTACAAAAAGAGTGTTTCAAACCTACTCTGTGAAAGGGAATATTGAACTCTGTGACTTGAATGCAGATATCACAAAGAAGTTTCTGAGAATGCTTCTGTCGAGATTTTATATGAAGATATTCCCGTTTCCAACGAAATCCTGAAATCTATCCAAATATCCCCTCGCAGATTCTACAAAAAGAGTGTTTCAAAACTGCTCTGTAAAAAGAAAGGTTCAACTCTGTTAATTGAGTACACACATCACAAACAAGTTTCACAGAATGCTTCTTTCTAGCTTGTAGGGGAAGATATTCCCTTTAATACCATGGGCCTCAAACCGTCCGAAACGTCCACTTCCATATACTAAAAAAAGAGTGTTTCAAACCTGCTCTATGAAAGGCAATGTTCAACTCTGTGACTTGAATGCAGACATCACAGAGCAGTTTCTGAGAATGCTTCTGTCTAGATTTTATAGGAAGATATTCCCGTATCCAACGAAATCTTCACAGCTATCCAAATATCCACTTCCAGATTCTACAAAAAGAGTGTATCAAAACTGCTCTGTCAAAAGGAAGGTTCTTCTCTGTTAGTTGAGTACATACGTCATAAAGGAGTTTCTGAGAATGTTTCTGTCTAGTGGTTATGGGAAGATATTTGCTTTTTCACCGTAGGCCTCAAAGCGCTCCAAATGTCCACTTGCACATACTACAAAAAGAGTGCTTCAAAGCTGCTCTCTGAAAGGGAATGTTCAACTCTATGAGTTGAATGCTAACATCACAAAGACGTTTCTGAGAATGCTTCTGTCTAGATTTGATATGAAGATATTCCCGTTTCCAATGAAATCTTCAAATCTATCCAAATGTCCACTTGCAGATTCAACAAAAAGTGTTTTTCAGAACTGCTCTATCAAAAGAAAGATCCACCTCTGTTAGCTGAGTTCACACATCACAAACAAGTTTATGAGAATGCTTCTGTCTAGTTTTTATTTGAAGATATTTCCTTACTCACGATAGACCTGAAAGCTGTCCTAATGTTCACTTCCAGATACTACAGAAAGAGCGTTTCAAAACTGCTGTACGAAAGGGAATGTTCAACTCTGTGTCTTGAATGCACACATCACAAAGAAGGTTTCTGAGGATGCTGCTGTCTACTTTTTATACGTAATCCCGTTTCCAACGAAATCCTCCAAGCTATCCAAATATCCACTTGGAGATTCCACAAAAAGACTGTTTCAAAACTACTCTGTCAATAGAAAGGTTCAACTCTGTTAGCTGCGTGCATATATCCCAAAGAAGATTCTGAGATTGCTTCTGTCTAGTTTTTATGGGAAGATATTTCCCTTTTCACCGTAGGTGTCAAGGCGCTCCAAATGTCCACTTCCAGATACTACAAAAAGAGTGTTGCAAACCTACTCTGTGAAAGGGAATATTCAACTCTGTGACTTGAATGCACATATCACAAAGAAGTTTCTGAGAATGCTTCTGTCGAGATTTTATATGAAGATATTCCTGTTTCCAACGAAATCCTGAAATGTATCCAAATATCCCCTCGCAGATTCTACAAAAAGAGTGTTTCAAAACTGCTCTGTAAAAAGAAAGGTTCAACTCTGTTAGTTGAGTACACACATCACAAAGAAGTTTCACAGAATGCTTCTTTCTAGCTTGTAGGGGAAGATATTCCCTTTATCACCATCGGCCTCAAACCGTGTGAAACGTCCACTTCCATATACTACAAAAAGAGCTTTTCAAACCTGCTCTATGAAAGGCAATGTTCAACTCTGTGACTTGAATGCAGACATCACAGAGCAGTTTCTGAGAATGCTTCTGTCTAGATTTTATAGGAAGATATTCCCGTTTCCAACGAAATCTTCACAGCTATCCCAATATCCACTTGCAGTTTCTACAAAAAGAGTGTGTCAAAACTGCTCTGTCAAAAGGAAGGTTCTTCTCTGTTAGGTGAGTGCATACGTCATAAAGCAGTTTCTGAGAATGTTTCTGTCTAGTGGTTATGGGAAGATATTTGCTTTTTCACCGTAGGCCTCAGAGCGCTCCAAATATCCACTTGCACATACTACAAAAAGAGTGCCTCAAAGCTGCTCTCTGAAACGGAATGTTCAACTCTACGAGTTGAATGCAAACATCACAAAGACGTTTCTGAGAATGCTTCTGTCTAGATTTGATATGACGATATTCCCGTTTCCAACGAAATATTCAAATCTATCCAAATGTCCACTTGCAGATTCAACAAAAAGTGTTTTTCAGAACTGCTCTATCAAAAGAAAGATCCACCTCTGTTAGCTGAGTTCACACATCACAAACAAGTTTATGAGAATGCTTCTGTCTAGTTTTTATTTGAAGATATTTCCTTTCTCACCATAGACCTGAAAGCTGTCCTAATGTTCACTTCCAGATATTACAGAAAGAGTGTTTCAAAACTGCTGTACGAAAGGGAATGTTCAACTCTGTGACTTGAATGCACACATCACAAAGAAGTTTCTGAGGATGCTGCTGTCTACTTTTTATACGTAATCCCGTTTCCAACGAAATCCTCCAAGCTATCCAAATATCCACTTGCAGATTCCACAGAAAGACTGTTTCAAAACTGCTCTGTCAATAGAAAGGTTCAACTCTGTTAGCTGCGTGCATATATCCCAAAGAAGATTCTGAGATTGATTCTGTCTAGTTTTTATGGGAAGATATTTCCCTTTTCACCGTAGGCGTCAAGGCGCTCCAAATGTCCACTTCAAGATACTACAAAAAGAGTGTTTCAAACCTACTCTGTGAAAGGGAATATTCAACTCTGTGACTTGAAGGCAGATATCACAAAGAAGTTTCTGAGAATGCTTCTGTCGAGATTTTATATGAAGATGTTCCCGTTTCCAACGAAACCCTGAAATCTATCCAAATATCCCCTCGCAGATTCTACAGAAAGAGTGTTTCAAAACTGCTCTGTAAAAAGAAAGGTTCAACTCTGTTACTTGAGTACACACATCACAAACAAGTTTCACAGAATGCTTCTTTCTAGCTTGTAGGGGAAGATATACCCTTTATCACCATGGGCCTCAAACCGTTCGAAACGTCCTCTTCCATATAGTACAAAAAGAGCGTTTCAAACCTGCTCTATGAAAGGCAATGTTCAACTCTGTGACTTGAATGCAGACATCACAGAGCAGTTTCTGAGAATGCTTCTGTCTAGATTTTATAGGAAGATATTCCCGTTTCCAACGAAATCTTCACAGCTATCCAAATATCCACTTGCAGATTCTACAAAAAGAGTGTATCAAAACTGCTCAGTCAAAAGGAAGGTTCTTCTCTGTTACGTGAGTGCATACGTCATAAAGGAGTTTCTGAGAATGTTTCTGTCTAGTGGTTATGGGAAGATATTTGCTTTTTCACCGTAGGCCTCAGAGCGCTCCAAATATCCACTGGCACATACTACAAAAAGAGTGCTTCAAAGCTGCTCTCTGAAACGGAATGTTCAACTCTATGAGTTGAATGCAAACATCACAAAGACGTTTCTGAGAATGCTTCTGTCTAGACTTGATATGAAGATATTCCCGTTTCCAACGACATCTTCAAATCTATCCAAATGTCCACTTGCAGATTCTACAAAAAGTGTTTTTCAGAACTGCTCTATCAAAAGATAGATCCACCTCTGTTAGCTGAGTTCACACATCACAAACAAGTTTATGAGAATGCTTCTGTCTAGTTTTTATTTGAAGATATTTCCTTTCTCACCATAGAGCTGAAAGCTGTCCTAATGTTCACTTCCAGATACTACAGAAAGAGGGTTTCAAAACTGCTGTACGAAAGGGAATGTTCAACTCTGTGACTTGAATGCACACATCACAAAGAAGTTTCTGAGGATGCTGCTGTCTACTTTTTATACGTAATCCCGTTTCCAACGAAATCCTCCAATCTATCCAAATATCCACTTGCAGATTCCACAGAAAGACTGTTTCAAATCTGCTCTGTCAATAGAAAGATTCAACTCTCTTAGCTGCGTGCATATATCCCAAAGAAGATTCTGAGATTGCTTCTGTCTAGTTTTTATGGGAAGATATTTCGCTTTTCACCGTAGGCGTCAAGGCGCTCCAAATGTACACTTCCAGATACTACAAAAAGAGTGTTTCAAACATACTCTGTGAAAGGGAATATTCAACTCTGTGACTTGAATGCACATACCACAAAGAAGTTTCTGAGAATGCTTCTGTCGAGATTTTATATGAAGATATTCCCGTTTCCAACGAAATGCTGAAATGTATCCAAATATCCCCTCGCAGATTCTACAAAAAGAGTGTTTCAAAACTGCTCTGTAAAAAGAAAGGTTCAACTCTGTTAGTTGAGTACACATATCACAAACAAGTTTCACAGAATGCTTCTTTCTAGCTTGTAGGGGAAGATATTCCCTTTATCACCATGGGCCTCAAACCGTCCGAAACGTCCACTTCCATATACTACAAAAAGAGCGTTTCAAACCTGCTCTATGAAAGGCAATGTTCAACTCTGTGACTTGAATGCAGACATCACAGAGCACTTTCTGAGAATGCTTCTGTCCAGACTTTATAGGAAGATATTCCCGTTTCCAACGAAATCTTCACAGCTATCCAAATATCCACTTGCAGATAGTACAACAAGAGTGTATCAGAAATGCTCTGTCAAAAGGAAAGTTCTTCTCTGCTAGTTGAGTACATACGTCATAAAGAAGTTTCTGAGAATGTTTCTGTCTAGTGGTTATGGGAAGATATTTGCTTTTTCACCGTAGGCCTCAGTGCGCTCCAAATATCCACTTGCACATACTACAAAAAGAGTGCCTCAAAGCTGCTCTCTGAAACGGAATGTTCAACTCTAGGAGTTGAATGCAAACATCACAAAGACGTTTCTGAGAATGCTTCTGTCTAGATTTGATATGAAGATATTCCCGTTTCCAACGAAATCTTCAAATCTATCCAAATGTCCCCTTGCAGATTCAACAAAAAGTGTTTTTCAGAACTGCTCTATCAAAAGAAAGATCCACCTCGGTTAGCTGAGTTCACACATCACAAACAGGTTTATGAGAATGCTTCTGTCTAGTTTTTATTTGAAGATATTTCCTTTCTCACCATAGACCTGAAAGGTCTCGAAACGTTCACTTCCAGGTACTAGAGAAAGAGTTTTTCAAACCTGCTGTACGAAAGGGAATGTTCAACTCTTTGACTTGAATGCACACATCACAAAGAAGTTTCTGAGAATGCTGCTGTCTACTTTTTATACGTAATCCCGTTTCCAACGAAGTCCTCCAAGCTATCCAAATATCCACTTGCAGATTCCACAGAAAGACTGTTTCAAAACTGCTCTGTCAATAGAAAGGTTCAACTCTGTTAGCTGCGTGCATATATCACAAAGAAGATTCTGAGATTGCTTCTGTCTAGTTTTTATGGGAAGATATTTCCCTTTTCACCGTAGGTGTCAAGGCGCTCCAAATGTCCACTTCCAGATACTACAAAAAGGGTGTTTCAAACCTACTCTGTGAAAGGGAATATTCAACTCTGTGACTTGGATGCACATATCACAAAGAAGTTTCTGAGAATGCTTCTGTCTAGATTTTATAGGAAGATATTCCCGTTTCCAACGAAATCTTCACAGCTATCCAAATATCCCCTCGCAGATTCTACAAAAAGAGTGTTGCAAAACTGCTCTGTAAAAGGAAAGGTTCAACCCTGTTAGTTGAGTACACACATCACAAACAAGTTTCACAGAATGCTTCTTTCTAGCTTGTAGGGGAAGATATTTCCTTTATCACCATGGGCCTCAAACTGTCCGAAACGTCCACTTCCATATACTACAAAAAGAGCGTTTCAAACCTGCTCTATGAAAGGCAATGTTCAACTCTGTGACTTGAATGCAGACATCACAGAGCAGTTTCTGAGTATACTTCTGTCTAGATTTTATAGGAAGATATTCCCGTTTCCAAAGAAATCTTCACAGCTATCTAAATATCCACTTGCAGATTCTACAAAAAGAGTGTATCAAAAGTGCTCTGTCAAAAGGAAGGTTCTTCTCTGTTAGGTGAGTGCATACGTCATAAAGGAGTTTCTGAGAATGTTTCCGTCTAGTGGTTATGGGAAGATATTTGCTTTTTCACCGTAGGCCTCAGAGCGCTCCAAATATCCACTTGCACATACTACAAAAAGAGTGCTTCAAAGCTGCTCTCTGAAACGGAATGTTCAACTCTATGAGTTGAATGCAAACATCACAAAGACGTTTCTGAGAATGCTTCTGTCTAGATTTGATATGAAGATATTCCCGTTTCCAACGAAATCTTCAAATCTATCCAAATGTCCACTTGCAGATTCAACAAAGTGTTTTTCAGAACTGCTCTATCAAAAGAAAGATCCACCTCTGTTAGCTGAGATCAAACTTCACAAACAAGTTTATCAGAATGCTTCCGTCTAGTTTTTATTTGAAGATATATCCTTTCTCACTATAGACCTGAAAGCTGTCCTAAAGTTCACTTCCAGATACTACAGAAAGTGTGTTTCAAAACTGCTGTACGAAAGGGAATGTTCAACTCTGTGACTTGAATGCACACATCACAAGGATGTTTCTGAGGATGCTGCTGTCTACTTTTTATACGTAATCCCGTTTCCAACGAAATCCTCCAAGCTATCCAAATATCCACTTGCAGATTCCACAGAAAGACTGTTTCAAATCTGCTCTGTCAATAGAAAGGTTCAACTCTGTTAGCTGCATGCATATATCCCAAAGAAGATTCTGAGATTGCTTCTGTCTAGTTTTTATGAGAAGATATTTCCCTTTTCACCGTAGGCCTCAAGGCGCTCCAAATGTCCACTTCCAGATACTACAAAAAGAGTGTTTCAAACCTACTCTGTGAAAGGGAATATTCAACTCTGTGACTTAAAGGCAGATATCACAAAGAAGTTTCTGAGAATGCTTCTGTCGAGATTTTATATGAAGATATTCCCGTTTCCAACGAAATCCTGAAATCTATCCAAATATCCCCTTGCAGATTCTACAAAAAGAGTGTTTCAAAACTGCTCTGTAAAAAGAAAGGTTCAACTCTGTTAGTTGAGTACACACATCACAAACAAGTTTCACACAATGCTTTCTTTCTAGCTTGTAGGGGAAGATATTCCCTTTATCACCATGGTCCTCAAACCGTCGAAACGTCCTGTTCCATATAGTACAAAAAGAGCCTTTCAAACCTGCTCTATGAAAGGCAATGTTCAACTCTGTGACTTGAATGCAGACATCACAGAGCAGTTTCTGAGAATGCTTCTGTCTAGATTTTATAGGAAGATATTCCCGTTTCCAACGAAATCTTCACAGCTATCCAAATATCCACTTGCAGATTCTACAAAAAGAGTGTATCAAAACTGCTCTGTCAAAAGGAAGGTTCTTCCCTGTTAGGTGAGTGCATACGTCATAAAGGAGTTTCTGAGAATGTTTCTGTCTAGTGGTTATGGGAAGATATTTGCTTTTTCACCGTAGGCCTCAGAGCGCTCCAAATATCCACTTGCACATACTACAAGAAGAGTGCTTCAAAGCTGCTCTCTGAAACGGAATGTTCAACTCTATGAGTTGAATGCAAACATCACAAAGACGTTTCTGAGAATGCTTCTGTCTAGATTTGATATGAAGATATTCCCGTTTTCAACGAAATCTTCAAATCTATCCAAATGTCCACTTGCAGATTCAACAAAAAGTGTTTTTCAGAACTGCTCTATCAAAAGAAAGATCCACCTCTGTTAGCTGAGTTCACACATCACAAACAAGTTTATGAGAATGCTTCTGTCTAGTTTTTATTTGAAGATATTTCCTTTCTAACCATAGACCTGAAAGCTGTCCTAATGTTCACTTCCAGATACTACAGAAAGAGTGTTTCAAAACTGCTGTACGAAAGGGAATGTTCAACTCTGTGACTTGAATGCACACATCACAAAGAAGTTTCTGAGGATGCTGCGGTCTACTTTATATACGTAATCCCGTTTCCAACGAAATCCTCCAAGCTATCCAAATATCCACTTGCAGATTCCACAGAAAGACTGTTTCAAAACTGCTCTGTCAATAGAAAGGTTCAACTCTGTTAGCTGCGTGCATATATCCCAAAGAAGATTCTGAGATTGCTTCTGTCTACTTTTTATGAGAAGATATTTCCCTTTTCACCGCAGGCGTCAAGGCGCTCCAAATGTCCACTTCCAGATACTACAAAAAGAGTGTTTCAAACCTACTCTGTGAAAGGGAATATTCAACTCTGTGACTTGAATGCACATATCACAAAGAAGCTTCTGAGAATGCTTCTGTCGAGATTTTATATGAAGATATTCCTGTTTCCAACGAAATCCTGAAATCTATCCAAATATCCCCTCGCAGATTCTACAAAAAGAGTGTTTCAAAACTGCTCTGTAAAAAGAAAGGTTCAACTCTGTTAGTTGAGTACACACATCACAAACAAGTTTCACAGAATGCTTCTTTCTAGCTGGTAGGGGAAGATATTCGCTGTATCACCATGGGCCTCAAAACGTCCGAAACGTCCACTTCCATATACTACAAAAAGAGCGTTTCAAACCTGCTCTATGAAAGGCAATGTTCAACTCTGTGTCTTGAATGCAGACATCACACAGCAGTTTCTGAGAATGCTTCTGTCTAGATTTTATAGGAAGATATTCCCGTTTCCAACGAAATCTTCACAGCTATCAAAATATCCACTTGCAGATTCTACAAAAAGAGTGTATCAAAACTGCTCTGTCAAAAGGAAGGTTCTTCTCTCTTAGGTGAGTGCATACTTCATAAAGGAGTTTCTGAGAATGTTTCTGTCTAGTGGTTATGGGAAGATATTTGCTTTTTCACCGTAGGCCCCAGAGCGCTCCAAATATCCACTTGCACATACTACAAAAAGAGTGCTTCAAAGCTGCTCTCTGAAAGGGAATGTTCAACTCTATGAGTTGAATGCAATCATCACAAAGACGTTTCTGAGAATGCTTCTGTCTAGATTTGATATGAAGATATTCCCGTTTCCAACGAAATCTTCAAATCTATCCAAATGTCCACTTGCAGATTCAACAAAAAGTGTTTTTCAGAACTGCTCTATCAAAAGAAAGATTCACCTCTGTTAGCTGAGTTCACACATCACAAGCAAGTTTATGAGAATGCTTCTGTCTAGTTTTTATTTGAAGATACTTCCTTTCTCACCATAGACCTGAAAGCTGTCCTAGTGTTCACTTCCAGATACTACAGAAAGAGTGTTTCAAAACTGCTGTACGAAAGGGAATGTTCAACTCTGTGACTTGAATGCACACATCACAAAGAAGTTTCTGAGGATGCTGCTGTCTACTTTTTATGCGTAATCCCGTTTCCAACGAAATCCTCTAAGCTATCCAAATATCCACTTGCAGATTCCACAGAAAGACTGTTTCAAAACTGCTCTGTCAATAGAAAGGTTCAACTCTGTTAGCTGCGTGCATATATCCCAAAGAAGATTCTGAGATTGCTTCTGTCTACTTTTTATGGGAAGATATTTCCCTTTTCACCGTAGGTGTCAAGGCGCTCCAAATGTCCACTTCCAGATACTACAAAAAGAGTGTTTCTAACCTACTCTGTGAAAGGGAATATTCAACTCTGTGACTTGAATGCACATATCACAAAGAAGTTTCTGAGAATGCTTCTGTCGAGATTTTATATGAAGATATTCCCGTTTCGAACGAAATCCTGAAATCTATCCAAATATCCCCTCGCAGATTCTACAAAAAGAGTGTTTCAAAACTGCTCTGTAAAAAGAAAGGTTCAACTCTGTTAGTTGAGTACACACATCACAAACAGGTTTCACAGAATGCTTCTTTCTAGCTTGTAGGGGAATATATTCCCTTTATCACCATGGGTCTCAAACCGTCCGAAACGTCCACTTCCATATACTACAAAAAGAGCGTTTCAAACCTGCTCTATGAAAGGCAATGTTCAACTCTGTGACTTGAATGCAGACATCACAGAGCTGTTTCTGAGAATGCTTCTGTCTAGATTTTATAGGAAGATATTCCCGTTTCCAACGAAATCTTCACAGCTATCCAAATATCCACTTGCCGATTCTACAAAAAGAGTGTATCAAAACTGCTCTGTCAAAAGGAAGGTTCTTCTCTGTTAGGTGAGTGCATACGTCATAAAGGAGTTTCTGAGAATGTTTCTGTCTAGTGGTTATGGGAAGATATTTGCTTTTTCACCGTAGGCCTCAGAGCGCTCCAAATATCCACTTGCACATGCTACAAAAAGAGTGCTTCAAAGCTGCTCTCTGAAACGGAATGTTCAACTCTATGAGTTGAATGCAAACATCACAAAGACGTTTCTGAGAATGCTTCTGTCTAGATTTGATATGAAGATATTCCCGTTTCCAACGAAATCTTAAAATCTATCCAAATGTCCACTTGCAGATTCAACAAAATGTGTTTTTCAGAACTGCTCTATCAAAAGAAAGATCCACCTCTGTAAGCTGAGTTCACACATCACAAACAAGTTTATGAGAATGCTTCTGTCTAGTTTTTATTTGAAGATATTTCCTTTCTCACCATAGACCTGAAAGCTCTCCTAGTGTTCACTTCCAGATACTACAGAAAGAGTGTTTCAAAACTGCTGTACGAAAGGGAATGTTCAACTCTGTGACTTGAATGCACACATCACAAAGAAGTTTCTGAGGATGCTGCTGTCTACTTTTTATACGTATCCCGTTTCCAACGAAATCCTCCAAGCTATCCAAATATCCACTTGCAGATTCCACAGAAAGACTGTTTCAAAACTGCTCTGTCAATAGAAAGGTTCAACTCTGTTAGCTGCGTGCATATATCCCAAAGAAGATTCTGAGATTGCTTCTGTCTAGTTTTTATGGGAAGATATTTCCCTTTTCACCGTAGGTGTCAAGGCGCTCAAAATGTCCACTTCCAGATACTACAAGAAGAGTGTTTCAAACCTACTCTGTGAAAGGCAATATTCAACTCTGTGACTTGAATGCAGATATCACAAAGAAGTTTCTGAGAATGCTTCTGTCGAGATTTTATATGAAGATATTCTCGTTTCCAACGAAATCCTGAAATCTATCCAAATATCCCCTCACAGATTCTACAAAAAGAGTGTTTCAAAACTGCTCTGTAAAAAGAAAGGTTCAACTCTGTTAGTTGAGTACACACATCACAAACAAGTTTCACACAATGCTTCTTTCTAGCTTGTAGGGGAAGATATTCCCTTTATCACCATGGGCCTCAAACCGTCGGAAACATCCACTTCCATATACTACAAAAAGAGCGTTTCAAACCTGCTCTATGAAAGGCAATGTTCAACTCTGTGACTTGAATGCAGACATCACAGAGCAGTTTCTGAGAATGCTTCTGTCTAGATTTTATAGGAAGATATTCCCGTTTCCAGGGAAATCTTCACAGCTATCCAAATATCCACTTGCAGATTCTACAAAAAGAGTGTATCAAAACTGCTCTGTCAAAAGGAAGGTTCTTCTCTGTTAGGTGAGTACATACGTCATAAAGGAGTTTCTGAGAATGTTTCTGTCTAGTGGTTATGGGAAGATATTTGCTTTTTCCCCGTAGGCCTCAGGGCGCTCCAAATGTCCACTTGCACATGCTACAAAAAGAGTGCTTCAAAGCTGCTCTCTCAAAGGGAATGTTCAACTCTATGAGTTGAATGCAAACATCGCAAAGACGTTTACTGAGAATGCTTCTGTCTAGATTTGATATGAAGATATTCCCGTTTCCAACGAAATCTTCAAATCTATCCAAATGTCCACTAGCAGATTCAACAAAAAGTGTTTTTCAGAACTGCTCTATCAAAAGAAAGATCCACCTCTGTTAGCTGAGTTCACACATCACAAACAAGTTTATGAGAATGCTTCCGTCTAGTTTTTATTTGAAGATATTTCCTTTCTCACCATAGACCTGAAAGCTGTCCTAATGTTCACTTCCAGATACTACAGAAAGAGTGTTTCAAAACTGCTGTACGAAAGGGAATGTTCAACTCTGTGACTTGAATGCACACATCACAAAGAAGTTTCCTGAGGATGCTGCTGTCTACTTTTTATACGTAATCCCGTTTCCAACGAAATCCTCCAAGCTATCCAAATATCCACTTGCAGATTCCACAGAAAGACTGTTTCAAAACTGCTCTGTCAATAGAAAGGTTCAACTCTGTTAGCTGCGTGGCATATATCCCAAAGAAGATTCTGAGATTGCTTCTGTCTAGTTTTTATCGGAAGATATTTCCCTTTTCACCGTAGGCGTCAAGGCGCTCCAAATGTCCAATTCCAGATACTATAAAAAGAGTGTTTCAAACCTACTCTGTGAAAGGGAATATTCAACTCTGTGACTGGAATGCAGATATCACAAAGATGTTTCTGAGAATGCTTCTGTCGAGATTTTATATGAAGATATTCCCGTTTCCAATGAAATCCTGAAATCTATCCAAATATCCCCTCGTAGATTCTACAAAAAGAGTGTTTCAAAACTGCTCTGTAAAAAGAAAGTTTCAACTCTGTTAGTTGAGTACACACATCACAAACAAGTTTCACAGAATGCTTCTTTCTAGCTTGTAGGGGAAGATATTCCCTTTATCACCATGGGCCTCAAACCGTCCGAAACGTCTACTTCCATATACTACAAAAAGAGCATTTCAAACCTGCTCTAGGAAAGGCAATGTTCAACTCTGTGACTTGAATGCAGACATCACAGAGCAGTTTCTGAGAATGCTTCTGTCTAGATTTTATAGGAAGATATTCCCGTTTCCAATCGAAATCTTCACAGGTATCCAAATATCCACTTGCAGATTCTACAAAAAGAGTGTATCAAAACTGCTCTGTCAAAAGGAAGGTTCTTCTCTGTTAGGTGAGTGCATACGTCATAAAGGAGTTTCTGAGAATGTTTCCGTCTAGTGGTTATGGGAAGATATTTGCTTTCTCACCGTAGGCCTCAGAGCGCTCCAAATATCCACTTGCACATACTACAAAAAGAGTGCTTCAAAGCTGTTCTCTGAAACGGAATGTTCAACTCTATGAGTTGAATGCAAACATCGCAAAGACGTTTCTGAGAATGCTTCTGTCTAGATTTGATATGAAGATATTCCCGTTTCCAACGAAATCTTCATATCTATCCAAATGTCCACTTGCAGATTCAACAAAAAGTGTTTTTCAAAACTTCTGTATCAAAAGAAAGATCCACGTCTGTTAGCTGAGTTCACACATCACAAACAAGTTTATGAGAATGCTTCTGTCTAGTTTTTATTTGAAGATATTTCCTTTCGCACCATAGACCTGAAAGCTGTCCTAATGTTCACTTCCAGATACTACAGAAAGAGTGTTTCAAAACTGCTGTACGAAAGGGAATGTTCAACTCTGTGACTTGAATGCACACATCACAAAGAAGTTTCTGAGGATGCTGCTGTCTACTTTTTATACGTAATCCCGTTTCCAGCGAAATCCTCCAATCTATCCAAATATCCACTTGCAGATTCCACAGAAAGACTGTTTCAAAACTGCTCTGTCAATAGAAAGGTTCAACTCTGTTAGCTGCGTGCATATATCCCAAAGAAGATTCTGAGATTGCTTCTGTCTAGTTTTTATGGGAAGATATTTCCCTTTTCACCGTAGGTGTCAAGGCGCTCCAAATGGCCACTTCCAGATACTACAAAAAGAGTGTTTCAAACCTACTCTGTGAAAGGGAATATTCAACTGTGTGACTAGAATGCACGTATCACAAAGAAGTTTCTGAGAATGCTTCTGTCGAGATTTTATATGAAGATATTCCCGTTTCCAACGAAATCCTGAAATCTATCCAAATATCCCCTTGCAGATTCTACAAAAAGAGTGTTTCAAAACTGCTCTGTAAAAAGAAAGGTTCAACTCTGTTAGTTGAGTACACACATCACAAACAGGTTTCACACAATGCTTCTTTCTAGCTTGTAGGGGAAGATATTCCCTTTATCACCATGGGCCTCAAAACGTCCGATAAGTCCACTTCCATATACTACAAAAAGAGCGTTTCAAACCTGCTCTATGAAAGGCAATGTTCAACTCTGTGACTTGAATGCAGACATCACAGAGCAGTTTCTGAGAATGCTTCTGTCCAGACTTTATAGGAAGATATTCCCGTTTCCAAAGAAATCTTCACAGCTATCCAAATATCCACTTGCAGATTCTACAAAAAGAGTGTATCAAAACTGCTCTGTCAAAAGGAAGGTTCTTCCCTGTTAGTTGAGTGCATACGTCATAAAGGAGTTTCTGAGAATGTTTCTGTCTAGTGGTTATGGGAAGATATTTGCTTTTTCACCGTAGGCCTCAGAGCGCTCCAAATATCCACTTGCACATACTACAAAAAGAGTGCCTCAAAGCTGCTCTCTGAAAAGGAATGTTCAACTCTATGAGTTGAATGCAAACATCGCAAAGACGTTTCTGAGAATGCTTCTGTCTAGATTTGATATGAAGGTATTCCCGTTTCCAACGAAATCTTCAAATCTATCCAAATGTCCACTTGCAGATTCAACAAAAAGTGTTTTTCAGAACTGCTCTATCAAAAGAAAGATCCACCTCTGTTAGCTGAGTTCACACATCACAAACAAGTTTTTGAGAATGCTTTCTGTCTAGTTTTTATTTGAAGATATTTCCTTTCTCACCATAGAGCTGAAAGCTGTCCTAATGTTCACTTCCAGATACTACAGAAAGAGTGTTTCAAAACTGCTGTATGAAAGGGAATGTTCAACTCTGTGACTTGAATGCACACATCACAAAGAAGTTTCGGAGGATGCTGCTGTCTACTTTTTATACGTAATCCCGTTTCCAACGAAATCCTCCAAGCTATCCAAATATCCACTTGCAGATTCCACAGAAAGACTCTTTCAAAACTGCTCTGTCAATAGAAAGGTTCAACTCTGTTAGCTGCGTACATATATCCCAAAGAAGATTCTGAGATTGCTTCTGTCTAGTTTTTATGGGAAGATATTTCCCTTTTCACCATAGGCGTCAAGGCGCTCCAAATGTCCACTTCCAGATACTACAAAAAGAGTGTTTCAAACCTACTCTGTGAAAGGGAATATTCAACTCTGTGACTTGAATGCACATATCACGAAGAAGTTTCTGCGAATGCTTCGGTCTTCTGTCGAGATTTTATATGAAGATATTCCCGTTTCCAACGAAATCCTGAAATCTATCCAAATATCCCCTCGCAGATTCTACAAAAAGAGTGTTTCAAAACTGCTCTGTAAAAAGAAAGGTTCAACTCTGTTAGTTGAGTACACACAGCACAAACAAGTTTCACAGAATGCTTCTTTCTAGCTTGTAGGGGAAGATATTCCCTTTATCACCATGGGCCTCAAACCGTCCGAAACGTCCACTTCCATACACTACAAAAAGAGCGTTTCAAACCTGCTCTATGAAAGGCAATGTTCAACTCTGTGACTTGAATGCAGACATCACAGAGCAGTTTCTGAGAATGCTTCTGTCTAGATTTTATATGAAGATATTCCCATTTCCAATGAAATCTTCAAAGATATCCAAATATCCAATTGCAGATTCTACAAAAAGAGTGTATCAAAACTGTTGTGTCAAAAGGAAGGTTCAACTCTGTTAGTTGTGTACATACATCATAAAGAAGTTTCTGAGAATGTTTCTGTCTAGTGGTTATGGGAAGATATTTGCTTTTTCACCGTAGGCCTCAGAGCGCTCCAAATATCCACTTGCACATACTACAAAAAGAGTGCTTCAAAGCTGGTCTCTGAAACGGAATGTTCAACTCTATGAGTTGAATGCAAACATCACAAAGACGTTTCTGAGAATGCTCTGTCTAGATTTGATATGAAGATATTCCCGTTTCCAACGAAATCTTCAAATCTATCCAAATGTCCACTTGCAGATTCAACAAAACGTGTTTTTCAGAACTGCTCTATCAAAAGAAAGATCCACCTCTGTTAGCTGAGTTCACACATCACAAACAAGTTTATGAGAATGCTTCTGTCTAGTTTTTATTTGAAGATATAACCTTTCTCACTATAGACCTGAAAGCTCTCCTAAAGTTCACTTCCAGATACTACAGAAAGAGTGTTTCAAAACTGCTGTACAAAAGGGAATGTTCAACTCTGTGACTTGAATGCACACATCACAAAGAAGTTTCTGAGGATGCTGCTGTCTACTTTTTATACTTAATCCCGTTTCCAACGAAATCCTCCAAGCTATCCGAATATCCACTTCCAGATTCCACAGAAAGACTGTTTCAAAACTGCTCTGTCAATAGAAAGGTTCAACTCTGTTAGCTGCGTGCATATATCCCAAAGAAGATTCTGAGATTGCTTCTGTCTAGTTTTTATGGGAAGATATTTCCCTTTTCACCGTAGGCGTCCAGGCGCTCCAAATGTCCACTTCCAGATACTACAAAAAGAGTGTTTCAAACCTACTCTGTGAAAGGGAATATTCAACTCTGTGACTTGAATGCACATATCACAAGGGAAGTTTCTGAGAATGCTTCTGTCGAGATTTTATATGAAGATATTCCCGTTTCCAACGAAATGCTGAAATCTATCCAAATATCCCCTCGCAGATTCTACAAAAAGAGTGTTTCAAAACTGCTCTGTAAAAAGAAAGGTTCAACTCTGTTAGTTGAGTACACACATCACAAACAAGTTTCACACAATGCTTCTTTCTAGCTTGTAGGGGAAGATATTCCCTTTATCACCATGGGCCTCAAACCGTCCGAAACGTCCACTTCCAAATACTACAAAAAGAGTGTTTCAAACCTGCTCTATGAAAGGCAATGTTCAACTCTGTGACTTGAATGCAGACATCACAGAGCACTTTCTGAGAATGCTTCTGTCTAGATTTTATAGGAAGATATTCCCGTTTCCAACGAAATCTTCACAGCTATCCAAATATCCACTTGCAGATTCTACAAAATGTGTGTATCAAAACTGCTCTGTCAAAAGGAAGGTTCTTCTCTCTTAGGTGAGTACATACGTCATAAAGGAGTTTCTGAGAATGTTTCTGTCTAGTGGTTATGGGAAGATATTTGCTTTTTCACCTTAGGCCTCAGAGCGCTCCAAATATCCCCTTGCACATACTACAAAAAGAGTGCTTCACAGCTGCTCTCTGAAACGGAATGTTCAACTCTATGAGTTGAATGCAAACATCACAAAGACGTTTCTGAGAATGCTTCGGTCTAGATTTGATATGAAGATATTCCCGTTTCCAACGAAATCTTCAAATCTATCCAAATGTCCACTTGCAGATTCAACAAAAAGTGTTTTTCAGAACTGCTCTATCAAAAGAAAGATCCACCTCTGTTAGCTGAGTTCACACATCACAAACAAGTTTATGAGAATGCTTTCTGTCTAGTTTTTATTTGAAGATATTTCCTTTCTCACCGTAGACCTGAAAGCTGTCCTAATGTTCACTTCCAGATACTACAGAAAGAGTGTTTCAAAACTGCTGTACGAAAGGGAATGTTCAACTCTGTGACTTCAATGCAAACATCACAAAGAAGTTTCTGAGGATGCTGCTGTCTACTTTTTACACGTAATCCCGTTTCCAACGAAATCCTCCAAGCTATCCAAATATCCACTTGCAGATTCCACAGAAAGACTGTTTCAAAACTGCTCTGTCAATAGAAAGGTTCAACTCTGTTAGCTGCGTGCATATATCCCAAAGGAGATTCTGAGATTGCTTCTGTCTAGTTTTTATGGGAAGATATTTACCTTTTCACTTTAGGTGTCAAGGCGCTCCAAATGTCCACTTCCAGATACTACAAAAAGAGTGTTTCAAACCTACTCTGTGAAAGGGAATATTCAACTCTGTGACTTGAATGCAGATATCACAAAGAAGTTTCTGAGAATGCTTCTGTCGAGATTTTATATGAAGATATTCCCGTTTCCAACGAAATCCTGAAATCTATCCAAATATCCCCTCGCAGATTCTACAAAAAGAGTGTTTCAAAACTGCTGTGTAAAAAGAAAGGTTCAACTCTGTTAGTTGAGTACACACATCACAAACAAATTTCACAGAATGATTCTTTCTAGCTTGTAGGGGAAGATATTCCCTTTATCACCATGGGCCTCAAACCGTCCGAAACGTCCACTTCCATATACTACAAAAAGAGCGTTTCAAACCTGCTCTATGAAAGGCAATGTTCAACTCTGTGACTTGAATGCAGACATCACAGAGCACTTTCTGAGAAGGCTTCTGTCTAGATTTTATAGGAAGATATTCCCGTTTCCAACGAAATCTTCACAGCTATCCAAATATCCACTTGCAGATTCTACAAAAAGAGTGTATCAAAACTGCTCTGGCAAAAGGAAGGTTCTTTTCTGTTAGGTGAGTGCATACGTCATAAAGGAGTTTCTGAGAATGTTTCTGTCTAGTGGTTATGGGAAGATATTTGCTTTTTCACCGTAGGCCTCAGAGCGCTCCAAATATCCACTTGCACATACGACAAAAAGAGTGCTTCAAAGCTGCTCTCTGAAACGGAATGTTCAACTCTGTGAGTTGAATGCAAACGTCACAAAGACGTTTCCGCGAATGCTTCTGTCTAGATTTGATATGAAGATATTCCCGTTTCCAACGAAATCTTCAAATCTATCCAAATGTCCACTTGCAGATTCTACAAAAAGTGTTTTTCAGAACTGCTCTATCAAGAGAAAGATCCACCTCTGTTAGCTGAGTTCACACATCACAAACAAGTTTATGAGAATGCTTCTGTCTAGTTTTTGTTTGAAGATATTTCCTTTCTCACCATAGAGCTGAAAGCTGTCCTAATGTTCACTTCCAGATACTACAGAAAGAGTGTTTCAAAACTGCTGTACGAAAGGGAATGTTCAACTCTGTCACTTGAATGCACACATCACAAAGAAGTTTCTGAGGATGCTGCTGTCTACTTTTTATACTTAATCCCGTTTCCAACGAAGTCCTCCAAGCTATCCAAATATCCACTTGCAGATTCCACAGAAAGGCTGTTTCAAAACTGCTCTGTCAATAGAAAGGTTCAACTCTGTTAGCTGCGTGCATATATCCCAAAGAAGATTCTGAGATTGCTTCTGTCTAGTTTTTAGGGGAAGATATTTCCCTTTTCACCGTAGGTGTCAAGGCGCTCCAAATGTCCACTTCCAGATACTACAAAAAGAGTGTTTCAAACCTACTCTGTGAAAGGGAATATTCAACTCTGTGACTTCAATGCACATATCACAAAGAAGTTTCTGAGAATGCTTCTGCCGAGATTTTATATGAAGATATTCCCGTTTCCAACGAAATGCTGAAATCTATCCAAATATCCCCTCGCAGATTCTACAAAAAGAGTGTTTCAAAACTGCTCTGTGAAAAGAAAGGTTCATCTCTGTTAGTTGAGTACACACATCACAAACAAGTTTCACAGAATGCTTCTTTCTAGCTTGTAGGGGAAGATATTCCCTTTATCACCATGGGCCTCAAACCGTCTGAAACGTCCACTTCCATATACTACAAAAAGAGCATTTCAAACCTGCTCTGTGAAAGGCAATGTTCAACTCTGTGACTTGAATGCAGACATCACACAGCAGTTTCTGAGAATGCTTCTGTCTAGATTTTATAGGAAGATATTCCCGTTTCCAACGAAATCTTCACAGCTATCCAAATATCCACTTGCAGATTCTACAAAAAGAGTGTATCAAAACTGCTCTGTCAAAAGGAAGGTTCTTTTCTGTCAGGTGAGTGCATACGTCATAAAGGAGTTTCTGAGAATGTTTCTGTCTAGTGGTTATGGGAAGATATTTGCTTTTTCACCTTAGGCCTCAGAGCGCTCAAAATATCCCCTTGCACATACTACAAAAAGAGTGCTTCAAAGCTGCTCTCTGAAACGGAATGTTCAACTCTATGGGTTGAATGCAAACATCACAAAGACGTTTCCGAGAATGCTTCTGTCTAGATTTGATATGACGATATTCCCGTTTACAACGAAATCTTCAAATCTATCCAAATGTCCACTTGCAGATTCAACAAAACGTGTTTTTCAGAACTGCTCTATCAAAAGAAAGATCCACCTCTGTTAGCTGAGTTCACACATCACAAACAAGTTTATGAGAATGCTTCTGTCTAGTTTTTATTTGAAGATATTTCCTTTCTCACCATAGACCTGAAAGCTGTCCTAATGTTCACTTCGAGATACTACAGAAAGAGTGTTTCAAAACTGCTGTACGAAAGGGAATGTTCAACTCTGTGACTTGAATGCACACATCACAAAGAAGTTTCTGAGGATGCTGCTGTCTACTTTTTATACGTAATCCCGTTTCCAACGAAATCCTCCAAGCTATCCAAATATCCATTTGCAGATTCCACAGAAAGACTGTTTCAAAACTGCTCTGTCAATAGAAAGTTTCAACTCTGTTAGCTGCGTGCATATATCCCAAAGAAGATTCTGAGATTGCTTCTGTCTAGTTTTTATGGGAAGATATTTCCCTTTTCACCTTAGGCGTCAAGGCGCTCCAAATGTCCACTTCCAGATACTACAAAAAGAGTGTTTCAAACCTACTCTGTGAAAGGGAATATTCAACTCTGTGACTTGAATGCACATATCACAAAGAAGTTTCTGAGAATGCTTCTGTCGAGATTTTATATGAAGATATTCCCGTTTCCAACGAAATCCTGAAATCTATCCAAATGTCCCCTCGCAGATTCTACAAAAAGAGTGTTTCAAAACTGCTCTGTAAAAAGAAAGGTTCAACTCTGTTAGTTGAGTACACACATCACAAAGAAGTTTCACAGAATGCTTCTTTCTAGCTTGTTGGGGAAGATATTCCCTTTATCACCATGGGCCTCAAACCGTCCGAAACGTCCACTTCCATATACTACAAAAAGAGTGTTTCAAACCTGCTCTATGAACGGCAATGTTCAACTCTGTGACTTGAATGCAGACATCACAGAGCAGTTTCTGAGAATGCTTCTGTCTAGATTTTATAGGAAGTATATTCCCGTTTCCAACGAAATCTTCACAGCTATCCAAATATCCACTTGCAGATTCTACAAAAAGAGTGTATCAAAACTGCTCTGTCAAAAGGAAGGTTCTTTTCTGTTAGGTGAGTGCATACGTCATAAAGGAGTTTCTGAGAATGTTTCTGTCTAGTGGTTATTGGAAGATATTTGCTTTTTCACCGTAGGCCTCAGATCGCTCCAAATATCCACTTGCACATACTACAAAAAGAGTGCTTCAAAGCTGCTCTCTGAAACGGAATGTTCAACTCTATGAGTTGAATGCAAACATCACAAAGACGTTTCTGAGAATGCTTCTGTCTAGATTTGATATGAAGATATTCCCGTTTCCAACGAAATCTTCAAATCTATCCAAATGTCCACTTGCAGATTCAACAAAAAGTGTTTTTCAAAACTGCTGTATCAAAAGAAAGATCCACGCCTGTTAGCTGAGTTCACACATCACAAACAAGTTTATGAGAATGCTTCTGTCTAGTTTTTATTTGAAGATATTGCCTTTCTCACCATAGACCTGAAAGCTGTCCTAATGTTCACTTCCAGATACTACAGAAAGAGTTTTTCAAAACTGCTGTACGAAAGGGAATGTTCAACTCTGTGACTTGAATGCACACATCACAAAGAAGTTTCTGAGGATGCTGCTGTCTAATTTTTATACATAATCCCTTTTCCAACGAAATCCTCCAAGCTATCCAAATATCCACTTGCAGATTCCACAGAAAGACTGTTTCAAAACTGCTCTGTCAATAGAAAGGTTCAACTCTGTTAGCTGCGTGCATATATCCCAAAGAAGATTCGGAGATTGCTTCTGTCTCGTTTTTATGGGAAGATATTTACCTTTTCACCGTAGGTGTCAAGGCGCTCCAAATGTCCACTTCCAGATACTACAAAAAGAGTGTTTCAAACCTACTCTGTGAAAGGGAATATTCAACTCTGTGACTTGAATGCAGATATCACAAAGAAGTTTCTGAGAATGCTTCTGTCGAGATTTTATATGAAGATATTCCCGTTTCCAACGAAATCCTGAAATCTATCCAAATATCCCCTCGCAGATTCTACAAAAAGAGTGTTGCAAAACTGCTCTGTAAAAAGAAAGGTTCAACCCTGTTAGTTGAGTACACACATCACAAACAAGTTTCACAGAATGCTTCTTTCTAGCTTGTAGGGGAAGATATTCCCTTTATCACCATGGGCCTCAAACCGTCCGAAACGTCCACTTCCATATAGTACAAAAAGAGTGTTTCAAACCTGCTCTATGAACGGCAATGTTCAACTCTGTGACTTGAATGCAGACATCACAGAGCAGTTTCTGAGAATGCTTCTGTCTAGATTTTATAGGAAGATATTCCCGATTCCAACGAAATCTTCACAGCTATCCAAATATCCACTTGCAGATTCTACAAAAAGAGTGTATCAAAACTGCTCTGTCAAAAGGAAGGTTCTTCTCTGTTAGTTGAGTACATACGTCATAAAGGAGTTTCTGAGAATGTTTCAGTCTAGTGGTTATGGGAAGATATTTGCTTTTTCCCCGTAGGCCTCAGAGCGCTCCAAATATCCACTTGCACATACTACAAAAAGAGTGCTTCAAAGCTGCTCTCTGAAACGGAATGTTCAACTCTATGAGTTGAATGCAAACATCACAAAGACGTTTCTGAGAATGCTTCTGTCGAGATTTTATATGAAGATATTCCCGTTTCCAACGAAATTTTCAAATCTATACAAATGTCCACTTGCAGATTCAACAAAGTGTTTTTCAAAACTGCTGTATCAAAAGAAAGATCCACCTCTGTTAGCTGAGTTCACACTTCACAAACAAGTTTATCAGACTGCTTCTGTCTAGTTTTTATTTGAAGATATTTCCTTTCTCACCACAGACCTGAAAGCTGTCCTAATGTTCACTTGCAGATACTACAGAAAGAGTGTTTCAAAACTGCTGTACGAAAGGGAATGTTCAACTCTGTGACTTGAATGCACACATCACAAAGAAGTTTCTGAGGATGCTGCTGTCTACTTTTTATACGTAATCGCGTTTCCAACGAAATCCTCCAAGCTATCCAAATATCCACTTGCAGATTCCACAGAAAGACTGTTTCAAAACTGCTCTGTCAATAGAAAGGTTCAACTCTGCTAGCTACGTGCATATATCCCAAAGAAGATTCTGAGATTGCTTCTGTCTAGTTTTTATGGGAAGATATTTCCCTTTTCACCGTAGGCGTGAAGGCGCTCCAAATGTCCACTTCCAGATACTACAAAAAGAGTGTTTCAAACCTACTATGTGAAAGGGAATATTCAACTCTGTGACTTCAATGCAGATATCACAAAGAAGTTTCTGAGAAGGCTTCTGTTGAGATTTTATATGAAGATATTCCCGTTTCCAACGAAATCCTGAAATCTATCCAAATATCCCCTCGCAGATTCTACAAAAAGAGTGTTTCAAAACTGCTCTGTAAAAAGAAAGGTGCAACTCTGTTAGTTGAGTACACACATCACAAACAAGTTTCACAGAATGCTTCTTTCTAGCTTGTAGGGGAAGATATTCCCTTTATCACCATGGGCCTCAAACCGTCCGAAACGTCCACTTCCATATACTACAGAAAGAGCGTTTCAAACCTGTTCTAGGAAAGGCAATGTTCAACTCTGTGACTTGAATGCAGACATCACAGAGCAGTTTCTGAGAATGCTTCTGTCTAGATTTTATAGGAAGATATTCCCGTTTCCAACGAAATCTTCACAGCTATCCAAATATCCACTTGCAGATTCTACAAAAAGAGTGTATCAAAACTGCTCTGTCAAAAGGAAGGTTCTTTTCTGTTAGGTGAGTGCATACGTCATAAAGGAGTTTCTGAGAATGTTTTCTGTCTAGTGGTTATGGGAAGATATTTGCTTTTTCACCTTAGGCCTCAGAGCGCTCCAAATATCCCCTTGCACATACTACAAAAAGAGTGCTTCAAAGCTGCTCTCTGAAAGAGAATGTTCAACTCTATGAGTTGAATGCAAACATCACAAAGACGTTTCTGGGAATGCTTCTGTCTAGATTTGATATGAAGATATTCCCGTTTCCAAAGAAATCTTCAAATCTATCCAAATGTCCACTTGCAGATTCATCAAAAAGTGTTTTTCAGAACTGCTCTATCAAAAGAAAGATCCACCTCTGTTAGCTGAGTTCACACATCACACACAAGTTTATGAGAATGCTTCTGTCTAGTTTTTATTTGAAGATATTTCCTTTCTCACCATAGACCTGAAAGCTGTCCTAATGTTCACTTCCAGATACTACAGAAAGAGTGTTTCAAAACTGCTGTACGAAAGGGAATGTTCAACTCTGTGACTTGAATTCAATCATCACAAAGAAGTTTCTGAGGATGCTGCTGTCTACTTTTTATACGTAATCCCGTTTCCAAAGAAATCCTCCAAGCTATCCAAATATCCACTTGCAGATTCCACAGAAGGACTGTTTCTAAACTGCTCTGTCAATAGAAAGGTTCAACTCTGTGAGCTGCGTGCATATATCCCAAAGAAGATTCTGAGATTGCTTCTGTCTAGTTTTTATGGGAAGATATTTCCCTTTTCACCGTAGGCGTCAAGGCGCTCCAAATGTCCACTTCCAGATACTACAAAAAGAGTGTTTCAAACCTACTCTGTGAAAGGGAATATTCAACTCTGTGACCTGAATGCACATATCACAAAGAAGTTTCTGAGAATGCTTCCGTCGAGATTTTATATGAAGATATTCCCGTTTCCAACGAAATCCTGAAATCTATCCAAATATCCCCTCGCAGATTCTACAAAAAGAGTGTTTCAACACTGTTCTGTAAAAAGAAAGGTTCAACTCTGTTAGTTGAGTACACACATCACAAACAAGTTTCACAGAATGCTTCTTTCTAGCTTGTAGGGGAAGATATTCCCTTTATCACCATGGGCCTCAAACCATCCGAAATGTCCACTTCAATATACTACAAAAAGAGCGTTTCAAACCTGCTCTAGGAAAGGGAATGTTCAACTCTGTGACTTGAATGCAGACATCACAGAGCAGTTTCTGAGAATGCTTCTCTCTAGATTTTATGGGAAGATATTCCCGTTTCCGACGAAATCTTCACAGCTATCCAAATATCCACTTGCAGATTCTACAAAAAGAGTGTATCAAAACTGCTCTGTCAAAAGGAAGGTTCTTCTCTGTTAGGTGAGTGCATACGTCATAAAGGAGTTTCTGAGAATGTTTCCATCTAGTGGTTATGGGAAGATATTTGCTTTTTCACCGAAGGCCTCAGAGCGCTCCAAATATCCACTTGCACATACTACAAAAAGAGTGCCTCAAAGCTGCTCTCTGAAACGGAATGTTCAACTCTATGAGTTGAATGCAAACATCGCAACGACGTTTCTGAGAATGCTTCTGTCTAGATTTGACATGAAGATATTCCGGTTTCCAACGAAATCTTCAAATCTATCCAAATGTCCACTTGCAGATTCAACAAAAAGTGTTTTTCAGAACTGCTCTATCAAAAGAAAGATCCACCTCTGTTAGCTGAGTTCACACATCACAAACAAGTTTATGAGAATGCTTCTGTCTAGTTTTTATTTGAAGATATATCCTTTCTCACTATAGACGTGAAAGCTCTCCTAAAGTTCACTTCCAGATACTACAGAAAGAGTTTTTCAAAACTGCTGTACGAAAGGGAATGTTCAACTCTGTGACTTGAAAGCACACATCACAAGGAAGATTCTGAGGATGCTGCTGTATACTTTTTATACGTAATCCCGTTTCCAACGAAATCCTCCAAGCTATCCAAATATCCACTTGCAGATTCCACAGAAAGACTGTTTCAAAACTGCTCTGTCAATAGAAAGGTTCAACTCTGTTAGCTGCGTGCATATATCCCAAAGAAGATTCTGAGATTGCTTCTGTCTAGTTTTTATGGGAAGATATTTCCCTTTTCACCGTAGGCGTCAAGGCGCTCCAAATGTCCACTTCCAGATACTACAAAAAGAGTGTTTCAAACCTACTCTGTGAAAGGGAATATTCAACTCTGTGACTTGAGTGCAGATATCACAAAGAAGTTTCTGAGAATGCTTCTGTCGAGATTTTATATGAAGATATTCCCGTTTCCAACGAAATGCTGAAATGTATCCAAATATCCCCTCGCAGATTCTACAAAAAGAGTGTTTCAAAACTGCTCTGTAAAAAGAGAGGTTCAACTCTGTTAGTTGAGTACACACATCACAAACAAGTTTCACACAATGCTTCTTTCTAGCTTGTAGGGGAAGATATGCCCTTTATCACCATGGGCCTCCAACCGTCCGAAACATCCACTTTCATATACTACAAAAAGAGCGTTTCAAACCTGCTCTATGAAAGGCAATGTTCAACTCTGTGACTTGAATGCAGACATCACAGAGCAGTTTCTGAGAATGCTTCTGTCTAGATTTTATAGGAAGTTATTCCCGTTTCCAACGAAATCTTCACAGCTATCCAAATATCCACTTGCAGATTCTACAAAAAGAGTGTATCAAAACTGCTCTGTCAAAAGGAAGGTTCTTTTCTGTTAGGTGAGTGCATACGTCATAAAGGAGTTTCTGAGAATGTTTCTGTCTAGTGGTTATGGGAAGATATTTGCTTTTTCACCGTAGGCCTCAGAGCGCTCCAAATATCCACTTGCACATACTACAAAAAGAGTGCTTCAAAGCTGCTCTCTGAAAGGGAATGTTCAACTCTATGAGTTGAATGCGAACATCACAAAGACGTTTCTGAGAATGCTTCTGTCTAGATTTGATATGAAGATATTCCCGTTTCCAACGAAATCTTCAAATCTATCCAAATGTCCACTTGCAGATTCAACAAAAAGTGTTTTTCAGAACTGCTCTATCAAAAGAAAGATCCACCTCTGTTAGCTGAGTTCACACATCACTAACAGGTTTATGAGAATGCTTCTGTCTAATTTTTATTTGAAGATATTTCCTTTCTCACCATAGACCTGAAAGCGGTCCTAATGTTCACTTCCAGATACTACAGAAAGAGTGTTTCAAAACTGCTGTACGAAAGGGAATGTTCAACTCTGTGACTTGAATGCACACATCACAAAGAAGTTTCTGAGGATGCTGCTGTCTACCTTTTATACGTAATCCCGTTTCCAACGAAATCCTCCAAGCTATCCAAATATCCACTTGCAGATTCCACAGAAAGACTGTTTCAAAACTGCTCTGTCAATAGAAAGGTTCAACTCTGTTAGCTGCGTGCATATATCCCAAAGAAGATTCTGAGATTGCTTCTGTCTAGTTTTTATGGGAAGATATTTCCCTTTTCACCGTAGGCGTCAAGGCGCTCCAAATGTCCACTTCCAGATACTACAAAAAGAGTGTTTCAAACCTACTCTGTGAAAGGGAATATTCAACTCTGTGACTTGAAGGAAGATATCACAAAGAAGTTTCTGAGAATGCTTCTGTCGAGATTTTCTATGAAGATGTTCCCGTTTCCAACGAAATCCTGAAATCTATCCAAATATCCCCTCGCAGATTCTACAAAAAGAGTGTTTCAAAACTGCTCTGTAAAAAGAAAGGTTCAACTCTGTTAGTTGAGTACACACATCACAAACAAGTTTCACAGAATGCTTCTTTCTAGCTTGTAGGGGAAGATATTCCCTTTATCACCATGGGCCTCAAACCGTCCGAAACGTCCTCTTCCATATACTACAAAAAGAGCGTTTCAAACCTGCTCTATGAAAGGCAATGTTCAACTCTGTGACTTGAATGCAGACATCACAGAGCAGTTTCTGAGAATGCTTCTGTCTAGATTTTATAGGAAGATATTCCCGTTTCCAACGAAATATTCACAGCTATCCAAATATCCACTTGCAGATTCTACAAAAAGAGTGTATCAAAACTGCTCTGTCAAAAGGAAGGTTCTTCTCTGTTAGGTGAGTGCATACGTCATAAAGGAGTTTCTGAGAATGTTTCTGTCTAGTGGTTATGGGAAGATATTTGCTTTTTCACCGTAGGCCTCAGAGCGCTCCAAATATCCACTTGCACATACTACAAAAAGAGTGCTTCAAAGCTGCTCTCTGAAACGGAATGTTCAACTCTACGAGTTGAATGCAAACATCACAAAGACGTTTCTGAGAATGCTTCTGTCTAGATTTGATATGAAGATATTCCCGTTTCCAACGAAATCTTCAAATCTATCCAAAGGTCCACTTGCAGATTCAACAAAAAGTGTTTTTCAGAACTGCTCTATCAAAAGAAAGATCCACCTCTGTTAGCTGAGTTCACACATCACAAACAAGTTTATGAGAATGCTTATCTGTCTACTTTTTATTTGAAGATATTTCCTTTCTCACCATAGACCTGAAAGCTGTCCTAATGTTCACTCCCAGATACTACAGAAAGAGTGTTTCAAAACTGCTGTACGAAAGGGAATGTTCAACTCTATGACTTGAATGCACACATCACAAAGAAGATTCTGAGGATGCTGCTGTCTACTTTTTATACGTAATCCCGTTTCCAACAAAATCCTCCAAGCTATCCAAATATCCACTTGCAGATTCCACAGAAAGACTGTTTCAAAACTGCTCTGTCAATAGAAAGGTTCAACTCTATTAGCTGCGTACATATATCCCAAAGAAGATTCTGAGATTGCTTCTGTCTAGTTTTTATGGGAAGATATTTCCCTTTTCACTGTAGGCGTCAAGGCGCTCCAAATGTCCACTTCCAGATACTACAAAAAGAGTGTTTCAAACCTACTCTGTGAAAGGGAATATTCAACTCTGTGACTTAAAGGCAGATATCACAAAGAAGTTTCTGAGAATGCTTCTGTCGAGATTTTATATGAAGATATTCCCGTTTCCAACGAAATCCTGAAATCTATCCAAATATCCCCTCGCAGATTCTACAAAAAGAGTGTTTCAAAACTGCTCTGTAAAAAGAAAGGTTCAACTCTGTTAGTTGAGTACACACATCACAACCAAGTTTCACAGAATGCTTCTTTCTAGCTTGTAGGGGAAGATATTCCCTTTATCACCATGGGCCTCAAACTGTCAGAAACGTCCACTTCCATATACTACAAAAAGAGCGTTTCAAACCTGCTCTATGAAAGGCAATGTTCAGCTCTGTGACTTGAATGCAGACATCACAGAGCAGTTTCTGAGAATGCTTCTGTCTAGATTTTATAGGAAGATATTCCCGTTTCCAACGAAATCTTCACAGATATCCAAATATCCACTTGCAGATTCTACAAAAAGAGTGTATCAAAACTGCTCTGTCAAAAGGAAGGTTCTTCTCTGTTAGGTGAGTGCATACGTTATAAAGGAGTTTCTGAGAATGTTTCTGTCTAGTGGTTATGGGAAGATATTTGCTTTTTCACCGTAGGCCTCAGAGCGCTCCAAATATCCACTTGGACATACTACAAAAAGAGTGCCTCAAAGCTGCTCTCTGAAACGGAATGTTCAACTCTATGAGTTGAATGCAAACATCGCAAAGACGTTTCTGAGAATGCTTCTGTCTAGATTTGATATGAAGATATTCCCGTTTCCAACGAAATCTTCAAATCTATCCAAATGTCCACTTGCAGATTCAACAAAAAGTGTTTTTCAGAACTGCTCAATCAAAAGAAAGATCCACCTGTGTTAGCTGAGTTCACACATCACAAACAAGTTTATGAGAATGCTTCTGTCTAGTTTTTATTTGAAGATATTTCCTTTCTCAACATAGACCTGAAGGCTGTCCTAATGTTCACTTCCAGATACTACAGAAAGAGTGTTTCAAAACTGCTGTACGAAAGGGAATGTTCAACTCTGTGACTTGAATGCACACATCACAAAGAAGTTTCTGAGGATGCTGCTGTCTACTTTTTATACGTAATCCCGTTTCCAACGAAATCCTCCAATCTATCCAAATATCCACTTGCAGATTCCACAGAAAGACTGTTTCAAAACTGCTCTGTCAATAGAAAGGTTCATCTCTGTTAGCTGCGTGCATATATCCCAAAGAAGATTCTGAGATTGCTTTTGTTTAGTTTTTAATGGGAAGATATTTCCCTTTTCACCGTAGGTGTCAAGGCGCTCCAAATGTCCACTTCCAGATACTACAAAAAGAGTGTTTCCAACCTACTCTGTGAAAGGGAATATTCAACTCTGTGACTTGAATGCACATATCACAAAGAAGTTTCTGAGAATGCTTCTGTCGAGATTTTATATGAAGATATTCCCGTTTCCAACGAAATCCTGAAATCTATCCAAATATCCCCTCGCAGATTCTACAAAAAGAGTTTTTCAAAACTGCTCTGTAAAAAGAAAGGCTCTGTTAGTTGAGTACACACATCACAAACAAGTTTCACAGAATGCTTCTTTATAGCTTGTAGGGGAAGATATTCCCTTTATCACCATGGGCCTCCAACCGTCCGAAACATCCACTTCCCTATACTACAAAAAGAGCGTTTCAAACCTGCTCTATGAAAGGCAATGTTCAACTCTGTGACTTGAATGCAGACATCACAGAGCAGTTTCTGAGAATGCTTCTGTCTAGATTTTATAGGAAGATATTCCCGTTTCCAACGAAATCTTCACAGCTATCCAAATATGCACTTGCAGATTCTACAAAAAGAGTGTATCAAAACTGCTGTATCAAAAGAAAGAATGTTCTTCTCTGTTAGTTGAGTACATACGTCATAAAGGAGTTTCTGAGAATGTTTCTGTATAGTGGTTATGGGAAGATATTTGCTTTTTCACCGTAGGCCTCAGAGCGCTCCAAATATCCACTTGCACATACTACAAAAAGAGTGCTTCAAAGCTGCTCTCTGAAACGGAATGTTCAACTCTATGAGTTGAATGCAAACATCACAAAGACGTTTCCGAGAATCCTTCTGTCTAGATTTGATATGAAGATATTCCCGTTTCCAACGAAATCTTCATATCTATCCAAATGTCCACTTGCAGATTCAACAGAAAGTGTTTTTCAAAACTTCTCTATCAAAAGAAAGATCCACCTCTGTTAGCTGAGTTCACACATCACAAACAAGTTTATGAGAATGCTTCTGTCTAGTTTTTATTTGAAGATATATCCTTTCTCACTATAGACCTGAAAGCTGTCCTAAAGTTCACTAACAGATACTACAGAAAGAGTGTTTCAAAACTGCTGTACGAAAGGGAATGTTCAACTCTGTGACATGAATGCACACATCACAAGGATGTTTCTGAGGATGCTGCTGTCTACTTTTTATACGTAATCCCGTTTCCAACGAAATCCTCCAATCTATCCAAATATCCACTTGCAGATTCCACAGAAAGACTGTTTCAAATCTGCTCTGTCAACAGAAAGATTCAACTCTGTTAGCTGCGTGCATATATCCCAAAGAAGATTCTGAGATTGCCTTCTGTGTAGTTTTTATGGGAAGATATTTCCCTTTTTACCGTAGGTGTCAAGGCGCTCAAAATGTCCACTTCCAGATACTACAAAAAGAGTGTTTCAAACCTACTCTGTGAAAGGGAATATTCAACTCTGTGACTTGAATGCAGATATCACAAAGAAGTTTCTGAGAATGCTTCTGTCGAGATTTTATATGAAGATATTCCCGTTTCCAACGAAATCCTGAAATCTATCCAAATATCCCCTCGCAGATTCTACAAAAGGAGTGTTTCAAAACTGCTCTGTAAAAAGAAACGTTCAACTCTGTTAGTTGAGTACACACATCACAAACAAGTTTCACAGAATGCTTCTTTCTAGCTTGTAGGGGAAGATATTCCCTAAATCACCATGGGCCTCAAACCGTCCGAAACGTCCACTTCCATATACTACAAAAAGAGTGTTTCAAACCTGCTCTATGAAAGGCAATGTTCAACTCTGTGACTTGAATGCAGACACCACAGAGCAGTTTCTGAGAATGCTTCTGTCTAGATTTTATAGGAATATATTCCCGTTTTCAACGAAATCTTCACAGCTATCCAAATATCCACTTGCAGATTCCACAAAAAGAGTGTATCAAAACTGCTCTGTCAAAAGGAAGGTTCTTTTCTGTTAGGTGAGTGCATACTGTCATAAAGGAGTTTCTGAGAATGTTTCTGTCTAGTGGTTATGGGAAGATATTTGCTTTTCCCCGTAGGCCTCAGGGCGCTCCAAATGTCCACTTGCACATGCTACAAAAAGAGTGCTTCAAAGCTACTCTCTGGAAGGGAATGTTCAACTCTATGAGTTGAATGCAAACATCACAAAGACGTTTCTGAGAATGCTTCTGTCTAGATTTGATATGAAGATATTCCCGTTTCCAACGAAATCTTCAAATCTATCCAAATGTCCACTTGCAGATTCAACAAAAAGTGTTTTTCAGAACTGCTCTATCAAAAGAAAGATCCACCTCTGTTAGCTGAGTTCACACATCACAAACAAGTTTATAAGATGCTTCTGTCTAGTTTTTATTTGAAGATATTTCCTTTCTCTCCATAGAGCTGAAAGCTGTCCTAATGTTCACTTCCAGATACTACAGAAAGAGTGTTTCAAAACTGCTGTACGAAAGGGAATGTTCAACTCTGTGACTTGAATGCACACATCACAAAGAAGTTTCTGAGGATGCTGCTGTCTACTTTTTATACGTAATCCCGTTTCCAACGAAATCCTCCAAGCTATCCAAATATCCACTTGCAGATTCCAGAGAAAGACTGTTTCAAAACTGCTCTGTCAATAGAAAGGTTCAACTCTGTTAGCTGCATGCATATATCCCAAAGAAGATTCTGAGATTGCTTCTGTCTACTTTTTATGAGAAGATATTTCCCTTTTCACCGTAGGCCTCAAGGCGCTCCAAATGTCCACTTCCAGATACTACAAAAAGAGTGTTTCAAACCTACTCTGTGAAAGGGAATATTCAACTCTGTGACTTGAATGCACATATCACAAAGAAGTTTACTGAGAATGCTTCTGTCGAGATTTTATATGAAGATATTCCCGTTTCCAACGAAATCCTGAAATCTATCCAAATATCCCCTCGCAGATTCTACAAAAAGAGTGGTTCAAAACTGCTCTGTAAAACGAAAGGTTCAACTCTGTTAGTTGAGTACACACATCACAAACAAGTTTCACAGAATGCTTCTTTCTAGCTTGTAGGGGAAGATATTCCCTTTATCACCATGGGCCTCAAACCGTCCGAAACATCCAGTTCCATATACTACAAAAAGAGCGTTTCAAACCTGCTCTATGAAAGGCAATGTTCAACTCTGTGACTTGAATGCAGACATCACAGAGCAGTTTCTGAGAATGCTCCTGTCTAGATTTTATAGGAAGATATTCCCGTTTCCAACGAAATCTTCACAGCTATCCAAATATCCACTTGCAGATTCTACAAAAAGAGTGTATCAAAACTGCTCTGTCAAAAGGAAGGTTTTTCTCTGTTAGTTGAGTGCATACGTCATAAAGGAGTTTCTGAGAATGTTTCTGTATAGTGGTTATGGGAAGATATTTGCTTTTTCACCGTAGGCCTCAGAGCGCTCCAAATATCCACTTGCACATACTACAAAAAGAGTGCTTCAAAGCTGCTCTCTGAAATGGAATGTTCAACTCTATGAGTTGAATGCAAACATCACAAAGACGTTTCTGAGAATGCTTCTGTCTAGATTTGATATGAAGATATTCCCGTTTCCAACGAAATCTTCAAATCTATCCAAATGTCCACTTGCAGATTCAACAAAAAGTGTTTTTCAGAACTGCTCTATCAAAAGAAAGATCCACCTCTGTTAGCTGAGTTCAGACATCACAATCAAGTTTATGAGAATGCTTCTGTCTAGTTTTTATTTGAAGATATTTCCTTTCTCACCATAGACCTGAAAGCTGTCCTAATTTTCACTTCCAGATACTACAGAAAGAGTGTTTCAAAACTGCTGTACGAAAGGGAATGTTCAACTCTGTGACTTGAATGCACACATCACAAAGAAGTTTCTGAGGATGCTGCTGTCTACTTTTTATACGTAATCCCATTTCCAACGAAATCCTCCAAGCTATCCAAATATCCACTTGCAGATTCCACAGAAAGACTGTTTCAAAACTGCTATGTCAATAGAAAAGTTCAACTCAGTTAGCTGTGTGCATATATCCCAAGGAAGATTCTGAGATTGCTTCTGTCTAGTTTTTATGGGAAGATATTTCCCTTTTCACCGTAGGTGTCAAGGCGCTCCAAATATCCACTTCCAGATACTACAAAAAGAGTGTTTCAAACCTTCTCTGTGGAAGGGAATATTGAACTCTGTGACTTGAATGCAGATATCACAAAGAAGTTTCTGAAAATGCTTCTGTCGAGATTTTATATGAAGATATTCCCCTTTCCAACGAAATCCTGAAATCTATCCAAATATCCCCTCGCAGATTCTACAAAAAGAGTGTTTCAAAACTGCTCTGTAAAAAGAAAGGTTCAACTGCTGTTAGTTGAGTACACACATCACAAACAAGTTTCACAGAATGCTTTCTTTCTAGCTTGTAGGAGAAGATATTCCCTTTATCACCATGGGCCTCCAACCGTCCGAAACATCCACTTACATATACTACAAAAAGAGCGTTTCAAACCTGCTCTATGAAAGGCAATGTTCAACTCTGTGACTTGAATACAGATATCACAGAGCAGTTTCTGAGAATGCTTCTGTCTAGATTTTATAGGAAGATATTCTCGTTTCCAACGAAATCTTCACAGCTATCCAAATATCCACTTGCAGATTCTACAAAAAGAGTGTATCAAAACTGCTCTGTCAAAAGGAAGGTTCTTCTCTGTTAGGTGAGTGCATACGTCATAAAGCAGTTTCTGAGAATGTTTCTGTCTAGTGGTTATGGGAAGATATTTGCTTTTTCACCTTAGGCCTCAGAGCGCTCCAAATATCCCCTTGCACATACTACAAAAAGAGTGCTTCAAAGCTGTTCTCTGAAAGGGAATGTTCAACTCTATGAGTTGAATGCAAACATCACAAAGACGTTTCTGAGAATTCTTCTGTCTAGATTTGATATGAAGATATTCCCGTTTCCAACGAAATCTTCAAATCTATCCAAATGTCCACTTGCAGATTCAACAAAATGTGTTTTTCAAAACTGCTGTATCAAAAGAAAGATCCACCTCTGTTAGCTGAGTTCACACATCACAAACAAGTTTATGAGAATGCTTCCGTCTAGTTTTTATTTGAAGATATTTCCTTTCTCACCATAGACCTGAAAGCTGTCCTAATGTTCACTTCCAGATACTACAGAAAGAGTGTTTCAAAACTGCTGTACGAAAGGGAATGTACAACTCTGTGACTTGAATGCACACATCACAAAGAAGTTTTCTGAGGATGCTGCTGTCTACTTTTTATACGTAATCCCGTTTCCAACGAAATCCTCCAAGCTATACAAATATCCACTTGCAGATTCCACAGAAAGACTGTTTCAAAACTGCTCTGTCAATAGAAAGGTTCAACTCTGTTAGCTGCGTGCATATATCCCAAAGAAGATTCTGAGATTGCTTCTGTCTAGTTTTTATGGGAAGATATTTCCCTTTTCACCGTAGGCGTCAAGGCGCTCCAAATGTCCACTTCCTGATACTACAAAAAGAGTGTTTCAATCCTACTCTGTGAAAAGGAATATTCAACTCTGTGACTTGAATGCAGATATCACAAAGAAGTTTCTGAGAATGCTTCTGTCGAGATTTTATATGAAGATATTCCCGTTTCCAACGAAATCCTGAAATCTATCCAAATATCCCCTCGCAGGTTCTACAAAAAGAGTGTTTCAAAACTGCTCTGTAAAAAGAAAGGTTCAACTCTGTTAGTTGAGTACACACATCACAAACAAGTTTCACAGAATGCTTCTTTCTAGCTTGTAGGGGAAGATATTCCCTTTATCACCTTGGGCCTCCAACCGTCCGAAACATCCACTTCCATATACTACAAAAAGAGCGTTTCAAACCTGCTCTATGAAAGGCAATGTTCAACTCTGTGACTTGAATGCAGACATCACAGAGCAGTTTCTGAGAATGCTTCTGTCTAGATTTTATAGGAAGATATTCCCGTTTCCAACGAAATCTTCACAGCTATCCAAATATCCACTTGCAGATTCTACAAAAAGAGTGTATCAAAACTGCTCTGTCAAAAGGAAGGTTCTTTTCTGTTAGGTGAGTGCATACGTCATAAATGAGTTTCTGAGAATGTTTCTGTCTAGTGGTTATGGGAAGATATTTGCTTTTTCACCGTAGGCCTCAGAGCGCTCCAAATATCCACTTGCACATACTACAAAAAGAGTGCCTCAAAGCTGCTCTCTGAAACGGAATGTTCAACTCTATGAGTTGAATGCAAACATCGCAAAGACGTGTCTGAGAATGCTTCTGTCTAGATTTGATATGAAGATATTCCCGTTTCCAACGAAATCTTCAAATCTATCGAAATGTCCACTTGCAGATTCAACAAAAAGTGTTTTTCAGAACTGCTCTATCAAAAGAAAGATCCACCTCTGTTAGCTGAGTTCACACATCACAAACAAGTATATGAGAATGCTTCTGTCTAGTTTTTATTTGAAGGTATTTCCTTTCTCACCATAGACCTGAAAGCTGTCCTAATGTTCACTTCCAGATACTACAGAAAGAGTGTTTCAAAACTGCTGTACGAAAGGGAATGTTCAACTCTGTGACTTGAATGCACACATCACAAAGAAGTTTCTGAGGATGCCGCTGTCTACTTTTGATACGTAATCCCGTTTCCAACGAAATCCTCCAAGCTATCCAAATATCCACTTGCAGATTCCACAGAAAGAATGTTTCAAAACTGCTCTGTCAATAGAAAGGTTCAACTGTGTTAGCTGCGTGCATATATCCCAAACAAGATTCTGAGATTGCTTCTGTCTAGTTTTTATGGGAAGATATTTCCCTTTTCACCGTAGGCGTCAAGGCGCTCCAAATGTCCACTTCCAGATACAACAAAAAGAGTGTTTCAAACCTACTCTGTGAAAGGGAATATTCAACTCTGTGACTTGAATGCACATATCACAAAGAAGTTTCTGAGAATGCTTCTGTCGAGATTTTATATGAAGATATTCCCGTTTCCAATGAAATCCTGAAGTCTATCCAAATATCCCCTCGCAGATTCTACAGAAAGAGTGTTTCAAAACTGCTCTGTAAAAAGAAAGGTTCAACTCTGTTACTTGAGTACACACATCACAAACAAGTTTCACAGAATGCTTCTTTCTAGCTTGTAGGGGAATATATTCCCTTTATCACCATGGGTCTCAAAGCGTCCGAAACGTCCACTTCCATATAATACAAAAAGAGCGTTTCAAACCTGCTCTATGAAAGGCAATGTTCAACTCTGTGACTTGAATGCAGACATCACAGAGCTGTTTCTGAGAATGCATCTGTCTAGATTTTATAGGAAGATATTCCCGTTTCCAACGAAATCTTCACAGCTATCCAAATATCCACTTGCAGATTCTACAAAAAGAGTGTATCAAAACTGCTCTGTCAAAAGGAAGGTTCTTTTCTGTTAGGTGAGTGCATACGTCATAAAGGGGTTTCTGAGAATGTTTCTGTCTAGTGGTTATGGGAAGATATTTGCTTTTTCACAGAAGGCCTCAGAGCGCTCCAAATATCCACTTGCACATACTACAAAAAGAATGCCTCAAAGCTGCTCTCTGAAACGGAATGTTCAACTTTATGAGTTGAATGCAAACATCACAAAGACGTTTCCGAGAATGCTTCTGTCTAGATTTGATATGAAGATATTCCCGTTTCCAAGGAAATCTTCAAAACTATCCAAATGTCCACTTGCAGATTCAACAAAAAGTGTTTTTCAGAACTGCTCTATCAAAAGAAAGATCCACCGTTGATAGCTGAGTTCACACATCACAAACAAGTTTATGAGAATGCTTCTGTCTAGTTTTTATTTGAAGATATTTCCTTTCTCACCATAGACCTGAAAGCTGTCCTAATGTTCACTTCCATATACTACAGAAAGAGTGTTTCAAAACTGCTGTACGAAAGGGAATGTTCAACTCTGTGACTTGAATGCACACATCACAAAGAAGTTTCTGAGGATGCTGCTGTCTACTTTTTATACATAATCCCGTTTCCAACGAAATCCTCCAATCTATCCAAATATCCACTTGCAGATTCCACAGAAAGACTGTTTCAAATCTGCTCTGTCAATAGAAAGATTCAACTCTGTTAGCTGCGTGCATATATCCCAAAGAAGATTCTGAGATTGCTACTGTCTAGTTTTTATGGGAAGATATTTCCCTTTTCACCGTAGGCGTCAAGGCGCTCCAAATGTCCACATCCAGATACTACAAAAAGAGTGTTTCAAACCTACTCTGTGAAAGGGAGTATTCAACTCTGTGACTTGAATACACATATCACAAAGAAGTTTCTGAGAATGCTTCTGTCGAGATTTTATATGAAGATACTCCCGTTTCCAACGAAATCCTGAAATCTATCCAAATATCCCCTCGCAGATTCTACAAAAAGAGTGTTTCAAAACTGCACTGTAAAAAGAAAGGTTCAACTCCGTTAGTTGAGTACACACATCACAAACAAGTTTCACAGAATGCTTCTTTCTAGCTTGTAGGGGAAGATATTCCCTTTATCACCATGGGCCTCAAACCGTCCGAAACGTCCACTTCCATATACTACAAAAAGAGCGCTTCAAATCTGCTCTATGAAAGACAATGTTCAACTCTGTGACTTGAATGCAGACATCACAGAGCAGTTTCTGAGAATGCTTCTGTCTAGATTTTATAGGAAGATATTCCAGTTTCCAACGAAATCTTCACAGCTATCCAAATATCCACTTGCAGATTCTACAAAAAGAGTGTATCAAAACTGCTCTGTCAAAAGGAAGGTTCTTCTCTGTTAGTTGAGTACATACGTCATAAAGGAGTTTCTGAGAATGTTTCTGTCTAGTGGTTATGGGAAGATATTTGCTTTTTCCCCGTAGGCCTCAGGGCGCTCCAAATGTCCACTTGCACATGCTTCAAAAAGAGTGCTTCAAAGCTGCTCTCTGAAAGGGAATGTTCAACTCTATGAGTTGAATGCAAACATCACAAAGACGTTTCTGAGAATGCTTCTGTCTAGATTTGATAGGAAGATATTCCCGTTTCCAACGAAATCTTCAAATCTATCCAAATGTCCACTTGCAGATTCAACAAAAAGTGTTTTTCAGAACTGCTCTATCAAAAGAAAGATCCACCTCTGTTAGCTGAGTTCAGACATCACAAACAAGTTTATGAGAATGCTTCTGTCTAGTTTTTATTTGAAGATATTTCCTTTCTCACCATAGACCTGAAAGCTGTCCTAATGTTCACTTCCAGGTACTACAGAAAGAGTGTTTCAAAACTGCTGTACGAAAGGGAATGTTCAACTCTGTGACTTGAATGCACACATCACAAAGAAGATTCTGAGGATGCTGCTGTCTACTTTTTATACTTAATCCCGTTTCCAACGAAATCCTCCAAGCTATCCAAATATCCACTTGCAGATTTCACAGAAAGACTGTTTCAAAACTGCTCTGTCAATAGAAAGGTTCAACTCTGTTAGCTGCGTGCATATATCCCAAAGAAGATTCTGAGATTGCTTCTGTCTAGTTTTTATCGGAAGATATTTCCCTTTTCACCGTAGGTGTCAAGGCGCTCCAAATGTCCACTTCCAGATACTACAAAAAGAGTGTTTCAAACCTACTCTGTGAAAGGGAACATTCAACTCTGTGACTTGAATGCAGATATCACAAAGAAGTTTCTGAGAATGCTTCTGTCGAGTATTTTATATGAAGATATTCCCGTTTCCAACGAAATCCTGAAATCTCTCCAAATATCCCCTCGCAGATTCTACAAAAAGAGTGTTTCAAAACTGCTCTGTAAAAAGAAAGGTTCAACTCTGTTAGTTGAGTACACACATCACAAACAAGTTTCACAGAATGCTTCTTTCTAGCTTGTAGGGGAAGATATTCCCTTTATCACCATGGGCCTCAAACCGTCCGAAACGTTTACTTCCATATACTACAAAAAGAGCGTTTCAAACCTGCTCTATGAAAGGCAATGTTCAACTCTGTGACTTGTAATGCAGACATCACAGAGCAGTTTCTGAGAATGCTTCTCTCTAGATTTTATAGGAAGATATTCCCGTTTCCAACGAAATCTTCACAGCTATCCAAATATCCACTTGCAGATTCTACAAAAAGAGTGCATCAAAACTGCTCTGTCAAAAGGAAGGTTCTTCTCTGTTAGTTGAGTACATACGTCATAAAGGAGTTTCTGAGAATGTTTCTGTCTAGTGGTTATGGGAAGATATTTGCTTTTTCACCGTAGGCCTCAGAGCGCTCCAAATATCCACTTGCACATACTACAAAAAGAGTGCCTCAAAGCTGGTCTCTGAAACGGAATGTTCAACTCTATGAGTTGAATGCAAACATCACAAAGACGTTTCTGAGAATGCTTCTGTCTAGATTTGATATGAAGATATTCCCGTTTCCAACGAAATCTTCAAATCTATCCAAATGTCCACTTGCGTATTCAACAAAAAGTGTTTTTCAGAACTGCTCTATCAAAAGAAAGATCCACGGCTCTTAGCTGAGTTCACACATCACGAACAAGTTTATGAGAATGCTTCTGTCTAGTTTTTATTTGAAGATATTTCCTTTCTCACCATAGACCTGAAAGCTGTCCTAATGTTCACTTCCAGATACTACAGAAAGAGTGTTTCAAAACTGCTGTACAAAAGGGAATGTTCAACACTGTGACTTGAATGCACACATCACAAAGAAGTTTCTGAGGATGCTGCTGTCTACTTTTTATACGTAATCTCGTTTCCAACAAAATCCTCCAAGCTATCCAAATATCCACTTGCAGATTCCACAGAAAGACTGTTTCAAAACTGCTCTGTCAATAGAAAGGTTCAACTCTATTAGCTGCGTACATATATCCCAAAGAAGATTCTGAGATTGCTTCTGTCTAGTTTTTATGGGAAGATATTTCCCTTTTCACCGTGGGCGTCAAGGCGCTCCAAATGTCCACTTCCAGATACTACAAAAAGAGTGTTTCAAACCTACTCTGTGAAAGGGAATATTCAACTGTGTGACTTGAATGCACATATCACAAAGAAGTTTCTGAGAATGCTTCTGTCGAGATTTTATATGAAGATATTCCCCTTTCCAACGAAATCCTGAAATCTATCCAAATATCCCCTCGCAGATTCTACAAAAAGAGTGTTTCAAAACTGCTCTGTAAAAAGAAAAGTTCAACTCTGTTAGTTGAGTACACACCTCACAAACAAGTTTCACAGAATGCTTCTTTCTAGCTTGTAGGGGAAGATATTTCCTTTATCACCATGGGCCTCCAACCGTCCGAAAAGTCCACTTCCATATACTACAAAAAGAGCGTTTCAAACCTGCTCTATGAAAGGCAATGTTCAACTCTGTGACTTGAATGCAGACATCACAGAGCAGTTTCTGAGAATGCTTCTGTCTAGATTTTATAGGAAGATATTCCCATTTCCAACGAAATCTTCACAGCTATCCAAATATCCACTTTCAGATTCTACAAAAAGAGTGTATCAAAAATGCTCTGTCAAAAGGAAGGTTCTTCTCTGTTAGGTGAGTGCATACGTCATAAAGGAGTTTCTCAGAATGTTTCTAGTCTAGTGGTTATGGGAAGATATTTGCTTTTTCACCGTAGGCCTCAGAGCGCTCCAAATATCCACTTGCACATACTACAAAAAGAGTGCTTCAAATCTGGTCTCTGAAACGGAATGTTCAACTCTATGAGTTGAATGCAAACATCACAAAGACGTTTCTGAGAATGCTTCTGTCTAGATTTGATATGAAGATATTCCCGTTTCCAACGAAATCTTCAAATCTATCCAAATGTCCACTTGCAGATTCAACAAAAAGTGTTTTTCAGAACTGCTCTATCAAAAGAAAGATCCACCTCTGTTAGCTGAGTTCACACATCACAATCAAGTTTATGAGAATGCTTCCGTCTAGTTTTTATTTGAAGATATATCCTTTCTCACCATAGACCTGAAAGCTGTCCTAAAGTTCACTTCCAGATACTACAGAAAGAGTGTTTCAAAACTGCTGTACGAAAGGGAATGTTCAACTCTGTGACTTGAATGCACACATCACAAGGATGTTTCTGAGGATGCTGCTGTCTACTTTTTATACGTAATCCCGTTTCCAACGAAATCCTCCAAGCTATCCAAATATCCACTTGCAGATTCCACAGAAAGACTGTTTCAAAACTGCTCTGTGTATAGAAAGGTTCAACTCTGTTAGCTGCGTGCATATATCCCAAAGACGATTCTGAGATTGCTTCTGTCTAGTTTTTATGGGAAGATATTTCCCTTTTTACCGTAGGTGTCAAGGCGCTCAAAATGTCCACTTCCAGATACTACAAAAAGAGTGTTTCAAACCTACTCTGTGAAAGGGAATATTCAACTCTGTGACTTGAATGCAGATATCACAAAGAAGTTTCCTGAGAATGCTTCTGTCGAGATTTTATATGAAGATATTCCCGTTTCCAACGAAATCCTGAAATCTATCCAAATATCCCCTCGCAGATTCTACAAAAAGAGTGTTTCAAAACTGCTCTGTAAAAAGAAAGGTTCAACTCTGTTAGTTGAGTACACACATCACAAACAACTTTCACAGAATGCTTCTTTCTAGCTTGTAGGGGAAGATATTCCCTTTATCACCATGGGCCTCCAACCGTCCGAAACATCCACTTCCATATACTACAAAAAGAGCGTTTCAAACCTGCTCTATGAAAGGCAATGTTCAACTCTGTGACTTGAATGCAGACATCACAGAGCAGTTTCTGACAATGCTCCTGTCTAGATTTTATAGGAAGATATTCCCGTTTCCAACGAAATCTTCACAGCTATCCAAATATCCACTTGCAGATTCTACAAAAAGAGTGTATCAAAACTGCTCTGTCAAAAGGAAGGTTCTTCTCTGTTAGGTGAGTGCATACGTCATAAAGGAGTTTCTGAGAATGTTTCTGTCTAGTGGTTATGGGAAGATATTTGCTTTTTCACCGTAGGCCTCAGAGCGCTCCAAATATCCACTTGCACATACTACAAAAAGAGTGCCTCAAAGCTGCTCTCTGAAACGGAATGTTCAACTCTATGAGTTGAATGCAAACATCACAAAGACGTTTCTGAGAATGCCTTCTGTCTAGATTTGATATGAAGATATTCCCGTTTCCAACGAAATCTTCAAATCTATCCAAATGTCCACTTGCAGATTCAACAAAAAGTGTTTTTCAGAACTGCTCTATCAAAAGAAAGATCCACCTCTGTTAGCTGAGTTCACACATCACAAACAAGTTTATGAGATTGCTTCTGTCTAGTTTTTATTTGAAGATATTTCCTTTCTCACCATAGACCTGAAAGCTGTCCTAATGTTCACTTCCACATACTACAGAAAGAGTGTTTCAAAACTGCTGTACGAAAGGGAATTTTCAACTCTGTGACTTGAATGCACACATCACAAAGAAGTTTCTGAGGATGCTGCTGTCTAATTTTTATACGTAATCCCGTTTCCAACGAAATCCTCCAAGCTATCAAAATATCCACTTGCAGATTCCACAGAAAGACTGTTTCAAAACTGCTATGTCAATAGAAAAGTTCAACTCTGTTAGCTGTGTGCGTATATCCCAAAGAAAATTCTGAGATTGCTTCTGTCTACTTTTTATGAGAAGATATTTCCCTTTTCACCGTAGGTGTCAAGGTGCTCCAAATGTCCACTTCCAGATACTACAAAAAGAATGTTTCAAACCTACTCTGTGAAAGGGAATATTCAACTCTGTGACTTGAATGCACATATCACAAAGAAGCTTCTGAGAATGCTTCTGTCGAGATTTTATAGGAAGATATTCCCGTTTCCAACGAAATCCTGAAATCTATCCAAATATCCCCTCGCAGATTCTACAAAAAGAGTGTTTCAAAACTGCTCTGTAAAAAGAAAGGTTCAACTCTGTTAGTTGAGTACACACATCACAAACAAGTTTCACAGAATGCTTCTTTCTAGCTTGTAGGGGAAGATATTCCCTTTATCACCATGGGCCTCAAACCGTCCGAAACATCCACTTCCATATAGTACAAAAAGAGCGTTTCAAACCTGCTCTATGAAAGGCAATGTTCAACTCTGTGACTTGAATGCAGACATCACAGAGCAGTTTCTGAGAATGCTTTTGTTTAGATTTTATAGAAAGATATTCCCTTTTCCAACGAATTCTTCACAGATATCCAAATATCTACTTGCAGATTCTCCAAGAAGAGTGTATCAAAACTGCTCTGTCAAAAGGAAGGTTCTTCTCTGTTAGTTGAGTACATACGTCATAAAGAAGTTTCTGAGAATGTTTCCGTCTAGTGGTTATGGGAAGATATTTGCTTTTTCACCGAAGGCCTCAGAGCGCTCCAAATATCCACTTGCACATACTACAAAAAGAGCGCCTCAAAGCTGCTCTCTGAAACGGAATGTTCAACTCTATGAGTTGAATGCAAACATCGCAAAGACGTTTCTGAGAATGCTTCTGTCTAGATTTGATATGAAGATATTCCCGTTTCCAACAAAATCTTCAAATCTATCCAAATGTCCACTTGCAGATTCAACAAAGTGTTTTTCAGAACTGCTCTATCAAAAGAAAGATCCACCTCTGTTAGCTGAGATCACACTTCACAAACAAGTTTATCAGAATGCTTCTGTCTAGTTTTTATTTGAAGATATTTCGTTTCTCACCATAGAGCTGAAAGCTGTCCTAATGTTCACTTCCAGATACTACAGAGTGTTTCAAAACTGCTGTACGAAAGGGAATGTTCAACTCTGTGAGTTGAATGCACACATCACAAAGAAGTTTCTGAGGATGCTGCTGTCTAATTTTTATACGTAATCCCGTTTACAACGAAATCCTCCAAGCTATCCAAATATGCACTTGCAGATTCCACAGAAAGACTGTTTCAAAACTGCTCTGTCAATAGAAAGGTTCAACTCTGTTAGCTGCGTGCATATATCCCAAAGAAGATTCTGAGATTCCTTCTGTCTAGTTTTTATGGGAAGATATTTCCCTTTTCACCATAGGCGTCAAGGTGCTCCAAATGTCCACTTCCAGATACTACAAGAAGAGTGTTTCAAACCTACTCTGTGAAAGGGAATATTCAACTCTGTGACTTGAATGCAGGTATCACAAAGAAGTTTCTGAGAATGCTTCTGTCGAGCATTTTATATGAAGATATTCCAGTTTCCAACGAAATCCTGAAATCTATCCAAATATCCCCTCGCAGATTCTACAAAAAGAGTGTTTCAAAACTGCTCTGTAAAAAGAAAGGTTCAACTCTGTTAGTTGAGTACACACATCACAAACAAGTTTCACAGAATGCTTCTTTCTAGCTTGTAGGGGAAGATATTCCCTTTATCACCATGGGCCTCCAACCGTCCGAAACATCCACTTCCATATACTACAAAAAGAGCATTTCAAACCTGCTCTATGAAAGGCAATGTTCAACTCTGTGACTTGAATGCAGACATCACAGAGCAGTTTACTGAGAATGCTTCTGTCTAGGATTTTATAGGAAGATATTCCCGTTTCCAACGAAATCTTCACAGCTATCCAAATATCCACTTGCAGATTCTACAAAAAGAGTGTATCAAACCTGCTCTGTCAAAAGGAAGGTTCTTCTCTGTTAGGTGAGTGCATACGTCATAAAGGAGTTTCTGAGAATGTTTCTGTCTAGTGGTTATGGGAAGATATTTGCTTTTTCACCGTAGGCCACAGAGCGATCAAAATATCCACTTGCACATACTACAAAAAGAGTGCTTCAAAGCTGCTCTCTGAAAGTGAATGTTCAACTCTATGAGTTGAATGGAAACATCACAAAGACGTTTCTGAGAATGCTTCTGTCTAGATTTGATATGAAGATATTCCCGTTTCCAACGAAATCTTCAAATCTATCCAAATGTCCACTTGGAGATTCAACAAAAAGTGTTTTTCAGAACTGCTCTATCAAAAGAAAGATCCACCTCTGTTAGCTGAGTTCACACATCACAAACAAGTTTATGAGAATGCTTCTGTCTAGTTTTTATTTGAAGATATATCCTTTCTCACTATAGACATGAAAGCTCTCCTAATGTTCACTTCCAGATACTACAGAAAGAGTGTTTCAAAACTGCTGTACGAAAGGGAATGTTCATCTCTGTGACTTGAATGCACACATCACAAGGAAGTTTCTGAGGATGCTGCTGTCTACTTTTTATACCTAATCCCGTTTCCAACGAAATCCTCCAATCTATCCAAACATCCACTTGCAGATTCCACAGAAAGACTGTTTCAAAACTGCTCTGTCAATAGAAAGGTTCAACTCTGTCAGCTGCGTGCATATATCCCAAAGAAGATTCTGAGATTGCTTCTGTCTACTTTTTATGAGAAGATATTTCCCTTTTCACCGTAGGCGTCAAGGTGCTCAAAATGTCCACTTCCAGTTACTACAAAAAGAGTGTTTCAAACCTACTCTGTGAAAGGGAATATTCAACTCTGTGACTTGAATGCACATATCACAAAGAAGCTTCTGAGAATGCTTCTGTCGAGATTTTATATGAAGATATTCCCGTTTCCAACGAAATCCTGAAATCTATCCAAATATCCCCTCGCAGATTCTACAAAAAGAGTGTTTCAAAACTGCTCTGTAAAAAGAAAGGTTCAACTCTGTTATTTGAGTACACACATCACAAACAAGTTTCACAGAATGCTTCTTTCTAGCTTGTAGGGGAAGATAATCCCTTTATCACCATGGGCCTCAAACCGTCCGAAACGTCCACTTCCATATACTACAAAAAGAGCGTTTCAAACCTGCTGTAGGAAAGGCAATGTTCAACTCTGTGACTTGAATGCAGACATCACAGAGCAGTTTCTGAGAATGCTTCTGTCTAGATTTTATAGGAAGATATTCCCGTTTCCAACGAAATCTTCACAGCTATCCAAATATCCACTTGCAGATTCTACAAAAAGAGTGTATCAACACTGCTCTGTCAAAAGGAAGGTTCTTCTCTGTTGGCTGAGTGCATACGTCAGAAAGGAGTTTCTGAGAATGTTTCTGTCTAGTGGTTATGGGAAGATATTTGCTTTTTCACCGTAGGCCTCAGAGCACTCCAAATATCCACTTGCACATACTACAAAAAGAGTGCTTCAAAGCTGCTCTCTGAAACGGAATGTTCAACTCTATGAGTTGAATGCAAACATCGCAAAGACGTTTCTGAGAATGCTTTTGTCTAGATTTGATATGAAGATATTCCCGTTTCCAACGAAATCTTCAAATCTATCCAAATGTCCACTTGCAGATTCAACAAAAAGTGTTTTTCAGAACTGCTCTATCAAAAGAAAGATCCACGTGTGTTAGCTGAGTTCACACATCACAAACAAGTTTATGAGAATGCTTCTGTCTAGTTTTTATTTGAAGATATTTCCTTTCTCACCATAGAGCTGAAAGCTGTCCTAATGTTCACCTCCAGATACTACAGAAAGAGTGTTTCAAAACTGCTGTACGAAAGGGAATGTTCAACTCTGTGACTTGAATGCACACATCACAAAGAAGTTTCTGAGGATGCTGCTGTCTACTTTTTATACTTAATCCCGTTTCCAACGAAATCCTCCAAGCTATCCGAATATCCACTTGCAGATTCCACAGAAAGACTGTTTCAAAACTGCTCTGTCAATAGAAAGGTTCAACTCTGTTAGCTGCGTGCATATATCCCAAAGAAGATTCTGAGATTGCTTCTGTCTACTTTTTATGAGAAGATATTTCCCTTTTCACCGTAGGCGTCAAGGTGCTCCAAATGTCCACTTCCAGATACTACAAAAAGAGTGTTTCAAACCTACTCTGTGAAAGGGAATATTCAAGTCTGTGACTTGAATGCACATATCACAAAGAAGCTTCTGAGAATGCTTCTGTCGAGATTTTATATGAAGATATTCCCGTTCCCAACGAAATCCTGAAATCTATCCAAATATCCCCTCACAGATTCTACAAAAAGAGTGTTTCAAAACTGCTCTGTAAAAAGAAAGGTTCAACTCTGTTAGTTGAGTACACACATCACAAACAAGTTTCACAGAATGCTTCTTTCTAGCTTGTAGGGGAAGATATTCCCTTTATCACCATGGGCCTCAAACCGTCCGAAACGTCCACTTCCATATACTACAAAAAGAGCGTTTCAAACCTACTCTATGAAAGGCAATGTTCAACTCTGTGACTTGAATGCAGACATCACAGAGGAGTTTCTGAGAATGCTTCTGTCTAGATTTTATAGGAAGATATTCCCGTTTCCAACGAAATCTTCACAGCTATCCAAATATCCACTTGCAGATTCTACAAAAAGAGTGTATCAAAACTGCTCTGTCAAAAGGAAGGTTCTTCTCTGTTAGGTGAGTGCATACGTCATAAAGGAGTTTCTGAGAATGATTCTGTCTAGTGGTTATGGGAAGATATTTGCTTTTTCACCGAAGGCCTCAGAGCGCTCCAAATATCCACTTGCACATACTACAAAAAGAGTGCCTCAAAGCTGCTCTCTGAAACGGAATGTTCAACTCTATGAGTTGAATGCAAACATCACAAAGACGTTTCTGAGAATGCTTCTGTCTAGATTTGATATGAAGATATTCCCGTTTCCAACGAAATCTTCAAATCTATCCAAATGTCCACTTGCAGATTCAACAAAAAGTGTTTTTCAGAACTGCTCTATCAAAAGAAAGATCCACCTCTGTTAGCTGAGTTCACACATCACAAACAAGTTTATGAGAACGCTCTGTCTAGTTTTTATTTGAAGATATTTCCTTTCTCACCATAGACCTGAAAGCTGTCCTAATGTTCACTTCCAGATACTACAGAAAGAGTGTTTCAAAACTGCTGTACGAAAGGGAATGTTCAACACTGTGACTTGAATGCACACATCACAAAGAAGTTTCTGAGGATGCTGGCTGTCTACTTTTTATACGTAATCCCGTTTCCAACGAAATCCTCCAAGCTATCCAAATATCCACTTGCAGATTCCACAGAAAGACTGTTTCAAAACTGCTCTGTCAATAGAAAGGTTCAACTCTGTTAGCTGCGTGCATATATCCCTAAGAAGATTCTGAGATTGCTTCTGTCTAGTTTTTATGGGAAGATATTTCCCTTTTCACCGTAGGCGTCAAGGCGCTGCAAATGTCCACTTCCAGATACTACAAAAAGAGTGTTTCAAACCTACTCTGTGAAAGGGAATATTCAACTCTGTGACTTGAAGGCAGATATCACAAAGAAGTTTCTGAGAATGCTTCTGTCGAGATTTTATATGAAGATATTCCCGTTTCCAACGAAATCCTGAAATCTATCCAAATATCCGCTCGCAGATTCTACAAAAAGAGTGTTTCAAAACTGCTCTGTGAAAAGAAAGGTTCAACTCTGTTAGTTAAGTACACACATCACAAACAAGTTTCACAGAATGCTTCTTTCTAGCTTGTAGGGGAAGATATTCCCTTTATCACCATGGGCCTCAAACCGTCTGAAACGTCCACTTCCATATACTACAAAAAGAGCATTTCAAACCTGCTCTATGAAAGGCAATGTTCAACTCTGTGACTTGAATGCAGACATCACAGAGCAGTTTCTTAGAATGCTTCTGTCTAGATTTTATAGGAAGATATTCCCGTTTCCAACGAAATCTTCACTGCTATCCAAATATCCACTTGCAGATTCTACAAAAAGAGTGTATCAAAACTGCTCTGTCAAAAGGAAGGTTCTTCTCTGTTAGGTGAGTGCATACGTCATAAAGGAGTTTCTGAGAATGTTTCTGTCTAGTGGTTATGGGAAGATATTTGCTTCTTCACCTTAGGCCTCAGAGCGCTCCAAATATCCCCTTGCACATACTACAAAAAGAGTGCTTCAAAGCTGCTCTCTGAAAGGGAATGTTCAACTCTATGGGTTGAATGCAAACATCACAAAGACGTTTCTGAGAATGCTTCTGTCTAGATTTGATATGAAGATATTCCCGTTTCCAACGAAATCTTCAAATCTATCCAAATGTCCACTTGCAGATTCAACAAAAAGTGTTTTTCAGAACTGCTCTATCAAAAGAAAGATCCACCTCTTTTAGCTGAGTTCACACATCACAAACAAGTTTATGAGAATGCTTCTGTCTAGTTTTTATTTGAAGATATTTCCTTTCTCACCATAGACCTGAAAGCTGTCCTAATGTTCACTTCCAGATACTACAGAAAGAGTGTTTCAAAACTGCTGTATGAAATGGAATGTTCAACTCTGTGACTTGAATGCACACATCACAAATAAGTTTCTGAGGATGCTGCTGTCTACTTTTTATACGTAATCCCGTTTCCAACGAAATCCTCCAAGCTATCCAAATATCCACTTGCAGATTCCACAGAAAGACTGTTTCAAAACTGCTATGTCAATAGAAAAGTTCAACTCTGTTAGCTGTGTGCATATATCCCAAAGAAAATTCTGAGATTGCTTTCTGTCTAGTTTTTATGGGAAGATATTTCCCTTTTCACCGTAGGTGTCAAGGCGCTCCAAATGTCCACTTCCAGATACTACAAAAAGAGTGTTTCAAACCTACTCTGTGAAAGGGAATATTCAACTCTGTGACTTGAATGCACATATCACAAAGAAGTTTTTGAGAATGCTTCTGTCGAGATTTTATATGAAGATATTCCCGTTTCCAACGAAATCCTGAATTCTATCCAAATATTCCCTCGCAGATTCTACAAAAAGAGTGGTTCAAAACTGCTCTGTAAAAAGAAAGGTTCAACTCTGTTAGTTGAGTACACACATCACAAACAAGTTTCACAGAATGCTTCTTTCTAGCTTGTAGGGCAAGATATTCCCTTTATCACCATGGGCCTCAAACCGTCCGAAACGTCCACTTCCATATACTACAAAAAGAGCGTTTCAAACCTGTTCTAGGAAAGGCAATGTTCAACTCTGTGACTTGAATGCAGACATCACAGAGCAGTTTCTGAGAATGCTTCTGTCTAGATTTTATAGGAAGATATTCCCGTTTCCAACGAAATCTTCACAGCTATCCAAATATCCACTTGAAGATTCTACAAAAAGAGTGTATCAAAACTGCTCTGTCAAAAGGTAAGTTCTTCTCTGTTAGGTGAGTGCATACGTCATAAAGGAGTTTCTGAGAATGTTTCTGTCTAGTGGTTACGGGAAGATATTTGCTTTTTCACCTTAGGCCTCAGAGCGCTCCAAATATCCACTTGCACATACTACAAAAAGAGTGCTTCAAAGCTGCTCTCTGAAAGGGAATGTTCAACTCTATGAGTTGAATGCTAACATCACAAAGACGTTTCTGAGAATGCTTCTGTCGAGATTTTATATGAAGATATTCCCGTTTCCAACGAAATCCTGAAATCTATCCAAATATCCCCTCGCAGATTCTACCAAAAGAGTGTTTCAAAACTGCTCTGTAAAAAGAAAGGTTCAACACTGTTAGTTGAGTACACACATCTCAAACAAGTTTCACAGAATGCTTCTGTCTAGTTTTTATTTGAAGATATTTCCTTTCTCACCATAGACCTGAAAGCTGTTCTAATGTTCACTTCCATATGCTACAGAAAGAGTGTTTCAAAACTGCTGTACGAAAGGGAATGTTCAACTCTGTGACTTGAATGCACACATCACAAAGAAGTTTCTGAGGATGCTGCTGTCTACTTTTTATACGTAATCCCGTTTCCAACGAAATCCTCCAAGATATCCAAATATCCACTTGCAGATTCCACAGAAAGACTGTTTCAAAACTGCTCTGTCAATAGAAAGGTTCAACTCTGTTAGCTGCGTGCATATATCCCAAAGAAGATTCTGAGATTGCTTCTGTCTAGTTTTTATGGGAAGATATTTCCCTTTTCACCGTAGGCGTCAAGGCGCTCCAAATGTCCACTTCCAGATACTACAAAAAGAGTGTTTCAAATCTACTCTGTGAAAGGGAATATTCAACTCTGTGACTTGAATGCACATATCACAAAGAAGTTTCTGAGAATGCTTCTGTCGAGATTTTATATGAAGATATTCCCGTTTCCAACGAAATCCTGAAATCTATCCAAATATCCACTCGCAGATTCTACAAAAAGAGTGGTTCAAAACTGCTCTGTAAAACGAAAGGTTCAACTCTGTTAGTTGAGTACACACATCACAAACAAGTTTCACAGAATGCTTCTTTCTAGCTTGTAGGGGAAGATATTCCCTTTATCACCATGGGCCTCAAACCGTTCGAAACGTCCACTTCCATATACTACAAAAAAGCGTTTCAAACCTGCTCTATGAAAGGCAATGTTCAACTCTGTGACTTGAATGCAGACATCACAGAGCAGTTTCTGAGAATGCTTCTGTCCAGACTTTATAGGAAGATATTCCCGTTTCCAACGAAATCTTCACAGCTATCCAAATATCCACTTGCAGATACTATAAAAAGTGTGTATCCAAAGTGCTCTGTCAAAAGGAAAGTTCTTCTCTGCTACTTGAGTACATACGTCATAAAGAAGTTTCTGAGAATGTTTCTGTCTAGTGGTTATGGGAAGATATTTGCTTTTTCCCCGTAGGCCTCAAAGCGCTCCAAATGTCCACTTGCACATACTACAAAAAGAGTGCTTCAAAGCTGCTCTCTGAAAGGGAATGTTCAACTCTATGAGTTGAATGCTAACATCACAAAGACGTTTCTGAGAATGCTTCTGTCTAGATTTGATATGAAGATATTCCCGTTTCCAACGAAATCTTCAAATCTTTCCAAATGTCCACTTGCAGATTCAACAAAAAGTGTTTTTCAGAACTGCTCTATCAAAAGAAAGATCCACCTCTGTTAGATGAGTTCACACATCACAAACAAGTTTATGAGAATGCTTCTGTCTAGTTTTTATTTGAAGATATTTCCTTTCTCACCATAGACCTGAAAGCTGTCCTAATGTTCACTTCCAGATACTACAGAAAGAGTGATTCAAAACTGCTGTACGAAAGGGAATGTTCAACTCTGTGACTTGAATGCACACATCACAAAGAAGTTTCTGAGGATGCTGCTGTCTACTTTTTATACGTAATCCCGTTTCCAACGAAATCCTCCAAGCTATCCAAATATCCACTTGCAGATTCCACAGAAAGACTGTTTCAAAACTGCTCTGTCAATAGAAAGGTTCAACTCTATTAGCTGCGTACATATATCCCAAAGAAGATTCTGAGATTGCTTTCTGTCTACTTTTTATGAGAGGATATTTCCCTTTTCACCGTAGGCGTCAAGGCGCTCCAAATGTCCACTTCCAGATACTACAAAAAGAGTGTTTCAAACCTACTCTGTGAAAGGGAATATTCAACTCTGTGACTTGAATGCAGATATCACAAAGAAGTTTCTGAGAATGCTTCTGTCCAGATTTTATATGAAGATATTCCCGTTTCCAACGAAATCCTGAAATCTATCCAAATATCCCCTCGCAGATTCTACAAAAAGAGTGTTTCAAAACTGCTCTGTAAAAAGAAAGGTTCAACTCTGTTAGTTGAGTACACACATCACAAACAAGTTTCACAGAATGCTTCTTTCTAGCTTGTAGGGGAAGATATTCCCTTTATCACCATGGGCCTCCAACCGTCCGAAACATCCACTTCCATATACTACAAAAAGAGCGTTTCAAACCTGCTCTATGAAAGGCAATGTTCAACTCTGTGAGTTGAATGCAGACATCACAGAGCAGTTTCTGAGAATGCTTCTGTCTAGATTTTATAGGAAGATATTCCCGTTTCCAACGAAATCTTCACAGATATCCAAATATCCACTTGCAGATGCTACAAAAAGAGTGTATCAAAAATGCTCTGTCAAAAGGAAGGTTCTTACTGTGTTAGGTGAGTGCATACGTCATAAAGGAGTTTCTGAGAATGTTTCTGTGTAGTGGTTATGGGAAGATATTTGCTTTTTCACCGTAGGCCTCAGAGCGCTCCAAATATCCACTTGCACATACTACAAAAAGAGTGCTTCAAAGCTGGTCTCTGAAAGGGAATGTTCAACTCTATGAGTTGAATGCAAACATCGCAAAGACGTTTCTGAGAATGCTTCTGTCTAGATTTGATATGAAGATATTCCCGTTTACAACGAAATCTTCAAATCTATCCAAATGTCCACTTGCAGATTCAACAAAAAGTGTTTTTCAGAACTGCTCTATCAAAAGAAAGATCCACCTCTGTTAGCTGAGTTCAGACATCACAAACAAGTTTATGAGAATGCTTCTGTCTAGTTTTTATTAGAAGATATTTCCTTTCTCACCATAGACCTGAAAGCTGTCCTAATGTTCACTTCCAGTTACTACAGAAAGAGTGTTTCAAAACTGCTGTACGAAAGGGAATGTTGAACTCTGTGACTTGAATGCACACATCACAAAGAAGTTTCTGAGGATGCTGCTGTCTACTTTTTATGCGTAATCCCGTTTCCAACGAAATCCTCCAAGCTATCCAAATATCCACTTGCAGATTCCACAGAAAGACTGTTTCAAAACTGCTCTGTCAATAGAAAGGTACAACTCTGTTAGCTGCGTGCATATATCCCAAAGAAGATTCTGAGATTGCTTCTGTCTAGTTTTTATGGGAAGATATTTCCCTTTTCACCGTAGGCGTCAATGCGCTCCAAATGTCCACTTCCAGATGCTACAAAAAGAGTGTTTCAAACCTACTCTGTGAAAGGGAATATTCAACTCTGTGACTTGAATGCAGATATCACAAAGAAGTTTCTGAGAATGCTTCTGTCGAGATTTTGTATGAAGATATTCCCGTTTCCAATGAAATCCTGAAATCTATCCAAATTTCCCCTCGCAGATTCTACAAAAAGAGTGTTTCAAAACTGCTCTGTAAAAAGAAAGGTTCAACTCTGTTAGTTGAGTACACACATCACAAACAAGTTTCACAGAATGCTTCTTTCTAGCTTGTAGGGGAAGATATTCCCTTTATCACCATGGGCCTCCAACCGTCCGAAAAGTCCACTTCCATATACTACAAAAAGAGCATTTCAAACCTGCTCTATGAAAGGCAATGTTCAACTCTGTGACTTGAATGCAGACATCACAGAGCAGTTTCTGAGAATGCTTCTGTCCAGACTTTATAGGAAGATATTCCCGATTCCAACGAAATCTTCACAGCTATCCAAATATCCACTTGCAGATACTACAAAAAGAGTGTATCAAAAGTTCTCTGTCAAAAGGAAAGTTCTTCTCTGCTAGTTGAGTACATACGTCATAAAGAAGTTTCTGAGAATGTTTCTGTCTAGTGGTTATGGGGAGATATTTGCTTTCTCACCGTAGGCCTCAGAGCGCTCCAAATATCCACTTGCACATACTACAAAAAGAGTGCTTCAATGCTGCTCTCTGAAACGGAATGTTCAACTCTATGAGTTGAATGCAAACATCACAAAGACGTTTCTGAGAATGCTTCTGTCTAGATTTGATATGAAGATATTCCCGTTTCCAACGAAATCTTCAAATCTATACAAATGTCCACTTGCAGATTCAACAAAAAGTGTTTTTCAGAACTGCTCTATCAAAAGAAAGATCCACCTCTGTTAGCTGAGTTCACACATCACAAACAAGTTTATGAGAATGCTTCTGTCTAGTTTTTATTTGAAGATATTGCCTTTCTCACCATAGACCTGAAAGCTGTCCTAATGTTCACTTCCAGATACTACAGAAAGAGTGTTTCAAAACTGCTGTACGAAAGGGAATGTTCAACTCTGTGACTTGAATGCACACATCACAAAGAAGTTTCAGAGGAGGCTGCTGTCTACTTTTTATACGTAATCCCGTTTCAAACGAAATCCTCCAAGCTATCCAAATATCCACTTGCAGATTCCACAGAAAGACTGTTTCAAAACTGCTCTGTCAATAGAAAGGTTCAACTCTGTTAGCTGCGTGCATATATCCCAAAGAAGATTCTGAGATTGCTTCTGTCTAGTTTTTATTGGAAGATATTTCCCTTTTCACCGTAGGTGTCAAGGTGCTCCAAATGTCCACTTCCAGATACTACAAAAAGAGTGTTTCAAACCTACTCTGTGAAAGGGAATATTCAACTCTGTGACTTGAATGCAGATATCACAAAGAAGTTTCTGAGAATGCTTCTGTCGAGATTTTATATGAAGATATTCCCGTTTCCAACGAAATGCTGAAATGTATCCAAATATCCCCTCGCAGATTCTACAAAAAGAGTGTTTCAAAACTGCTCTGTAAAAAGAAAGGTTCAACTCTGTTAGTTGAGTACACACATCACAAATAAGTTTCACACAATGCTTCTTTCTAGCTTGTAGGTGAAGATATTCCCTTTATCACCATGGGCCTCAAACCGTCCGAAACGTCCACTTCCATATACTACAAAAAGAGCGTTTCAAACCTGCTCTATGAAAGGCAATGTTCAACTCTGTGACTTGAATGCAGACATCACAGAGCAGTTTCTGAGAATGCTTCTGTCTAGATTTTATAGGAAGATATTCCCGTTTCCAACGAAAACTTCACAGCTATCGAATATCCACTTGCAGATTCTACAAAAAGAGTGTATCAAAACTGCTCTGTCAAAAGGAAGGTTCTTCTCTGTTAGGTGAGTGCATACGTCATAAAGGAGTTTCTGAGAATGTTTCTGTCTAGTGGTTATGGGAAGATATTTGCTTTTTCACCGTAGGCCTCAGAGCGCTCCAAATATCCACTTGCACATACTACAAAAAGAGTGCTTCAAAGCTGCTCTCTGAAACGGAATGTTCAACTCTATGAGTTGAATGCAAACATCACAAAGACGTTTCCAAGAATGCTTCTGTCTAGATTTGATATGAAGATATTCCCGTTTCCAACGAAATCTTCAAATCTATCCAAATGTCCACTTGCAGATTCAACAAAATGTGTTTTTCAGAACTGCTCTATCAAAAGAACGATCCACCTCTGTTAGCTGAGTTCACACATCACAAACAAGTTTATGAGAATGCTTCTGTCTAGTTTTTATTTGAAGATATTTCCTTTCTCACCATAGACCTGAAAGCTGTCCTAATGTTCACTTCCAGATACTACAGAAAGAGTGTTTCAATACTGCTGTACAAAAGGGAATGTTCAACTCTGTGACTTGAATGCACACATCAAAAGGAGGTTCTGAGGATGCTGCTGTCTACTTATTATACGTAATCCCGTTTCCAACGAAATCCTCCAAGCTATCCAAATATCCACTTGCAGATTCCACAGAAAGACTCTTTCAAAACTGCTCTGTCAATAGAAAGGTTCAACTCTGTTAGCTGCGTGCATATATCCCAAAGAAGATTCTGAGGTTGCTTCTGTCTAGTTTTTATGGGAAGATATTTCCCTTTTCACGGTAGGCGTCAAGGCGCTCCAAATGTCCACTTCCAGATACTACAAAAAGAGTGTTTCAAACCTACTCTGTGAAAGGGAATATTCAACTCTGTGACTTGAATGCACATATCACAAAGAAGTTTCTGAGAATGCTTCTGTCGAGATTTTATATTAAGATATTCCCGTTTCCAACGAAATCCTGAAATCTATCCAAATATCCCCTCACAGATTCTACAAAAAGAGTGTTTCAAAACTGCTCTGTAAAAAGAAAGGTTCAACTCTGTTAGTTGAGTACACACATCACAAACAAGTTTCACAGAATGCTTCTTTCTAGCTTGTAGGGAAAGATATTCCCTTTATCACCATGGGCCTCAAACCGTCCGATAAGTCCACTTCCATATACTACAAAAAGAGCGTTTCAAACCTGCTCTATGAAAGGCAATGTTCAACTCTGTGACTTGAATGCAGACATCACAGAGCAGTTTCTGAGAATGCTTCTGTCTAGATTTTATAGGAAGATATTCCCGTTTCCAACGAAATCTTCACAGCTATCCAAATATCCACTTGCAGATTCAACAAAAAGAGTGTATCAAAACTGCTCTGTCAAAAGGAAGGTTCTTTTCTGTTAGGTGAGTGCATACGTCATAAAGGAGTTTCTGAGAATGTTTCTGTCTAGTGGTTATGGGAAGATATTTGCTTTTTCACCGTAGGCCTCAGAGCGCTCCAAATATCCACTTGCACATACTAGAAAAAGAGTGCCTCAAAGCTGCTCTCTGAAACGGAATGTTCAACTCTATGAGTTGAATGCAAACATCACAAAGACGTTTCTGAGAATGCTTCTGTCTAGATTTGATATGAAGATATTCCCGTTTCCAACGAAATCTTCAAATCTATCCAAATGTCCACTTGCAGATTCAACAAAAAGTGTTTTTCAGAACTGCTCTATCAAAAGAATGATCCACCTCTGTTAGCTGAGTTCAGACATCACAAACAAGTTTATGAGAATGCTTCTGTCTAGTTTTTATTTGAAGATATTTCCTTTCTCACCATAGACCTGAAAGCTCTCCTAATGTTCACTTCCAGACACTACAGAAAGAGTGTTTCAAAACTGCTGTATGAAAGGGAATGTTCAACTCTGTGACTTGAATGCACACATCACAAAGAAGTTTCTGAGGATGCTGCTGTCTACTTTTTATACTTAATCCCGTTTCCAAAGAAATCCTCCAAGCTATCCAAATATCCACTTGCAGATTCCACAGAAAGACTGTTTCAAAACTGCTCTGTCAATAGAAAGGTTCAACTCTGTTAGCTGCGTGCATATATCCCAAAGAAGATTCTGAGATTGCTTCTGTCTAGTTTTTATGGGAAGATATTTCCCTTTTCACCGTAGGTGTCAAGGCGGTCCAAATGTCCACTTCCAGATACTACAAAAAGAGTGTTTCAAACCTACTCTGTGAAAGGGAATATTGAACACTGTGACTTGAATGCAGATATCACAAAGAAGTTTCTGAGAATGCTTCTGTCGAGATTTTATATGAAGATATTCCCCTTTCCAACGAAATCCTGAAATCTATCCAAATATCCCCTCGCAGATTCTACAAAAAGAGTGTTTCAAAACTGCTCTGTAAAAAGAAAGGTTCAACTCTGTTAGTTGAGTACACACATCACAAACAAGTTTCACAGAATGCTTTCTTTCTAGCTTGTAGGGGAAGATATTCCCTTTATCACCATGGGCCTCAAACCGTCCGAAACGTCCACTTACATATACTACAAAAAGAGCGTTTCAAACCTGCTCTAGGAAAGGCAATGTTCAACTCTGTGACTTGAATGCAGACATCACAGAGCAGTTTCTGAGAATGCTTCTGTCTAGATTTTATAGGAAGTTATTCCCGTTTCCATCGAAATCTTCACAGGTATCCAAATATCCACTTGCAGATTCTACAAAAAGAGTGTATCAAAACTGCTCTGTCAAAAGGAAGGTTCTTCTCTGTTAGGTGAGTGCATACGTCATAAAGGAGTTTCTGAGAATGTTTCTGTCTAGTGGTTATGGGAAGATATTTGCTTTTTCACCTTAGGCCTCAGAGCACTCCAAATATCCCCTTGCACATACTACAAAAAGAGTGCTTCAAAGCTGCTCTCTGAAACGGAATGTTCAACTCTATGAGTTGAATGCAAACATGACAAAGACGTTTCCGAGAATGCTTATCTGTCTAGATTTGATATGAAGATATTCCCGTTTCCAACGAAATCTTCAAATCTATCCAAATGTCCACTTGCAGATTCAACAAAAAGTGTTTATCAGAACTGCTCTATCAAAAGAAAGATCCACCTCTGTTAGCTGAGTTCACACTTCACAAACAAGTTTATCAGAATGCTTCTGTCTAGTTTTTATTTGAAGATATTTCCTTTCTCACCATAGACCTGAAAGCTGTCCTAATGTTCACTTCCAGATACTACAGAAAGAGTGTTTCAAAACTGCTGTACGAAAGGGAATGTTCAACTCTGTGACTTGAATGCACACATCAGAAAGAAGTTTTCTGAGGATGCTGCTGTCTACTTTTTATACGTATTCCCGTTTCCAACGAAATCCTCCAAGCTATCCAAATATCCACTTGCAGATTCCACAGAAAGACTGTTTCAAAACTGCTCTGTCAATAGAAAGGTTCAACTCTATTAGCTGCGTACATATATCCCAAAGAAGATTCTGAGATTGCTTCTGTCTAGTTTTTATGGGAAGATATTTCCCTTTTCACCGTAGGTGTCAAGGCGCTCCAAATGTCCACTTCCAGATACTACAAAAAGAGTGTTTCAAACCAACTCTGTGAAAGGGAATATTCAACTCTGTGACTTGAATGCACACAACACAAAGAAGTTTCTGAGGATGCTTCTATCGAGATTTTATATGAAGATATTCCCGTTTCCAACGAAATCCTGAAATCTATCCAAATATCCCCTCGCAGATTCTACAAAAAGAGTGTTTCAAAACTGCTCTGTAAAAAGAAAGGTTCAACTCTGTTAGTTGAGTACACATATCACAAACAAGTTTCACACAATGCTTCTTTCTAGCTTGTAGGGGAAGATATTTCCTTTATCACCATGGGCCTCAAACCATCCGAAACGTCCACTTCCATATACTAAAAAAAGAGTGTTTGAAACCTGCTCTATGAAAGGCAATGTTCAACTCTGTGACTTGAATGCAGACATCACAGTAGCAGTTTCTGAGAATGCTTCTGTCCAGACTTTATAGGAAGATATTCCCGTTTCCAACGAAATCTTCACAGCTATCCAAATATCCACTTGCAGATACTACAAAAAGAATGTATCAAAAATGCTCTGTCAAAAGGAAAGTTCTTCTCTGCTAGTTGAGTACATACGTCATAAAGGAGTTTCTGAGAATGTTTCTGTCTAGTGGTTATGGGAAGATATTTGCTTTTTCACAGAAGGCCTCAGAGCGCTCCAAATATCCACTTGCACATACTACAAAAAGAGTGCCTCAAAGCTGCTCTCTGAAACGGAATGTTCAACTTTGTGAGTTGAATGCAAACATCACAAAGACGTTTCCGAGAATGCTTCTGTCTAGATTTGATATGAAGATATTCCCGTTTCCAACGAAATCTTCAAATCTATCAAAATGTCCACTTGCAGATTCAACAAAAAGTGTTTTTCAGAACTGCTCTATCAAAAGAAAGATCCACCTCTGTTAGCTGAGTTCACACTTCACAAACAAGTTTATCAGAATGCTTCTGTCTAGTTTTTATTTGAAGATATATCCTTTCTCACTATAGACCTGAAAGCTCTCCTAAAGTTCACTTCCAGATACTACAGAAAGAGTGTTTCAAAACTGCTGTAAGAAAGGGAATGTTCATCTCTGTGACTTGAATGCACACATCACAAGGATGTTTCTGAGGATGCTGCTGTTTACTTTTTATACGTAATCCCGTTTCCAACGTAATCCTCCAGGCTATCCAAATATCCACTTGCAGATTCCACAGAAAGACTGTTTCAAATCTGCTCTGTCAATAGAAAAGTTCAACTCTATTAGCTGCGTGCATATATCCCAAAGAAGATTCTGAGATTGCTTCTGTCTAGTTTTTATGGGAAGATATTTCCCTTTTCACCGTAGGCGTCAAGGCGCTCCAAATGTCCACTTCCAGATACTACAAAAACAGTGTTTCAAACCTACTCTGTGAAAGGGAATATTCAACTCTGTGACTTGAATGCACATATCACAAAGAAGTTTCTGAGAATGCTTCTGTCGAGATTTTATATGAAGATATTCCCCTTTCCAACGAAATCCTGAAATCTATCCCAAATATCCCCTCGCAGATTCTACAAAAAGAGTGTTTCAAAACTGCTCTGTAAAAAGAAAGGTTCAACTCTGTTAGTTGAGTACACACATCACAAACAAGTTTCACAGAATGCTTCTTTCTAGCTTGTAGGGGAAGATATTCCCTTTATCACCATGGGCCTCAAACCGTCTGAAACGTCCACTTCCATATACTACAAAAAGAGCGTTTCAAACCTGCTCTATGAAAGGCAATGTTCAACTCTGTGACTTGAATGCAGACATCACAGAGCAGTTTCTGAGAATGCTTCTGTCTAGATTTTATAGGAAGATATTCCCGTTTCCAACGAAATCTTCGCAGCTATCCAAATATCCACTTGCAGATTCTACAAAAAGAGTGTATCAAAACTGCTCTGTCAAAAGGAAGGTTCTTCTGCTGTTAGGTGAGTGCATACGTCATAAAGGAGTTTCTGACAATGTTTCTGTCTAGATTTGATATAAAGATATTCCCGTTTCCAACGAAATCTTCAAATCAATCCAAATGTCCACTTGGAGATTCAACAAAAAGTGTTTTTCCGAACTGCTCTATCAAAAGAAAGATCCACCTCTGCTAGCTGAGTTCACACATCACAAACAAGTTTATGAGAATGCTTCTGTCTAGTTTTTATTTGAAGATATTTCCTTTCTCACCATAGACCTGAAAGCTGTCCTAATGTTCACTTCCAGATACTACAGAAAGAGTGTTTCAAAACTGCTGTACGAAAGGGAAGGTTCAACTCTGTGACTTGAATGCACACATCACAAAGAAGTTTCTGAGGATGCTGCTGTCTACTTTTTATACGTAATCCCGTTTCCAACGAAATCCTCCAAGCTATCCAAATATCCACTTGCAGATTCCACAGAAGGACTGTTTCAAAACTGCTCTGTCAATAGAAAGGTTCAACTCTGTTAGCTGCGTGCATATATCCCAAAGAAGATTCTGAGATTGCTTCTGTCTAGTTTTTATGGGAAGATATTTCCCTTTTCACCGTAGGTGTCAAGGCGCTCCAAATATCCACTTCCAGATACTACAAAAAGACTGTTTCAAACCTACTCTGTGAAAGGGAATATTCAACTCTGTGACTTGAATGCAGATATCACAATGAAGTTTCTGAGAATGCTTCTGTCGAGATTTTATATGAAGATATTCCCGTTTCCAACGAAATCCTGAAATCTATCCAAATATCCCCTCGCAGATTCTACAAAAAGAGTGTTTCAAAACTGCTCTGCAAAAAGAAAGGTTCAACTCTGTTAGTTGAGTACAAACATCACAAACAAGTTTCACAGAATGCTTCTTTCTACCTTGTAGGGGAAGATATTCCCTTTAACACCATGGGCCTCAAACCGTCCGAAACGTCCACTTCCATATACTACAAAAAGAGCGTTTCAAACCTGCTCTATGAAAGGCAATGTTCAACTCTGTGACTTGAATGCAGACATCACAGAGCAGTTTCTGAGAATGCTTCTGTCTAGATTTTATAGGAAGATATTCCCGTTTCCAACGAAATCTTCACAGCTATCCAAATATCCACTTGCAGATTCTACAAAAAGAGTGTATCAAAACTGCTCTGTCAAAAGGAAGGTTCTTTTCTGTTAGGTGAGTGCATACGTCATAAAGGAGTTTACTGAGAATGTTTTCTGTCTAGTGGTTATGGGAAGATATTTGCTTTTTCACCGTAGGCCTCAGAGCGCTCCAAATATCCACTTGCACATACTACAAAAAGAGTGCCTCAAAGCTGCTCTCTGAAACGAAATGTTCAACTCTATGAGTTGAATGCAAACATCACAAAGACGTTTCAGAGAATGCTTCTGTCTAGATTTGATATGACGATATTCCCGTTTCCAACGAAATCTTCAAATCTATCCAAATGTCCACTTGCAGATTCAACAAAAAGTGTTTTTCAGAACTGCTCTATCAAAAGAAAGATCCACCTCTGTTAGCTGAGTTCACACATCACAAACAAGTTTATTAGAATGCTTCTGTCTAGTTTTTATTTGAAGATATTTCCTTTCTCACCATAGACCTGAAAGCTGTCCTAATGTTCACTTCCAGATACTACAGAAAGAGTGTTTCAAAACTGCTGTATGGAAGGGAATGTTCAACTCTGTGACTTGAATGCACACATCACAAAGAAGTTCCTGAGGACGCTGCTGTCTACTTGTTATACGTAATCCCGTTTCCAACGAAATCCTCCAAGCTATCCAAATATCCACTTGCAGATTCCACAGAAAGACTGTTTCAAAACTGCTCTGTCAATAGAAAGGTTCAACTCTGTTAGCTGCGTGCATATATCCCAAAGAAGATTCTGAGATTGCTTCTGTCTAGTTTTTATGGGAAGATATTTCCCTTTTCACCGTAGGCGTCAAGGCGCTCCAAATGTCCACTCTCAGATACTACAAAAAGAGTGTTTCAAACCTACTCTGTGAAAGGGAATATTCAACTCTGTGACTTGAAGGCAGATATCACAAAGAAGTTTCTGAGAATGCTTCTGTCGAGATTTTATATGAAGATACTCCCGTTTCCAACGAAATCCTGAAATCTATCCAAATATCCCCTCGCAGATTCTACAAAAAGAGTGTTTCAAAACTGCTCTGTAAAAAGAAAGGTTCAACTCTGTTAGTTGTGTACACACATCACAAACAAGTTTCACAGAATGCTTCTTTCTAGCTTGTAGGGGAAGATATTCCCTTTATCACCATGGGCCTCAAACCGTCCGAAAAGTCCACTTCCATATACTACAAAAAGAGCGTTTCAAACCTGCTCTATGAAACGCAATGTTCAACTCTGTGACTTGAATGCAGACATCACAGAGCAGTTTCTGAGAATGCTTCTGTATAGATTTTATAGGAAGATATTCCCGTTTCCAACGAAATCTTCACAGCTATCCAAATATCCACTTGCAGATTCTACAAAAAGATTGTATCAAAACTGCTCTGTCAAAAGGAAGGTTCTTCTCTGTTAGGTGAGTGCATACGTCATAAAGGAGTTTCTGAGAATGTTTCTGTCTAGTGGTTATGGGAAGATATTTGCTTTTTCCACCGTAGGCCTCAGAGCGCTCCAAATATCCACTTGCACATACTACAAAAAGAGTGCCTCAAAGCTGCTCTCTGAAACGGAATGTTCAACTCTATGAGTTGAATGCAAACATCGCAAAGACGTTTCTGAGAATGCTTCTGTCTAGATTTGATATGAAGATATTCCCGTTTCCAACGAAATCTTCAAATCCATCCAAATGTCCTCTTGCAGATTCAACAAAAACTGTTTTTCAGCACTGCTCTATCAAAAGAAAGATCCACGTGTGTTAGCTGAGTTCACACATCACGAACAAGTTTATGAGAATGCTTCTGTCTAGTTTTTATTTGAAGATATTGCCTTTCTCACCATAGACATGAAAGCTGACCTAATGTTCACTTCCAGATACTACAGAAAGAGTGTTTCAAAACTGCTGTACGAAAGGGAATGTTCAACTCTGTGACTTGAATGCACACATCACAAAGAAGTTTCTGAGGATGCTGCTGTCTACTTTTTATACGTAATCCCGTTTCCAACGAAATCCTCCAAGCTATCCAAATATCCACTTGCAGATTCCACAGAAAGACTGTTTCAAAACTGCTCTGTCAATAGAAAGGTTCAACTCTGTTAGCTGCGTGCATATATCCCAAAGAAGATTCTGTGATTGCTTCTGTCTAGTTTTTATGGGAAGATATTTCCCTTTTCACCGTAGGCGTCAAGGCGCTCCAAATGTCCACTTCCAGATAGTACAAAAAGAGTGTTTCAAACCTGCTCTGTGAAAGGGAATATTCAACTCTGTGACTTGAATGCACATATCACAAAGAAGTTTGCTGAGAATGCTTCTGTCGAGATTTTATATGAAGATATTCCCGTTTCCAACGAAATCCTGAAATCTATCCAAATATCCCCTCACAGATTCTACAAAAAGAGTGTTTCAAAACTGCTCTGTAAAATGAAAGGTTCAACTCTGTTAGTTGAGTACACACATCACAAACAAGTTTCACAGAATGCTTCTTTCTAGCTTGTAGGGGAAGATATTCCCTTTATCACCATGGGCCTCAAATCGTCCGATAAGTCCACTTCCATATACTACAAAAAGAGCGTTTCAAACCTGCTCTATGAAAGGCAATGTTCAACTCTGTGACTTGAATGCAGACATCACAGAGCAGTTTCTGAGAATGCTTCTGTCTAGATTTTATAGGAAGATATTCCCGTTTCCAACGAAATCTTCACAGCTATCCAAATATCCACTTGCAGATTCTACGAAAAGAGTGTATCAAAACTGCTCTGTCAAAAGGAAGGTTCTTTTCTGTTAGGTGAGTGCATACGTCATAAAGGAGTTTCTGAGAATGCTTCTGTCTAGTGGTTATGGGAAGATATTTGCTTTTTCCCCGTAGGCCTCTGGGCGCTCCAAATGTCCACTTGCACATGCTACAAAAAGAGTGCTTCAAAGCTGCTCTCTGAAAGGGAATGTTCAACTCTATGAGTTGAATGCAAACATCACAAAGACGTTTCTGAGAATGCTTCTGTCTAGATTTGATATGAAGATATTCCCGTTTCCAACGAAATCTTCAAATCTATCCAAATATCCACTTGCAGATTCAACAAAAAGTGTTTTTCAGAACTGCTCTATCAAAAGAAAGATCCACCTCTGTTAGCTTAGTTCACACATCACAAACAAGTTTATGAGAATGCTTCTGTCTAGTTTTTATTTGAAGATATTTCCTTTCTCACCATAGACCTGAAAGCTGTCCTAATGTTCACTTCCAGATACTACAGAAAGAGTGTTTCAAAACTGCTGTACGAAAGGGAATGTTCAACTCTGTGACTTGAATGTACACATCACAAAGAAGTTTCTGAGGATGCTGCTGTCTACTTTTTATACGTAATCCCGTTTCCAACGAAATCCTCCAAGCTATCCAAATATCCACTTGCAGATTCCACAGAAAGACTGTTTCAAAACTGCTCTGTCAATAGAAAGGTTCAACTCTGTTAACTGCGTGCATATATCCCAAAAAAGATTCTGAGATTGCTTCTGTCTAGTTTTTATGGGAAGATATTTCCCTTTTCACCGTAGGTGTCAAGGCGCTCCAAATGTCCACTTCCAGATACTACAAAAAGAGTGTTTCAAAACTGCTGTACGAAAGGGAATGTTCAACTCTGTGACTTGAATGCACACATCACAAAGTAGTTTCTGAGGATGCTTCTGTCGAGATTTTATATGAAGATATTCCCGTTTCCGACGAAATCCTGAAATCTATCCAAATATCCCCTCGCAGATTCTACAAAAAGAGTGTTTCAAAACTGCTCTGTAAAAAGAAAGGTTCAACTCTGTTAGTTGAGTACACACATCACAAACAAGTTTCACAGAATGCTTCCTTCTAGCTGGTAGGGGAAGATATTCGCTTTATCACCATGGGCCTCAAACCGTCCGAAACGTCCACTTCCATATACTACGAAAAGAGCGTTTCAAACCTGCTCTATGAAAGGCAATGTTCAACTCTGTGACTTGAATGCAGACATCACAGAGCAGTTTCTGAGAATGCTTCTGTCTAGATTTTATAGGAAGATATTCCCGTTTCCAACGAAATCTTCACAGCTATCCAAATATCCACTTGCAGATTCTACAAAAAGAGTGTATCAAAACTGCTCTCTCAAAAGGAAGGTTCTTCTCTGCTAGTTGAGTACATACGTCATAAAGAAGTTTCTGAGAATGTTTCTGTCTAGTGGTTATGGGAAGATATTTGCTTTTTCACCTTAGGCCTCAGAGCGCTCAAAATATCCACTTGCACATACTACAAAAAGAGCGCTTCAAAGCTGCTCTCTGAAACAGAATGTTCAACTCTATGGGTTGAATGCAAACATCACAAAGACGTTTCTGAGAATGCTTCTGTCTAGATTTGATATGAAGATATTCCCGTTTCCAACGAAATCTTCAAATCTATCCAAATGTCCACTTGCAGATTCAACAAAAAGTGTTTTTCAGAACTGCTCTATCAAAAGAAAGATCCACCTCTGTTAGCTGAGTTCACACATCACAAACAAGTTTATTAGAATGCTTCTCTCAAGTTTTTATTTGAAGATATTTCCTTTCTCACCATAGTCCTGAAAGCTGTACTAATGTTCACTTCCAGATACTACAGAAAGAGTGTTTCAAAACTGCTGTACGAAAGGGAATGTTCAACTCTGTGACTTGAATGCACACATCACAAAGAAGTTTCTGAGGATGCTGCTGTCTACTTATTATACGTAATCCCGTTTCCAACGAAATCCTCCAAGCTATCCAAATATCCACTTGCAGATTCCACAGAAAGACTCTTTCAAAACTGTTCTGTCAATAGAAAGGTTCAGCTCTGTTAGCTGCGTGCATATATCCCAAAGAAGATTCTGAGATTGCTTCTGTCTAGTTTTTATGGGAAGATATTTCCCTTTTCACCGTAGGCGTCAAGGCGCTCCAAATGTCCACTTCCAGATACTACAAAAAGAGTGTTTCAAACCTACTCTGTGAAAGGGAATATTCAACTCTGTGACTTGAATGCACATATCACAAAGAAGTTTCTGAGAATGTTTCTGTCGAGATTTTATATGAAGATATTCCCGTTTCCAAAGAAATCCTGAAATCTATCCAAATATCCCCTCGCAGATTCTACAGAAAGAGTGTTTCAAAACTGCTCTGTAAAAAGAAAGGTTCAACTCTGTTACTTGAGTACACACATCACAAACAAGTTTCACAGAATGCTTCTTTCTAGCTTGTAGGGGAAGATATTTCCTTTATCACCATGGGCCTCAAACCGTCCGAAACGTCCACTTCCATATACTAAAAAAAGAGTGTTTGAAACCTCCTCTATGAAAGGCAATGTTCAACTCTGTGACTTGAATGCAGACATCACAGAGCAGTTTCTGAGAATACTTCTGTCTAGATTTTATAGGAAGATATTCTCGTTTCCAACGAAATCTTCACAGCTATCCAAATATCCACTTGCAGATTCTACAAAAAGAGTGTATCAAAACTGCTCTGTGAAAAGGAAGGTTCTTCTCTGTTAGGTGAGTGCATACGTCATAAAGGAGTTTCTGAGAATTTTTCTGTCTAGTGGTTACGGGAAGATATTTGCTTTTTCACCTTAGGCCTCAGAGCGCTCCAAATATCCACTTGCACATACTACAAAAAGAGTGCTTCAAAGCTGCTCTCTGAAACGGAATGTTCAACTCTATGAGTTGAATGCAAACATCACAAAGACGTTTCTGAGAATGCTTCTGTCTAGATTTGATATGAAGATATTCCCGTTTCCAACGAAATCTTCAAATCTATCCAAATGTCCACTTGCAGATTCAACAAAAAGTGTTTTTCTGAACTGCTCTATCAAAAGAAAGATCCACCTCTGTTAGCTGAGTTCACACATCACAAACAAGTTTATGAGAATGCTTCTGTCTAGTTTTTATTTGAAGATATTTCCTTTCTCACCATAGACCTGAAAGCTGTCCTTATGTTCACTTCCAGATACTACAGAAAGAGCGTTTCAAAACTGCTGTACGAAAGGGAATGTTCAACTCTGTGACTTGAATGCACACATCACAAAGAAGTTTCTGAGGATGCTGCTGTCTACTTTTTATACGTAATCCCGTTTCCAACGAAATCCTCCAATCTATCCAAATATCCACTTGCAGATTCCACAGAAAGACTGTTTCAAATCTGCTCAGTCAATAGAAAGGTTCAACTCTGTTAGCTGCGTGCATATATCCCAAAGAAGTTTCTGAGATTGCTTCTGTCTAGTTTTTATGGGAAGATATTTCCCTTTTCACCGTAGGCGTCAAGGCGCTCCAAATGTCCACTTCCAGATATTACAAAAAGAGTGTTTCAAACCTACTCTGTGAAAGGGAATATTCAACTCTGTGACTTGAATGCACATATCACAAAGAAGTTTCTGAGAATGCTTCTGTCGAGATTTTCTATGAAGATATTCCCGTTTCCAACGAAATCCTGAAATCTATCCAAATATCCCCTCGCAGATTCTACAAAAAGAGTGTTTCAAAACTGCTCTGTAAAAAGAAAGGTTCAACTCTGTTAGTTGAGTGCACACATCACAAACAAGTTTCACAGAATGCTTCTTTCTAGCTTGTAGGGGAAGATATTCCCTTTGTCACCATGGGCCTCAAACCGTCCGAAAAGTCCACTTCCATATACTACAAAAAGAGCATTTCAAACCTGCTCTATGAAAGGCAATGTTCAACTCTGTGACTTGAATGCAGACATCACAGAGCAGTTTCTGAGAATGCTTCTGTCTAGATTTTATAGGAAGATATTCCCGTTTCCAACGAAATCTTCACAGCTATCCAAATATCCACTTGCAGATTCTACAAAAAGAGTGTATCAAAACTGCTCTGTCAAAAGGAAGGTTCTTTTCTGTTAGGTGAGTGCATACGTCATAAAGGAGTTTCTGAGAATGTTTCTGTCTAGAGGTTATGGGAAGATATTTGCTTTTTCACCGTAGGCCTCAGAGCGCTCCAAATATCCACTTGCACATACTACAAAAAGAGTGCTTCAAAGCTGGTCTCTGAAACGGAATGTTCAACTCTATGAGTTGAATGCAAACATCACAAAGACGTTTCTGAGAATGCTTCTGTCTAGATTTGATATGAAGATATTCCCATTTCCAACGAAATCTTCAAATCTATCCAAATGTCCACTTGCAGATTCAACAAAAAGTGTTTTTCAGAACTGCTCTATCAAAAGAAAGATCCACCTCTGTTAGCTGAGTTCACACATCACAAACAAGTTTATGAGAATGTTTCTGTCCAGTTTTTTTTGAAGATATTTCCTTTCTCACCATAGACCTGAAAGCTGTCCTAATGTTCACTTCCAGATACTACAGAAAGAGTGTTTCAAAACTGCTGTACGAAAGGGAATGTTCAACTCTGTGACTTGAATGCACACATCACAAAGAAGTTTCTGAGGATGCTGCTGTCTACTTTTTATACGGTAATCCCGTTTCCAACGAAATCCTCCAAGCTATCCAAATATCCACTTGCAGATTCCACAGAAAGACTGTTTCAAAACTGCTCTGTCAATAGAAAGGTTCAACTCTGTTAGCTGCATGCATATATCCCAAAGAAGATTCTGAGATTGCTTCTGTCTAGTTTTTATGGGAAGATATTTCCCTTTTCACCGTAGGCGTCAAGGCGCTCCAAATGTCCACTTCCAGATACTACAAAAAGAGTGTTTCAAACCTCCTCTGTGAAAGGGAATATTCAACTCTGTGACTTGAATGCACATATCACAAGGAAGTTTCTGAGAATGCTTCTGTCGAGATTTTATATGAAGATATTCCCGTTTCCAACGAAATCCTGAAATCTATCAAAATATCCCCTCGCAGATTCTACAAAAAGACTGTTTCAAAACTGCTCTGTAAAAAGAAAGGTTCAACTCTGTTAGTTGAGTACACACATCACAAACAAGTTTCACAGAATGCTTCTTTCTAGCTGGTAGGGGAAGATATTCGCTGTATCACCATGGGCCTCAAACCGTCCGAAACGTCCACTTCCATATACTACAAAAAGAGCGTTTCAAACCTGCTCTATGAAAGGCAATGTTCAACTCTGTGTCTTGAATGCAGACATCACACAGCAGTTTCTGAGAATGCTTCTGTCTAGATTTTATAGGAAGATATTCCCATTTCCAACGAAATCTACACAGCTATCCAAATATCCACTTGCAGATTCTACAAAAAGAGTGTATCAAAACTGCTCTGTCAAAAGGAAGGTTCTTCTCTGTTAGTTGAGTACATACGTCATAAAGGAGTTTCTGAGAATGTTTCTGTCTAGTGGTTATGGGAAGATATTTGCTTTTTCACCGTAGGCCTCAGAGCGCTCCAAATATCCACTTGCACATACTACAAAAAGAGTGCTTCAAAGCTGCTCTCTGAAAGGGAATGTTCAACTCTATGAGTTGAATGCAAACATCACAAAGATGTTTCTGAGAATGCTTCTGTCTAGATTTGATATGAAGATATTCCCGTTTCCAACGAAATCTTCAAATCTATCCAAATGTCCACCTGCAGATTCAACAAAAAGTGTTTTTCAGAACTGCTCTATCAAAAGAAAGATCCACCTCTGTTAGCTGAGTTCACACATCACAAACAAGTTTATGAGAATGCTTCTGTCTAGTTTTTATTTGAAGATATATCCTTTCTCACTATAGACCTGAAAGCTCTCCTAAAGTTCACTTCCAGATACTACAGAAAGAGTGTTTCAAAACTGCTGTACGAAAGGGAATGTTCAACTCTGTGACTTGAATGCACACATCACAAGGAAGTTTCTGAGGATGCTGCTGTCTACTTTTTATACGTAATCCCGTTTCCAACGAAATCCTCCAAGCTATCCAAATATCCACTTGCAGATTCCACAGAAAGACTGTTTCAAAACTGCTCTGTCAATAGAAAGTTTCAACTCTGTTAGCTGCGTGCATATATCCCAAAGAAGATTCTGAGATTGCTTCTGTCTAGTTTTTATGGGAAGATATTTCCCTTTTCACCGTAGGTGTCAAGGCGCTCCAAATGTCCACTTCCAGATACTACAAAAAGAGTGTTTCAAACCTACTCTCTGAAAGGGAATATTCAACTCTGTGACTTGAATGCAGATATCACAATGAAGTTTCTGAGAATGCTTCTGTCGAGATTTTATATGAAGATATTCCCGTTTCCAACGAAATCCTGAAATCTATCCAAATATCCCCTCGTAGATTCTACAAAAAGAGTGTTTCAAAACTGCTCCGTAAAAAGAAAGGTTCAACTCTGTTAGTTGAGTACACACAACACAAACAAGTTTCACAGAATGCTTCTTTCTAGCTTGTAGGGGAAGATATTTCCTTTATCTCCATGGGCCTCAAGCCGTCCGAAACGTCCACTTCCATATATTACGAAAAGAGCGTTTCATACCTCCTCTGTGAAAGGCAATGTTCAACTCTCTGACTTGAATGCAGACATCACAGAGCAGTTTCTGAGAATGCTTCTGTCTAGATTTTATAGGAAGATATTCCCGTTTCCAACGAAATCTTCACAGCTATCCAAATATCCACTTGCAGATTCTACAAAAAGAGTGTATCAAAACTGCTCTGTCAAAAGGAAGTTTCTTTTCTGTTAGGTGAGTGCATACGTCATAAAGGAGTTTCTGAGAATGTTTCTGTCTAGTGGTTATGGGAAGATATTTGCTTTTTCACCTTAGGCCTCAGAGCGCTCCAAATATCCACTTGCACATACTACAAAAAGAGTGTTTCAAAGCTGCTCTCTGAAAGGGAATGTTCAACTCTATGAGTTGAATGCAAACATGACAAAGACGTTTCTGAGAATGCTTCTGTCTAGATTTGATATGAAGATATTCCCGTTTCCAACGAAATCTTCAAATCTATACAAATGTCCACTTGCAGATTCAACAAAAAGTGTTTTTCAGAACTGCTCTATCAAAAGAAAGATCCACCTCTGTTAGCTGAGTTCACACATCACAAAGAAGTTGATGAGAATGCTTCTGTCTAGTTTTTATTTGAAGATATTTCCTTTCTCACCATAGAGCTGAAAGCTGTCCTAATGTTCACTTCCAGATACTACAGAAAGAGAGTTTCAAAACTGCTGTACGAAAGGGAATGTTCAACTCTGTGACTTGAATGCACACATCACAAAGAAGTTTCTGAGGATGCTGCTGTCTACTTTTTATACGTAATCCCGTTTCCAACGAAATCCTCCAAGCTATCCAAATATCCACTTGCAGATTCCAAAGAAAGACTGTTTCTAAACTGCTCTGTCAATAGAAAGGTTCAACTCTGTTAGCTGCGTGCATATATCCCAAAGAAGATTCTGAGATTCCTTCTGTCTAGTTTTTATGGGAAGATATTTCCCTTTTCACCGTAGGGGTCAAGGCGCTCCAAATGTCCACTTCCAGATACTACAAAAAGAGTGTTTCAAACCTACTCTGTGAAAGGGAATATTCAACTCTGTGACTTGAATGCAGATATCATAAAGAAGTTTCTGAGAATGCTTCTGTCGAGATTTTATATGAAAATATTCCCGTTTCCAACGAAATCCTGAAATCTATCCAAATATCCCCTCGCAGATTCTACAAAAAGAGTGTTTCAAAACTGCTCTGTAAAAAGAAAGGTTCAACTCTGTTACTTGACTACACACATCACAAAGAAGTTTCACAGAATGCTTCTTTCTAGCTTGTAGGGGAAGATATTCCCTTTATCACCATGGGCCTCAAACCGTCCGAAACGTCCACTTCCATATACTACAAAAAGAGCGTTTCAAACCTGCTCTAGGAAAAGCAATGTTCAACTCTGTGACTTGAATGCAGACATCACAGAGCAGTTTCTGAGAATGCTTCTGTCTAGATTTTATAGGAAGATATTCCCGTTTCCAACGAAATCTTCAAAGCTATCCAAATATCCACTTGCAGATTCTACAAAAAGAGTGTATCAAAACTGCTCTGTCAAAAGGAAGGTTCTTCTCTGTTAGTTGAGTACATACGTCATAAAGGAGTTTCTGAGAATGTTTCTGTCTAGTGGTTATGGGAAGATATTTGCTTTTTCCCCGTAGGCCTCAGGGCGCTCCAAATGTCCACTTGCACATGCTACAAAAAGAGTGCTTCAAAGCTGCTCTCTCAAAGGGAATGTTCAACTCTATGAGTTGAATGCAAACATCACAAAGACGTTTCTGAGAATGCTTCTGTCTAGATTTGATATGAAGATATTCCCGTTTCCAACGAAATCTTCAAATCTATCCAAATGTCCACTTGCAGATTCAACAAAAAGTGTTTTTCAGAACTGCTCTATCAAAAGAAAGATCCACCTCTGTTAGCTGAGTTCAGACATCAAAACAAGTTTATGAGAATGCTTCTGCCTAGTTTTTATTTGAAGATATTTCCTTCCTCACCATAGACCTGAAAGCTGTCCTAATGTTCACTTCCAGATACTACAGAAAGAGTGTTTCAAAACTGCTGTACGAAAGGGAATGTTCAACTCTGTGACTTGAATGCACACATCACAAAGAAGTTTCTGAGGATGCTGCTGTCTACTTTTTATACGTAATCCCGTTTCCAACGAAATCCTCCAAGCTATCCAAATATCCACTTGGAGATTCCACAGAAAGACTGTTTCAAAACTGCTCTGTCAATAGAAAGGTTCAACTCTGTTAGCTGCGTGCATATATCCCAAAGAAGATTCTGAGATTGCTTCTGTCTAGTTTTTATGGGAAGATATTTCCCTTTTCACCGTAGGCGTCAAGGCGCTCCAAATGTCCACTTCCAGATACTACAAAAAGAGTGTTTCAAACCTACTCTGTGAAAGGGAATATTGAACTCTGTGACTTGAATGCACATATCACAAAGAAGTTTCTGAGAATGCTTCTGTCGAGATTTTCTATGAAGATATTCCCGTTTCCAACGAAATCCTGAAATCTATCCAAATATCCCCTCACAGATTCTACAAAAAGAGTGTTTCAAAACTGCTCTGTAAAAAGAAAGGTTCAACTCTGTTAGTTGAGTACACACATCACAAACAAGTTTCACAGAATGCTTCTTTCTAGCTTGTAGGGGAAGATATTCCCTTTATCACCATGGGCCTCAAACCGTCCAAAAAGTCCACTTCCATATACTACAAAAAGAGCGTTTCAAACCTGCTCTATGAAAGGCAATGTTCAACTCTGTGACTTGAATGCAGACATCACAGAGCAGTTTCTGAGAATGCTTCTGTCTAGATTTTATAGGAAGATATTCCCGTTTCCAACGAAATCTTCACAGCTATCCAAATATCCACTTGCAGATTCTACAAAAAGAGTGTATCAAAACTGCTCTTTCAAAAGGAAGGTTCTTCTCTGTTAGGTGAGTGCACACGTCATAAAGGAGTTTCTGAGAATGTTTCTGTCTAGTGGTTATGGGAAGATATTTGCTTTTTCACCGTAGGCCTCAGAGCGCTCCAAATATCCACTTGCACATACTACAAAAAGAGTGCTTCAAAGCTGCTCTCTGAAACGGAATGTTCAACTCTATGAGTTGAATGCAAACATCACAAAAACGTTTCTGAGAATGCTTCCGTCTAGATTTGATATGAAGATATTCCCGTTTCCAACGAAATCTTCAAATCTATCCAAATGTCCACTTGCAGATTCAACAAAAAGTGTTTTTCAGAACTGCTCTATCAAAAGAAAGATCCACCTCTGTTAGCTGAGTTCACACATCAGAAACAGGTTTATGAGAATGCTTCTGTCTAGTTTTTATTTGAAGATATTTCCTTTCTCACGATAGACCTGAAAGCTGTCCTAATGTTCACTTCCAGATACTACAGAAAGAGTGTTTCAAAACTGCTGTACGAAAGGGAATGTTCAACTCTGTGACTTGAATGCACACATCACAAAGAAGTTTCTGAGGATGCTGCTGTCTAATTTTTATACGTAATCCCGTTACCAACGAAATCCTCCAAGCTATCCAAATATCCACTTACAGATTCCACAGAAAGACTGTTTCAAAACTGCTCTGTCAATAGAAAGGTTCAACTCTGTTAGCTGCGTGCATATATCCCAAAGAAGATTCTGAGATTGCTTTCTGTCTAGTTTTTATGGGAAGATATTTCCCTTTTCACCGTAGGTGTCAAGGCGCTCCAAATGTCCACTTCCAGATACTACAAAAAGAGTGCTTCAAACCTACTCTGTGAAAGGGAATATTCAACTCTGTGACTTGAATGCACATATCACAAAGAAGTTTCTGAGAATGCTTCTGTCGAGATTTTGTATGAAGATATTCCCGTTTCCAACGAAATCCTGAAATCTATCCTAATATCCCCTCGCAGATTCTACAAAAGGAGTGTTTCAAAACTGCTCTGTGAAAAGAAAGGTTCAACTCTCTTAGTTGAGTACACACATCACAAACAAGTTTCACAGAATGCTTCTTTCTAGCTTGTAGGGGAAGATATTCCCTTTATCACCATGGGCCTCAAACTGTCCGAAAAGTCCACTTCCATATACTACAAAAAGAGCGTTTCAAACCTGCTCTATGAAAGGCAATGTTCAACTCTGTGACTTGAATGCAGACATCACAGAGCAGTTTCTGAGAATGCTTCTGTCTAGATTTTATAGGAAGATATTCCCGTTTCCAACGAAACCTTCACAGCTATCCAAATATCCACTTGCAGATTCTACAAAAAGAGTGTATCAAAACTGCTCTGTCAAAAGGAAGGTTCTTCTCTGTTAGTTGAGTACATACGTCATAAAGGAGTTTCTGAGAATGTTTCTGTCTAGTGGTTATGGGAAGATATTTGCTTTTTCACCGTAGGCCTCAGAGCGCTCCAAATATCCCCTTGCACATACTACAAAAAGAGTGCTTCAAAGCTGCGCTCTGAAAGGGAATGTTCAACTCTGTGAGTTGAATGCAAACATCACAAATACGTTTCTGAGAATGCTTCTGTCTAGATTTGATATGAAGGTATTCCCGTTTCCAACGAAATCTTCAAATCTATCCAAATGTCCACTTGCAGATTCAACAAAAAGTGTTTTTCAGAACTGCTCTATCAAAAGAAAGATCCACCTCTGTTAGCTGAGTTCACCCATCACAAACAAGTTTATGAGAATGCTTCTGTCTAGTTTTTATTTGAAGATATTTCCTTTCTCACCATAGAGCTGAAAGCTGTCCTAATGTTCACTTCCAGATACTACAGAAAGAGTGTTTCAAAACTGCTGTACGAAAGGGAATGTTCAACTCTGTGACTTGAATGCACACATCTCAAAGAAGTTTCTGAGGATGCTGCTGTCTACTTTTTATACGTAATCCTGTTTCCAACGAAATCCTCCAAGCTATCCAAATATCCACTTGCAGATTCCACAGAAAGACTGTTTCAAAACTGCTCTGTCAATAGAAAAGTTCAACTCTGTTAGCTGTGTGCATATATCCCAAAGAAAATTCTGAGATTGCTTCTGTTTAGTTTTTATGGGAAGATATTTCCCTTTTCACCGTAGGTGTCAAGGCGCTCCAAATGTCCACTTCCAGATTCTACAAAAAGAGTGTTTCAAACCTACTCTGTGAAAGGGAATATTCAACTCTGTGACTTGAATGCACATATCACAAAGAAGTTTCTGAGAATGCTTCTGTCGAGATTTTATATGAAGATATTCCCGTTTCCAATGAAATCCTGAAATCTATCCAAATATCCCCTCGCAGATTCTACAAAAAGAGTGTTTCAAAACTGCTCTGTAAAAAGAAAGGTTCAACTCTGTTAGTTGAGTACACACTTCACAAACAAGTTTCACAGAATGCTTCTTTCTAGCTTGTAGGGGAAGATATTCCCTTTATCACCATGGGCCTCAAACCGTCCGATAAGTCCACTTCCATATACTACAAAAAGAGCGTTTCAAACCTGCTCTATGAAAGGCAATGTTCAACTCTGTGACTTGAATGCAGACATCACAGAGCAGTTTCTGAGAATGCTTTCTGTCTAGATTTGATATGAAGATATTCCCGTTTCCAACGAAATCTTCACAGCTATCCAAATATCCACTGGCAGATTCTACAAAAAGAGTGTATCAAAACTGCTCTGTCAAAAGGAAGGTTCTTCTCTGTTAGGTGAGTGCATACGTCATAAAGGAGTTTCTGAGAATGTTTCTGTCTAGTGGTTATGGGAAGATATTTGCTTTTTCCCCGTAGGCCTCAGGGCGCTCCAAATGTCCACTTGCACATGCTACAAAAAGAGTGCTTCAAAGCTACTCTCTGGAAGGGAATGTTCAACTCTATGAGTTGAATGCAAACATCACAAAGACGTTTCTGAGAATGCTTTTTGTCTAGATTTGATATGAAGATATTCCCGTTTCCAACGAAATCTTCAAATCTATCCAAATGTCCACTTGCAGATTCAACAAAAAGTGTTTTTCAGAACTGCTCTATCAAAAGAAAGATCCACCTCTGTTAGCTGAGTTCACACATCACAAACAAGTTTATGAGAATGCTTCTGTCTAGTTTTTATTTGAAGATATTTCCTTTCTCACCATAGACCTGAATGCTGTCCTAATGTTCACTTCCAGATACTACAGAAAGAGTTTTTCAAAACTGCTGTACGAAAGGGAATATTTAACTCTGTGACTTGAATGCACACATCACAAAGAAGTTTCTGAGGATGCTGCTGTCTACTTTTTATAGGTAATCCCGTTTCCAACGAAATCCTCCAAGCTATCCAAATATCCACTTGCAGATTCCACAGAAAGACTGTTACAAAACTGCTCTGTCAATAGAAAGGTTCAACTCTGTTAGCTGCGTGCATATATCCCAAAGAAGATTCTGAGATTGCTTCTGTCTCGTTTTTATGGGAAGATATTTCCCTTTTCACCGTAGGTGTCAAGGCGCTCCAAATGTCCACTTCCAGATACTACAAAAAGAGTGTTTCAAACCTACTCTCTGAAAGGGAATATTCAACTCTGTGACTTGAATGCAGATATCACAATGAAGTTTCTGAGAATGTTTCTGTCGAGATTTTATATGAAGATATTACCGTTTCCAACGAAATCCTGAAATCTATCGAAATATCCCCTCGCAGATTCTACAAAAAGAGTGTTTCAAAACTGCTCTGTAAAAAGAAAGGTTCAACTCTGTTAGTTGAGTACACACATCACAAACAAGTTTCACAGAATGCTTCTTTCTAGCTTGTAGGGGAAGATATTCCCTTTATCACCATGGGCCTCAAACCGTCCGAAACGTCCACTTCCATATACTACAAAAAGAGCGTTTCAACCCTGCTCTAGGAAAGGCAATGTTCAACTCTGTGACTTGAATGCAGACATCACAGAGCAGTTTCTGAGAATGCTTCTGTCTAGATTTTATAGGAAGATATTCCCGTTTCCAACGAAATCTTCACAGCTATCCAAATATCCACTTGCAGATTCTACAAAAAGAGTGTATCAAAACTGCTCTGTCAAAAGGAAGGTTCTTCTCTGTCAGTTGAGTACATACGTCATAAAGGAGTTTCTGAGAATGTTTCTCTCTAGTGGTTATGGGAAGATATTTCCTTTTTCCCCGTAGGCCTCAGGGCGCTCCAAATGTCCACTTACACATGCTACAAAAAGAGTGCTTCAAAGCTGCTCTCTGAAAGGGAATGTTCAACTCTATGAGTTGAATGCAAACATCACAAAGACGTTTCTGAGAATGCTTCTTTCTAGATTTGATATGAAGATATTCCCGTTTCCAACGAAATCTTCAAATCTATCCAAATGTCCACTTGCAGATTCAACAAAAAGTGTTTTTCAGAACTGCTCTATCAAAAGAAAGATCCACCTCTGTTAGCTGAGTTCACACATCACAAACAAGTTTATGAGAATGCTTCTGTCTAGTTTTTATTTGAAGATATTTCCTTTCTCACCATAGACCTGAAAGCTGTCCTAATGTTCACTTCCAGATACTACAGAAAGAGTGTTTCAAAACTGCTGTACGAAAAGGAATGTTCAACTCTGTGACTTGAATGCACACATCACAAAGAAGTTTCGGAGGATGCTGCTGTCTACTTTTTATACGTAATCCCGTTTCCAACGAAATCCTCCAAGCTATCCAAATATCCACTTGCAGATTCCACAGAAAGACTGTTTCAAAACTGCTCTGTCAATAGAAAGGTTCAACTCTGTTAGCTGAGTGCATATATCCCAAAGAAGATTCTGAGATTGCTTCTCTCTAGTTTTAATGGGAAGATATTTCCCTTTTCACCGTAGGCGTCAAGGCGCTCCAAATGTCCACTTCCAGATACTACAAAAAGAGTGTTTCAAACCTACTCTGTGAAAGGGAATATTCAACTCTGTGACTTGAATGCAGATATCACAAAGAAGTTTCTGAGAATGCTTCTGTCGAGATTTTATATGAAGATATTCCCGTTTCCAACGAAATGCTGAAATGTATCCAAATATCCCCTCGCAGATTCTACAAAAAGAGTGTTTCAAAACTGCTCTGTAAAAAGAAAGGTTCAACTCTGTTAGTTGAGTACACACATCACAAACTAGTTTCACAGAATGCTTCTTTCTATCTTGTAGGGGAAGATATTCCCTTTATCAGCATGGGCCTCAAACCGTCCGAAACGTCCACTTCCATATACTACAAAAAGAGCGTTTCAAACCTGTTCTAGGAAAGGCAATGTTCAACTCTGTGACTTGAATGCAGACATCACAGAGCAGTTTCTGAGAATGCTTCTGTCTAGATTTTATAGGAAGATATTCCCGTTTCCAACGAAATCTTCACAGCTATCCAAATATCCACTTGCAGATTCTACAAAAAAAGTGTATCAAAACTGCTCTGTCACAAGGAAGGTTCTTCTCTGTTAGGTGAGTGCATACGTCATAAAGGAGTTTCTGAGAATGTTTCTGTCTAGTGGTTACGGGAAGATATTTGCTTTTTCACCTTAGGCCTCACAGCGCTCCAAATATCCACTTGCACATACTACAAAAAGAGTGCTTCAAAGCTGCTCTCTGAAACGGAATGTTCAACTCTATGAGTTGAATGCAAACATCACAAAGACGTTTCTGAGAATGCTTCTGTCTAGATTTGATATGAAGATATTCCCGTTTCCAACGAAATCTTCAAATCTATCCTAATGTCCACTTGCAGATTCAACAAAAAGTGTTTTTCAGAACTGCTGTATCAAAAGAAAGATCCACCTCTGTTAGCTGAGTTCACACATCACAAACAAGTTTATGAGAATGCTTCTGTCTAGTTTTTATTTGAAGATATTTCCTTTCTCACCATAGACCTGAAAGCTGTCCTAATGTTCACTTCCAGATACTACAGAAAGAGTGTTTCAAAACTGCTGTACGGAAGGGAATGTTCAACTCTGTGACTTGAATGCACACATCACAAAGAAGTTCCTGAGGATGCTGCTGTCTACTTTTTATACCGTAATCCCGTTTCCAACGAAATCCTCCAAGCTATCCAAATATCCACTTGCAGATTCCACAGAAAGACTGTTTCAAAACTGCTATGTCAATAGAAAAGTTCAACTCTGTTAGCTGTGTGCATATATCCCAAAGAAAATTCTGAGATTGCTTCTGTCTAGTTTTTATGGGAAGATATTTCCCTTTTCACCGTAGACGTCAAGGCACTCCAAATGTCCACTTCCAGATACTACAAAAAGAGTGTTTAAAACCTACTCTGTGAAAGGGAATATGCAACTCTGTGACTTGAATGCAGATATCACAAAGATGTTTCTGAGAATGCTTCTGTCGAGATTTTATATGAAGATATTCCCGTTTCCAACGAAATCCTGAAATCTCTCCAAATATCCCCTCGCAGATTCTACAAAAAGAGTGTTTCAAAACTGCTCTGTAAAAAGAAAGGTTCAACTCTGTTAGTTCAGTACACACATCACAAACAAGTTTCACAGAATGCTTCTTTCTAGCTTGTAGGGGAAGATATTCCCTTTATCACCATGGGCCTCAAACCTTCCGAAATGTCCACTTCCATATACTACAAAAAGAGTGTTTCAAACCTGCTCTATGAAAGGCAATGTTCAACTCTGTGACTTGAATGCAGACATCACAGAGCAGTTTCTGAGAATGCTTCTGTCTAGATTTTATAGGAAGATATTCCCGTTTCCAACGAAATCTTCACAGCTATCCAAATATCCACTTGCAGATTCTACAAAAAGAGTGTATCAAAACTGCTCTGTCAAAAGGAAGGTTCTTTTCTGTTAGGTGAGTGCCATACGTCATAAAGGAGTTTCTGAGAATGTTTCTGTCTAGTGGTTATGGGAAGATATTTGCTTTTTCAGCGTAGGCCTCAGAGCGCTCCAAATATCCACTTGCACATACTTCAAAAAGAGTGTTTCAAAGCTGCTCTCTGAAAGGGAATGTTCAACTCTATGAGTTGAATGCAAACATGACAAAGACGTTTCTGAGAATGCTTCTGTCTAGATTTGATATGAAGATATTCCCGTTTCCAATGAAATCTTCAAATCTATCCAAATGTCCACTTGCAGATTCAACAAGAAGTGTTTTTCAGAACTGCTCTATCAAAAGAAAGATCCACCTCTGTTAGCTGAGTTCACACATCACAAACAAGTTTATGAGAATGCTTCTGTCTAGTTTTTATTTGAAGATATATCCTTTCTCACTATAGACCTGAAAGCTGTCCTAAAGTTCACTTCCAGATACTACAGAAAGAGTGTTTCAAAACTGCTGTACGATAGGGAATGTTCAACTCTGTGACTTGAATGCACACATCACAAGGATGTTTCTGAGGATGCTGCTGTCTACTTTTTACACGTAATCCCGTTTCCAAAGAAATCCTCCAAGCTATCCAAATATCCACTTGCAGATTCCACAGAAAGACTGTTTCAAAACTGCTCTGTCAATAGAAAGGTTCAACTCTGTTAGCTGCGTGCATATATCCCAAAGAAGATTCTGAGATTGCTTCTGTCTAGTTTTTATGGGAAGATATTTCCCTTTTCACCGTAGGTGTCAAGGCGCTCCAAATGTCCACTTCCAGATACAAAACTGCTGTACGAAAGGGAATGTTCAACTCTGTGACTAGAATGCAGAAACTTCACAAAGAAGTTTCTGAGGATGCTGCTGTCTAATTTTTATACGTAATCCCGTTTCCAACGAAATCCTCCAAGCTATCAAAATATCTACTTGCAGATTCCACAGAAAGACTGTTTCAAAACTGCTATGTCAATAGAAAAGTTCAACTCTGTTAGCTGTGTGCGTATATCCCAAAGAAAATTCTGAGATTGCTTCTTTCTAGCTTGTAGGGGAAGATATTCCCTTTATCACCATGGGCCTCAAACCGTCCGAAACGTCCACTTCCATTTACTACAAAAAGAGTGTTTCAAACCTGCTCTATGAAAGGCAATGTTCAACTCTGTGAGTTGAATGCAGACATCACAGAGCAGTTTCTGAGAATGCTTCTGTCTAGATTTTATAGGAAGATATTCCCGTTTCCAACGAAATCTTCACAGCTATCCAAATATCCACTTTCAGATTCTACAAAAAGAGTGTATCAAACTGCTCAGTCAAAAGGAAGGTTCTTCTCTGTTAGGTGAGTGCATACGTCATAAAGGAGTTTCTGAGAATGTTTCTGTCTAGTGGTTATGGGAAGATATTTGCTTTTTCACCGTAGGCCTCAGAGCGCTCCAAATGTCCACTTGCACATACTACAAAAAGATTGCTTCAAACCTGCTCTCTGAAACGGAATGTTCAACTCTATGAGTTGAATGCAAACATCACAAAGACGTTTCTGAGAATGCTTCTGTCTAGATTTGATATGAAGATATTCCCGTTACCAACGAAATCTGCAAATCTATCCAAATGTCCACTTGCAGATTCTACAAAAAGTGTTTTTCAGAACTGCTCTATCAAAAGAAAGATCCACCTCTGTTAGCTGAGTTCACACATCACAAACAAGTTTATGAGAATGCTTCTGTGTAGTTTTTATTTGAAGATATTTCCTTTCTCACCATAGACCTGAAAGCTGTCCTAATGTTCACTTCCAGATACTACAGAAAGAGTGTTTTAAAACTGCTGTACGAAAGGGAATGTTCAACTCTGTGACTTGAATGCACACATCACAAAGAAGTTTCTGAGGATGCTGCTGTCTACTTTTTATACGTAATCCCGTTTCCAACGAAATCCTCCAAGCTATCCAAATATCCACTTGCAGATTTCACAAAAAGACTGTTTCAATACTGCTCTGTCAATAGAAAGGTTCAACTCTGTTAGCTGCGTGCATATATCCCAAAGAAGATTCTGAGATTGCTTCTGTCTAGTTTTTATGGGAAGATATTTCCCTTTTCACCATAGGCGTCAAGGCGCTCCAAATGTCCACTTCCAGATACTACAAAAAGAGTGTTTCAAACCTACTCTGTGAAAGGGAATATTCAACTCTGTGACTTGAATGCAGATATCACAAAGAAGTTTCTGAGAATGCTTCTGTCGAGATTTTATATGAAGATATTCCCGTTTCCAACAAAATCCTGAAATCTATCCAAATATCCCCTCGCAGATTCTACAAAAAGAGTGTTTCAAAACTGCTCTGTAAAAAGAAAGGTTCAACTCTGTTAGTTGAGTACACACATCAGAAACAAGTTTCACAGAATGCTTCTTTCTAGCTTGTAGGGGAAGATATTCCCTTTATCACCATGGGCCTCAAACCGTCCGAAACGTCCACTTCCATATACTACAAAAAGAACGCTTCAAACCTGCTCTATGAAAGACAATGTTCAACTCTGTGACTTGAATGCAGACATCACAGAGCAGTTTGCTGAGAATGCTTCTGTCTAGATTTTATAGGAAGATATTCCCGTTTCCAACGAAATCTTCACAGCTATCCAAATATCCACTTGCAGATTCAACAAAAAGAGTGTATCAAAACTGCTCTGTCAAAAGGAAGGTTCTTCTCTGTTAGGTGAGTGCATACGTCATAAAGGAGTTTCTGAGAATGTTTCTGTCTAGTGGTTATGGGAAGATATTTGCTTTTTCACCGTAGGCCACAGAGCGCTCCAAATATCCACTTGCACATACTACAAAAAGAGTGCTTCAAAGCTGGTCTCTGAAACGGAATGTTCAACTCTATGAGTTGAATGCAAACATCACAAAGACGTTTCTGAGAATGCTTCTGTCTAGATTTGATATGAAGATATTCCCGTTTCCAACGAAATCTTCAAATCTATCCAAATGTGCACTTGCAGATTCAACAAAAAGTGTTTTTCAGAACTGCTCCATCAAAAGAAAGATCCACCTCTGTTAGCTGAGTTCACACATCACAAACAAGTTTATGAGAATGCTTCTGTCTAGTTTTTATTTGAAGATATTTCCTTTCTCACCATAGACCTGAAAGCTGTCCTAATGTTCACTTCCAGTTACTACAGAAAGAGTGTTTCAAAACTGCTGTACGAAAGGGAAGTTCAACTCTGTGACTTGAATGCACACATCACAAAGAAGTTTCTGAGGATGCTGCTGTCTACTTTTTATACGTAATCCCGTTTCCAACGAAATCCTCCAAGCTATCCAAATATCCAATTGCAGATTCCACAGAAAGACTGTTTCAAAACTGCTCTGTCAATAGAAAGGTTCAACTCTGTTAGCTGCGTGCATATATCCCAAAGAAGATTCTGAGATTTCTGCTGTCTAGTTTTTATGGGAAGATATTTCCCTTTTCACCGTAGGCGTCAAGGCGCTCCAAATATCCACTTCCAGATACCTCAAAAAGAGTGTTTCAAACCTACTCTGTGAAAGGGAATATTCAACTCTGTGACTTGAATGCACATATCACAAAGAAGTTTCTGAGAATGCTTCTGTCGAGATTTTATATGAAGATATTCCCGTTTCCAACGAAATGCTGAAATCTATCCAAATATCCCCTCGCAGATTCTACAAAAAGAGTGTTTCAAAACTGCTCTGTGAAAAGAAAGGTTCAATTCTGTTAGTTGAGTACACACATCACAAACAAGTTTCACAGAATGCTTCTTTCTAGCTTGTAGGGGAAGATATTCCCTTTATCACCATGGGCCTCAGACCGTCCGAAACGTCCACTTCCATATACTACAAAAAGAGCGTTTCAAACCTGCTCTATGAAAGGCAATGTTCAACTCTGTGACTTGAATGCAGACATCACAGAGCAGTTTCTGAGAATGCTTCCGTCTAGATTTTATAGGAAGATATTCCCGTTTCAAACGAAATCTTCACAGCTATCCAAATATCCACTTGCAGATTCTACAAAAAGAGTGTATCAAAACTGCTCTGTCAAAAGGAAGGTTCTTCTCTGTTAGTTGAGTACATACGTCATAAAGGAGTTTCTGAGAATGTTTCTGTCTAGTGGTTATGGGAAGATATTTGCTTTTTCACCGTAGGCCTCAGAGCGCTCCAAATATCCACTTGCACAAACTACAAAAAGAGTGCCTCAAAGCTGCTCTCTGAAACGGAATGTTCAACTCTATGAGTTGAATGCAAACATCACAAAGACGTTTCTGAGAATGCTTCTGTCTAGATTTGATATGAAGATATTCTCGTTTCCAACGAAATCTTCAAATCTATCCAAATGTCCACTTGCAGATTCAACAAAAAGTGTTTTTCAGAACTGCTCTATCAAAAGAAAGATCCACCTCTGTTAGCTGAGTTCACACATCACAAACAAGTTTATGAGAATGCTTCTGTCTAGTTTTTATTTGAAGATATTTCCTTTCTCACCATAGACCTGAAAGCTGTCCTAATGTTCACTTCCAGATACTACAGAAAGAGTGTTTCAAAACTGCTGTACGAAAGGGAATGTTCAACTCTGTTACTTGAATGCACACATCACAAAGAAGTTTCTGAGGATGCTGCTGTCTACTTTTTATACGTAATCCCGTTTCCAACGAAATCCTCCAAGCTATGCAAATATCCACTTGCAGATTCCACAGAAAGACTGTTTCAAAACTGCTCTGTCAATAGAAAGGTTCAACTCTGTTAGCTGCGTGCATATATCCCAAAGAAGATTCTGAGATTGCTTGTGTCTACTTTTTATGAGAAGATATTTCCCTTTTCACCGTAGGCGTCAAGGCGCTCCAAATGTCCACTTCCAGATACTACAAAAAGAGTGTTTCAAACCTACTCTGTGAAACGGAATATTCAACTCTGTGACTTGAATGCAGATATCACAAAGAAGTTTCTGAGAATGCTTCTGTCTAGATTTTATAGGAAGATATTCCCGTTTCCAACGAAATCTTCACAGCTATCCAAATATCCACTTGCAGATTCTACAAAAAGAGTGTATCAAAACTGCTCTGTCAAAAGGAAGGTTGTTCTCTGTTAGGTGAGTGCATACGTCATAAAGGAGTTTCTGAGAATGTTTCTGTCTAGTGGTTATGGGAAGATATTTGCTTTTTCACCGTAGGCCTCAGAGCTCTCCAAATATCCACTTGCACATACTACAAAAAGTGTGCCTCAAAGCTGCTCTCTGAAACGGAATGTTCAACTCTATGAGTTGAATGCAAACATCACAAAGACGTTTCTGAGAATGCTTCTGTATAGATTTGATATGAAGATATTCCCGTTTCCAACGAAATCTTCAAATCTATCTAAATGTCCACTTGCAGATTCAACAAAAAGTGTTTTTCAGAACTGCTCTATCAAAAGAAAGATCCACCTCTGTTAGCTGAGTTCACACATCACAAACAAGTTTATGAAAATGCTTCTGTCTAGTTTTTATTTGAAGATATTTCCTTTCTCACCATAGACCTGAAAGCTGTCCTAATGTTCACTTCCAGTTACTACAGAAAGAGTGTTTCAAAACTGCTGTACGAAAGGGAATGTTGAACTCTGTGACTTGAATGCACACATCACAAAGAAGTTTCTGAGGATGCTGCTGTCTACTTTTTATACGTAATCCCGTTTCCAACGAAATCCTCCAAGCTATCCAAATATCCACTTGCAGATTCCACAGAAAGACTGTTTCAAAACTGCTCTGTCAATAGAAAGGTTCAACTCTGTTAGCTGCGTGCACATATCCCAAAGAAGATTCTGAGATTGCTTCTGTCTACTTTTTATGAGAAGATATTTCCCTTTTCACCGTAGGCGTCAAGGCGCTCTAAATGTCCACTTCCAGATACTACAAAAAGAGTGTTTCAAACCTACTCTGTGAAAGGGAATATTCAACTCTGTGACTTGAATGCACATATCACAAAGAAGCTTCTGAGAATGCTTCTGTCGAGATTTTATATGAAGATATTCCCGTTTCCAACGAAATCCTGAAATGTATCCAAATATCCCCTCGCAGATTCTACAAAAAGAGTGTTTCAAAACTGCTCTGTAAAAAGAAAGGTTCAACTCTGTTAGTTGAGTACACACATCACAAACAACTTTCACACAATGCTTCTTTCTAGCTTGTAGGGGAAGATATTCCCTTTATCACCATGGGCCTCAAACCGTCCGATAAGTCCACTTCCATATACTACAAAAAGAGCATTTCAAACCTGCTCTATGAAAGGCAATGTTCAACTCTGTGACTTGAATGCAGACATCACAGAGCAGTTTCTGAGAATGCTTCTGTCTAGATTTTGTAGGAAGATATTCCCGATTCCATCGAAATCTTCACAGCTATCCAAATATCCACTTGCAGATTCTACAAAAAGAGTGTATCAAAACTGCTCTGTCAAAAGGAAGGTTCTTCTCTGTTAGGTGAGTGCATACGTCATAAAGGAGTTTCTGAGAATGTTTCTGTCTAGTGGTTATGGGAAGATATTTGCTTTTTCACCGTAGGCCTCACAGCGCTCTAAATATCCACTTGCACATACTACAAAAAGAGTGCTTAAAAGGTGCTCTCTGAAGCTGAATGTTCAACTCTATGAGTTGAATGCAAACATCACAAAGACGTTTCTGAGAATGCTTCTGTCTAGATTTGATATGAAGATATTCCCGTTTCCAACGAAATCTTCAAATCTATCCAAATGTCCACTTGCAGATTCAACAAAAAGTGTTTTTCACAACTGCTCTATCAAAAGAAAGATCCACCTCTGTTAGCTGAGTTCACACATCACAAACAAGTTTATGAGAATGCTTCTGTCTAGTTTTTATTTGAAGATATTTCCTTTCTCACCATAGACCTGAAAGCTGTCCTAATGTTCACTTCCAGATACTACAGAAAGAGTGTTTCAAAACTGCTGTATGAAAGGGAATGTTCAACTACTGTGACTTGAATGCAGACATCACAGAGCAGTTTCTGAGAATGCTGCTGTCTACTTTTTATACGTAATCCCGTTTCCAACGAAATCCTCCAAGCTATCCAAATATCCACTTGCAGATTCCACAGAAAGACTATTTCAAAACTACTCTGTCCATAGAAAGGTTCAACTCTGTTAGCTGCGTGCATATATCCCAAAGAAGATTCTGAGATTGCTTCTGTCTAGTTTTTATGGGAAGATATTTCCCTTTTCACCGTAGGCGTCAAGGCACTCCAAATGTCCACTTCCAGATACTACAAAAAGAGTGTTTCAAACCTACTCTGCGAAAGGGAATATTCAACTCTGTGACTTGAATGCACATATCACAAAGAAGTTTCTGAGAATGCTTCTGTCGAGATTTTATATGAAGATATTCCCGTTTCCAACGAAATCCTGAAATGTATCCAAATATCCACTCGCAGATTCTACAAAAAGAGTGTTTCAAAACTGCTCTGTAAAAAGAAAGGTTCAACTCTGTTAGTTGAGTACACACATCACAAACAAGTTTCACAGAATGCTTCTTTCTAGCTTGTAGGGGAAGATATTCCCTTTATCACCATGGGCCTCAAACCGTCCGAAACGTCCACTTGCATATACTACAAAAAGAGTGTTTCAAACCTGCTCTATGAAAGGCAATGTTCAACTCTGTGACTTGAATGCAGACATCACAGAGCAGTTTCTGAGAATGCTTCTGTCTAGATTTTATAGGAAGATATTCCCGTTTCCAACGAAATCTTCACAGCTATCCAAATATCCACTTGCAGATTCTACAAAAAGAGTGTATCAAAACTGCTCTGTCAAAAGGAAAGTTCTTCTCTGTTAGGTGAGTGCACACGTCATAAAGGAGTTTCTGAGAATGTTTCTGTCTAGTGGTTACGGGAAGATATTTGCTTTTTCACCTTAGGCCTCACAGCGCTCCAAATATCCACTTTCACATACTACAAAAAGAGTGCTTCAAAGCTGCTCTCTGAAACGGAATGTTCAACTCTATGAGTTGAATGCAAACATCACAAAGACGTTTCTGAGAATGCTTCTGTCTAGATTTGATATGGAGATATTCCCGTTTCCAACGAAATCTTCAAATCTATCCAAATGTCCACTTGCAGATTCAACAAAAAGTGTTTTTCAGAACTGCTCTATCAAAAGAAAGATCCACCTCTGTTAGCTGAGTTCACACATCACAAACAAGTTTATGAGAATGCTTCTGTCTAGTTTTTATTTGAAGATATTTCCTTTCTCACCATAGACCTGAAAGCTGTCCTAATGTTCACTTCCAGATACCACAGAAAGAGTGTTTAAAAACTGCTGTACGAAAGGGAATGTTCAACTCTGTGACTTGAATGCACACATCACAAAGAAGGTTCTGAGGATGTTGCTGTCTACTTTTTATACGTAATCCCGTTTCCAGCGAAATCCTCCAAGCTATCCAAATATCCACTTGCAGATTCCACAGAAAGACTGTTTCAAAACTGCTCTGTCAATAGAAAGGTTCAACTCTGTTAGCTGCGTGCATATATCCCAAAGAAGATTCTGAGATTGCTTCTGTCTAGTTTTTATGGGAAGATATTTCCCTTTTCACCGTAGGTGTCAACGCGCTCCAAATGTCCACTTCCAGATACTACAAAAAGAGTGTTTCAAACCTACTCTGTGAAAGGGAATATTCAACTCTGTGACTTGAATGCACATATCACAAAGAAGTTTCTGAGAATGCTTCTGTCGAGATTTTATATGAAGATATTCCCGTTTCCAACAAAATCCTGAAATGTATCCAAATATCCCCTCGCAGATTCTACAAAAAGAGTGTTTCAAAACTGCTCTGTAAAAAGAAAGGTTCAACTCTGTTAGTTGAGTACACACATCACAAACAAGTTTCACAGAATGCTTCTTTCTAGCTTGTAGTGGAAGATATTCCCTTTATCACCATGGGCCTCAAACCGTCTGAAACGTCCACTTCCATATACTACAAAAAGAGCATTTCCAACCTGCTCTATGAAAGGCAATGTTCAACTCTGTGACTTGAATGCAGACATCACAGAGCAGTTTCTGAGAATGCTTCTGTCTAGATTTTATAGGAAGATATTCCCGTTTCCAACGAAATCTTCACAGCTATCCAAATATCCACTTGCAGATTCTACAAAAAGAGTGTGTCAAAACTGCTCTGTCAAAAGGAAGGTTCTTCTCTGTTAGGTGAGTGCATACGTCATAAAGCAGTTTCTGAGAATGTTTCTGTCTAGTGGTTATGGGAAGATATTTGCTTTTTCACCGTAGGCCTCAGAGCGCTCCAAATATCCACTTGCACATACTACAAAAAGAGTGCCTCATACTGCTCTCTGAAACGGAATGTTCAACTCTATGAGTTGAATGCAAACATCGCAAAGACGTTTCTGAGAATGCTTCTGTCTAGATTTGATATGAAGATATTCCCGTTTCCAGCGAAATCTTCAAATCTATCGAAATGTCCACTTGCAGATTCAACAAAAAGTGTTTTTCAGAACTGCTCTATCAAAAGAAAGATCCACCTCTGTTAGCTGAGTTCACACATCACAAACAAGTTTATGAGAATGCTTCTGTCTAGTTTTTATTTGAAGATATATCCTTTCTCACTATAGACCTGAAAGCTCTCCTAAAGTTCACTTCCAGATACTACAGAAAGAGTGTTTCAAAACTGCTGTACGAAAGGGAATATTCAACTCTGTGACTTGAATGCACACATCACAAGGAAGTTTCTCAGGATGCTGCTGTCCACTTTTTATACGTAATCCCGTTTCCAACGAAATCCTCCAATCTATCCAAATATCCACTTGCAGATTCCACAGAAAGACTGTTTCAAAACTGCTCTGTCAATAGAAAGGTTCAACTCTGTTAGCTGCGTGCATATATCCCAAAGAAGATTCTGAGATTGCTTCTGTCTAGTTTTTATGGGAAGATATTTCCCTTTTCACCGTAGGTGACAAGGCGCTCCAAATGTCCACTTCCAGATACTACAAAAAGAGTGTTTCAAACCTACTCTGTGAAAGGGAATATTCAACTCTGTGACTTAAAGGCAGATATCACAAAGAAGTTTCTGAGAATGCTTCTGTCGAGATTTTATATGAAGATATTCCCGTTTCCAACGAAATCCTGAAATCTATCCAAATATCCCCTCGCAGATTTTATAAAAAGAGTGTTTCAAAACAGCTCTGTGAAAAGAAAGGTTCAACTCTGTTAGTTGAGTACACACATCACAAAGAAGTTTCACAGAATGCTTCTTTCTAGCTTGTAGGGGAAGATATTCCCTTTATCACCATGGGCCTCCAACCGTCCGATAAGTCCACTTCCATATCCTACAAAAAGAGCGTTTCAAACCTGCTCTATGAAAGGCAATGTTCAACTCTGTGACTTGAATGCAGACATCACAGAGCAGTTTCTGAGAATGCTTCTGTCTAGATTTTATAGGAAGATATTCCCGTTTCCAAAGAAATCTTCACAGCTATCCAAATATCCACTTGCAGATGCTACAAAAAGAGTGTATCAAAAATGCTCTGTCAAAAGGAAGGTTATTCTCTGTTAGGTGAGGGCATACGTCATAAAGGAGTTTCTGAGAATGTTTCTGTCTAGTGGTTATGGGAAGATATTTGCTTTTTCACCGTAGGCCACAGAGCGATCAAAACATCCACTTGCACATACTACAAAAAGAGTGCTTCAAAGCTGCTCTCTGAAAGTGAATGTTCAACTCTATGAGTTGAATGCAAACATCACAAAGAAGTTTCTGAGAATGCTTCTGTCTAGATTTGATATAAAGATATTCCCGTTTCCAATGAAATCTTCAAATCTATCCAAATGTCCACTTGCAGATCCAACAAAAAGTGTTTTTCAGAACTGCTCTATCAAAAGAAAGATCCACCTCTGTTAGCTGAGTTCACACATCACAAACAAGTTTATGAGAATGCTTCTGTCTAGCTTTTATTTGAAGATATATCCTTTCTCACTATAGACCTGAAAGCTCTCCTAAAGTTCACTTCCAGATACTACAGAAAGAGTGTTTCAAAACTGCTGTACGAAAGGGAATGTTCAACTCTGTGACTTGAATGCACACATCACAAAGAAGTTTCTGAGGATGCTGCTGTCTACTTTTTATACGTAATCCCGTTTCCAACGAAATCCTCCAAGCTATCCAAATATCCACTTGCAGATTCCACAGAAAGACTGTTTCAAAACTGCTCTGTCAATAGAAAGGTTCAACTCTGTTAGCTGCGTGCATATATCCCAAAACAGATTCTGAGATTGCTTCTGTCTACTTTTTATGAGAAGATATTTCCCTTTTCACCGTAGGCGTCAAGGCACTCCCAATGTCCACTTCCAGATACTACAAAAAGAGTGTTTCAAACCTACTCTGTGAAAGGGAATATTCAACTCTGTGACTTGAATGCACATATCACAAAGAAGCTTCTGAGAATGCTTCTGTCGAGATTTTATATGAAGATATTCCCATTTCCAACGAAATCCTGAAATCTATCCAAATATGCCCTCGCAGATTCTACAAAAAGAGTGTTTCAAAACTGCTCTGTAAAAAGAAAGGTTCAACTCTGTTAGTTGAGTACACACATCACAAACAAGTTTCACAGAATGCTTCTTTCTAGCTTGTAGGGGAAGATATTTCCTTTATCACCATGGGCCTCAAACCGTCCGAAACGTCCACTTCCATATACTAAAAAAAGAGTGCTTGAAACCTGCTCTATGAAAGGCAATGTTCAACTCTGTGACTTGAATGCAGACATCACAGTAGCAGTTTCTGAGAATGCTTCTGTCTAGATTTTATAGGAATATATTCCCGTTTCCAACGAAATCTTCACAGCTATCCAAATATCCACTTGCAGATTCTACAAAAAGAGTGTATCAAAACTGCTCTGTCAAAAGGAAGGTTCTTTTCTGTTAGGTGAGTGCATACGTCATAAAGGAGTTTCTGAGAATGTTTCTGTCTAGTGGTTATGGGAAGATATTTGCTTTTTCACCGTAGGCCTCAGAGCGCTCCAAATATCCACTTGCACATACTACAAAAAGAGTGCCTCAAAGCTGCTTTCTGAAACGGAATGTTCAACTCTATGAGTTGAATGCAAACAACGCAAAGACGTTTCTGAGAATGCTTCTGTCTAGATTTGATATGAAGATATTCCCGTTTCCAATGAAATCTTCAAATCTATCCAAATGTCCACTTGCAGATTCAACAAAAAGTGTTTTTCAAAACTGCTGTATCAAAAGAAAGATCCACCTCTGTTAGCTGAGTTCACACATCACAAACAAGTTTATGAGAATGCTTCTGTCTAGTTTTTATTTGAAGATGTTTCCTTTCTCACCATAGACCTGAAAGCTGTCCTAATGTTCACTTCCAGATACTACAGAAAGAGTGTTTCAAAACTGCTGTACGAAAGGGAATGTTCAACTCTGTGACTTGAATGCACACATCACAAAGGAGTTTCTGAGGATGCTGCTGTCTACTTTTTATATGTAATCCCGTTTCCAACGAAATCCTCCAAGCTATCCAAATATCCACTTGCAGATTCCACAGAAAGACTGTTTCAAAACTGCTCTGTCAATAGAAAGGTTCAACTCTGTTAGCTGCGTGCATATATCCCAAAGAAGATTCTGAGATTGCTTCTGTCTAGTTTTTATGGGAAGATATTTCCCTTTTCACCGTAGGTGTCAAGGCGCTCCAAATGTCCACTTAAAGATACTACAAAAAGAGTGTTTCAAACCTACTCTGTGAAAGGGAATATTCAACTCTGTGACTTGAATGCAGATATCACAAAGAAGTTTCTGAGAATGCTTCTGTCGAGATTTTATATGAAGATATTCCCGTTTCCAAGGAAATCCTGAAATCTATCCAAATATCCCCTCGCAGATTCTACAGAAAGAGTGGTTCAACACTGCTCTGTAAAACGAAAGGTTCAACTCTGTTAGTTGAGTACACACATCACAAACAAGTTTCACAGAATGCTTCTTTCTAGCTTGTAGGGGAAGATATTCCCTTTATCACCATGGGCCTCAAACCGTCCGAAACGTCCACTTCCATATACTACAAAAAGAGTGTTTCAAACCTGCTCTATGAAAGGCAATGTTCAGCTCTGTGACTTGAATGCAGACATCACAGAGCAGTTTCTGAGAATGCTTCTGTCTAGAGTTTATAGGAAGATATTCCCGTTTCCAACGAAATCTTCACAGCTATCCAAATATCCACTTGCAGATTCTACAAAAAGAGTGTATCAAAACTGCTCTGTCAAAAGGAAGGTTCTTTTCTGTTAGGTGAGTGCATACGTCATAAAGGAGTTTCTGAGAATGTTTCTGTCTAGTGGTTATGGGAAGATATTTGCTTTTTCACCGTAGGCCTCAGAGCGCTCCAAATATCCCCTTGCACATACTACAAAAAGAGTGCTTCAAAGCTGCTCTCTGAAAGGGAATCTTCAACTCTATGAGTTGAATGCCAACATCACAAAGACGTTTCTGAGAATGCTTCTGTCTAGATTTGATATGAAGATATTCCCGTTTCCAACGAAATCTTCAAATCTATCCAAATGTCCACTTGCAGATTCAACAAAGTGTTTTTCAGAACTGCTCTATCAAAAGAAAGATCCACCTCTGTTAGCTGAGATCACTCTTCACAAACAAGTTTATCAGAATGCTTCTGTCTAGTTTTTATTTGAAGATATTTCCTTTCTCACCATAGACCTGAAAGCTGTCCTAATGTTCACTTCCAGATACTACAGAAAGAGTGTTTCAAAACTGCTGTACTAAAGGGAATGTTCAACTCTGTGACTTGAATGCACACATCACAAAGAAGTTTCTGAGGATGCTGCTGTCTACTTTTTATACGTAATCCCGTTTCCAACGAAATCCTCCAAGCTATCCAAATATCCACTTGCAGATTCCACAGAAACACTGTTTCAAAACTGTTCTGTCAATAGAAAGGTTCAACTATGTTAGCTGCGTGCATATATCCCAAAGAAGATTCTGAGATTGCTTCTCTGTCTAGTTTTTATGGGAAGATATTTCCCTTTTCACCGTAGGCGTCAAGGCCCTCCAAATGTCCACTTCCAGATACTACAAAAAGAGTGTTTCAAACCTACTCTGTGAAAGGGAATATTCAACTCTGTGACTTGAAGGCAGATATCACAAAGAAGTTTCTGAGAATGCTTCTGTCGAGATTTTATATGAAGATATTCCCGTTTCCAACGAAATCCTGAAATCTATCCAAATATCCCCTCGCAGATTCTACAAAAAGAGTGTTTCAAAACTGCTCTGTATAAAGAAAGGTTCAACACTGTTAGTTGAGTACACACATCACAAACAAGTTTCACAGAATGCTTCTTTCTAGCTTGTAGGGGAAGATATTCCCTTTATCACCATGGGCCTCAAACCGTCCGAAACGTCCACTTCCATATACTACAAAAAGAGCGTTTCAAACCTGCTCTAGGAAAGGCAATGTTGAACTCTGTGACTTGAATGCAGACATCACAGAGCAGTTTCTGAGAATGCTTCTGTCTAGATTTTATAGGAAGATATTCCCGTTTCCAACGAAATCTTCACAGCTATCCCAATATAAACTTGCAGATTCTACAAAAAGAGTGTATCAAAACTGCTCTGTCAAAAGGAAGGTTCTTCTCTGTTAGGTGAGTGCATACGTCATAAAGGAGTTTCTGAGAATGTTTCTGTCTAGTGGTTATGGGAAGATATTTGCTTTTTCCCCGTAGGCCTCAGGGCGCTCCAAATGTCCACTTGCACATGCTACAAAAAGAGTGCTTCAAAGCTACTCTCTGGAAGGGAATGTTCAACTACTATGAGTTGAATGCAAACATCACAAAGACCTTTCTGAGAATGCTTCTGTCTAGATTTGATTTGAAGATATTCACGTTTCCAACGAAATCTTCAAATCTATCCAAATGTCCACTTGCAGATTCAACAAAAAGTGTTTTTCAGAACTGCTCTATCAAAAGAAAGATCCACCTCTGTTAGCTGAGTTCAGACATCATAAACAAGTTTATGAGAATGCTTCTGTCTAGTTTTTATTTGAAGGTATTTCCTTTCTCACCCTAGACCTGAAAGCTGTCCTAATGTTCACTTCCAGATACTACAGAAAGAGTGTTTCAAAACTGCTGTACGAAAGGGAATGTTCAACTCTGGGACTTGAATGCATACATCACAAAGAAGTTTCTGAGGATGCTGCTGTCTACTTTTTATACGTAATCCTGTTTCCAACGAAATCCTCCAAGCTATCCAAATATCCACTTGCAGATTCCACAGAAAGACTGTTTCAAAACTGCTCTGTCAATAGAAAGGTTCAACTCTGTTAGCTGCGTGCATGTATCCCAAAGAGGATTCTGAGATTGCTTCTGTCTAGTTTTTATGGGAAGATATTTCCCTTTTCACCGTAGGCGTCAAGGCGCTCCAAATGTCCACTTCCAGATACTACAAAAAGAGTGTTTCAAACCTACTCTGTGAAAGGGAATATTCAACTCTGTGACTTGAATGCACATATCACAAAGAAGTTTCTGAGAATGATTCTGTCGAGATTTTATATGAAGATATTCCCGTTTCCAACGAAATCCTGAAATCTATCCAAATATCCCCTCGCACATTCTACAAAAAGAGTGTTTCAAAACTGCTCTGTAAAAAGAAAGGTTCAACTCTGTTAGTTGAGTACACACATCACAAACAAGTTTCACAGAATGCTTCTTTCTAGCTTGTAGGGGAAGATATTCCCTTTATCACCAAGGGCCTCAAACCGTCCGAAACGTCCACTTCCATATACTACAAAAAGAGCGTTTCAAACCTGCTCTAGGAAAGGCAATGTTCAACTCTGTGACTTGAATGCAGACATCACAGAGCAGTTTCTGAGAATGATTCTGTCTAGATTTTATAGGAAGATATTCCCGTTTCCAACGAAATCTTCACAGATATCCAAATATCCACTTGCAGATTCTACAAAAAGAGTGTATCAAAACTGCTCTGTCAAAAGGAAGGTTCTTCTCTGTTAGGTGAGTGCATACGTCATAAAGGAGTTTCTGAGAATGTTTCTGTCTAGTGGTTATGGGAAGATATTTGCTTTTTCACCGTAGGCCTCACAGCGCTCCAAATATCCCCTTGCACATACTACAAAAAGAGTGCTTCAAAGCTGCTCTCTGAAAGGGAATGTTCAACTCTATGAGTTGAATGCAAACATCACAAAGACGTTTCTGAGAATGCTTCTGTCTAGATTTGATATGAAGATATTCCTTTTTCCAAGGAAATCTTCAAAACTATCCAAATGTCCACTTGCAGATTCAACAAAAAGTGTTTTTCAGAACTGCTCTATCAAAAGAAAGATCCACCGTTGTTAGCTGAGTTCACACATCACAAACAAGTTTATGAGAATGCTTCTGTCTAGTTTTTATTTGAAGATATTTCCTTTCTCACCATAGACCTGAAAGCTGTCCTAATGTTCACTTCCAGATACTACAGAAAGAGTGTTTCAAAACTGCTCTGTAAAAAGAAAGGTTCAACTCTGTTAGTTGAGTACACACATCACAAACAAGTTTCACAGAATGCTGCTGTCTACTTTTTATACGTAATCCCGTTTCCAACGAAATCCTCCAAGCTATCCAAATATCCACTTGCAGATTCCACAGAAAGACTGTTTCAAAACTGCTCTGTCAATAGAAAGGTTCAACTCTGTTAGCTGCGTGCATATATCCCAAAGGAAGATTCTGAGATTGCTTCTGTCTACTTTTTATGGGAAAATATTTCCCTTTTCACCGTAGGTGTCAAGGCGCTCCAAATGTCCACTTCCAGATACTACAAAAAGAGTGTTTCAAACCTACTCTGTGAAAGGGAATATTCAACTCTGTGACTTGAATGCAGATATCACAAAGAAGTTTCTGAGAATGCTTCTGTCGAGATTTTATATGAAGATATTCCCGTTTCCAACGAAATCCTGAAATCTATCCAAATATCCCCTCGCAGATTCTACAAAAAGAGTGTTTCAAAACTGCTCTGTAAAAAGAAAGGTTCAACTCTGTTAGTGGAGTACACACATCACAAACAAGTTTCACACAATGCTTCTTTCTAGCTTGTAGGGGAAGATATTCCCTTTATCACCATGGGCCTCAAACCGTCCGAAACGTCCACTTCCATATACTTCAAAAAGAGCGTTTCAAACCTGCTCTATGAAAGGCAATGTTCAACTCTGTGACTTGAATGCAGACATCACAGAGCTGTTTCTGAGAATGCTTCTGTCTAGATTTTATAGGAAGATATTCCCGTTTCCAACGAAATCTTCACAGCTATCCAAATATCCACTTTCAGATTCTACAAAAAGAGTGTATGAAAAGTGCTCTGTCAAAAGGAAGGTTCTTCTCTGTTAGGTGAGTGCATACGTCATAAAGGAGTTTCTGAGAATGTTTCTGTCTAGTGGTTATGGGAAGATATTTGCTTTTTCAACGTAGGCCTCAGAGCGCTCCAAATATCCACTTGCACATACTACAAAAAGAGTGCTTCAAAGCTGCTCTCTGAAACGGAATGTTCAACTCTATGAGTTGAATGCAAACATCACAAAGACGTTTCTGAGAATGCTTCTGTCTAGATTTGATATGAAGATATTCCCGTTTCCAACGAAATCTTCAAATCTATCCAAATGTCCACTTGCAGATTCAACAAAAAGTTTTTTTCAGAACTGCTCTATCAAAAGAAAGATCCACCTCTGTTAGCTGAGTTCACACATCACAAACAAGTTTATGAGAATGCTTCTGTCTTGTTTTTATTTGAAGATATTTCCTTTCTCACCATAGACCTGAAAGCTGTCCTAATGTTCACTTCCAGATACTACAGAAAGAGTGTTTCAAAACTGCTGTACGAAAGGGAATGTTCAACACTGTGACTTGAATGCACACATCACAAAGAAGTTTGCTGAGGATGCTGCTGTCTACTTTTTATACGTAATCCCATTTCCAACGAAATCCTCCAAGCTATCCAAATATCCACTTGCAGATTCCACAGAAAGACTGTTTCAAAACTGCTATGTCAATAGAAAAGTTCAACTCTGTTAGCTGTGTGCATATATCCCAAAGATAATTCTGAGATTGCTTCTGTCTAGTTTTTATGGGAAGATATTTCCCTTTTCACCGTAGGCGTCAAGGCGCTCCAAATGTCCACTTCCAGATACTACAAAAAGATTGTTTCAAACCTACTCTGTGAAAGGGAATATTCAACTCTGTGACTTGAATGCACATATCACAAAGAAGTTTCTGAGAATGCTTCTGTCGAGATTTTATATGAAGATATTCCCCTTTCCAACGAAATCCTGAAATCTATCCAAATATCCCCTCGCAGATTCTACAAAAAGAGTGTTTCAAAACTGCTCTGTAAAAAGAAAAGTTCAACTCTGTTAGTTGAGTACACACATCACAAACAAGTTTCACAGAATGCTTCTTTCTAGCTTGTAGGGGAAGATATTTCCTTTATCTCCATGGGCATCAAGCCGTCCGAAACGTCCACTTCCATATATTACGAAAAGAGCGTTTCATACCTCCTCTGTGAAAGGCAATGTTCAACTCTCTGACTTGAATGCAGACATCACAGAGCAGTTTCTGAGAATGCTTCTGTTTAGATTTTATAGGAAGATATTCCCGTTTCCAACGAATTCTTCACTGATATCCAAATATCCACTTGCAGAGTCTACAAAAAGAGTGTATCAATACTGCTCTGTAAAAAGGAAGGTTCTTCTCTGTTAGTTGAGTACATACGTCATAAAGAAGTTTCTGAGAATGTTTCTGTCTAGTGGTTATGGGAAGATATTTGCTTTTTCACCTTAGGCCTCAGAGCGCTCCAAATATCCACTTGCACATACTACAAAAAGAGTGCTTCAAAGCTGCTCTCTGAAAGGGAATGTTCAACTCTATGAGTTGAATGCAAACATCACAAGGACGTTTCTGACAATGCTCTGTCTAGATTTGATATGAAGATATTCCCGTTTCCAACGAAATCTTCATATCTATCCAAATGTCCACTTGCAGATTCAACAAAAAGTGTTTTTCAAAACTGCTGTATCAAAAGAAAGATCCACGTCTGTTAGCTGAGTTCACACATCACAAACAAGTTTATGAGAATGCTTTCTGTCTAGTTTCTATTTGAAGATATTTCCTTTCTCACCATAGACCTGAAAGCTGTCCTAATGTTCACTTCCAGATACTACAGAAAGAGTGTTTCAAAACTGCTGTACGAAAGGGAACGTTCAACTCTGTGACTTGAATGCACACATCACAAAGAAGTTTCTGAGGATGCTGCTGTCTACTTTTTATACTTAATCCCGTTTCCAACGAAATCCTCCAAGCTATCCAAATATCCACTTGCAGATTCCACAGAAAGACTGTTTCAAAACCGCTCTGTCAATAGAAAGGTTCAACTCTGTTAGCTGCGTGCATATATCCCAAAGAAGATTCTGAGATTCCTTCTGTCTAGTTTTTATGGGAAGATATTTCCCTTTTCACCGTAGGCATCAAGGCGCTCCAAATGTCCACTTCCAGATACTACAAAAAGAGTGTTTGAAACCTACTCTGTGAAAGGGAATATTCAACTATGTGACTTGAATGCAGATATCCCAAAGAAGTTTCTGAGAATGCTTCTGTCGAGATTTTATATGAGGATATTCCCGTTTCCAACGAAATCCTGAAATCTATCCAAATATCCCCTCACAGATTCTACAAAAAGAGTGTTTCAAAACTGCTCTGTAAAAAGAAAGGTTCAACTCTGTTAGTTGAGTACACACATCACAAACAAGTTTCACAGAATGCTTCTTTCTAGCTTGTAGGGGAAGATACTCCCTTTATCACCATGCGCCTCAAACCGTCCGAAACGTCCACTTCCATATACTACAAAAAGAGCGTTTCAAACCTGCTCTAGGAAAGGCAATGTTCAACTCTGTGACTTGAATGCAGACATCACAGAGCAGTTTCTGAGAATGCTTCTGTCTAGATTTTATAGGAAGATATTCCCGTTTCCAACGAAATCTTCACAGCTATCCAAATATCCACTTGCAGATTCTACAAAAAGAGTGTATCAAAACTGCTCTGTCGAAAGGAAGGTTCTCCTCTGTTAGGTGAGTGCATACGTCATAAAGGAGTTTCTGAGAATGTTTCTGTCTAGTGGTTATGGGAAGATATTTGCTTTTTCCCCGTAGGCCTCAGGGCGCTCCAAATGTCCACTTGCACATGCTACAAAAAGAGTGCTTCAAAGCTACTCTCTGGAAGGGAATGTTCAACTCTATGAGTTGAATGCAAACATCACAAAGACCTTTCTGAGAATGCTTCTGTCTAGATTTGATATGAAGATATTCCCGTTTCCAACGAAATCTTCAAATCTATCCAAATGTCCCCTTGCAGATTCAACAAAAATTGTTTTTCAGAACTGCTCTATCAAAAGAAAGATCCACGTGTGTTAGCTGAGTTCACACATCACAAACAAGTTTATGAGAATGCTTCTGTCTAGTTTTTATTTGAAGATATTTCCTTTCTCACCGTAGACCTGAAAGCTGTCCTAATGTTCACTTCCAGATACTACAGAAAGAGTGTTTCAAAACTGCTGTACGAAAGGGAATGTTCAACTCTGTGACTTGAATGCACACATCACAAAGAAGTTTCTGAGGATGCTGCTGTCTACTTTTTATACTTAATCCCGTTTCCAACGAAATCCTTCAAGCTATCCAAATATCCACTTGCAGATTCCACAGAAAGACTGTTTCAAAACTGCTCTGTCAATAGAAAGGTTCAACTCTGTTAGCTGCGTGCATATATCCCAAAGAAGATTCTGAGATTGCTTCTGTCTAGTTTTTATGGGAAGATATTTCCCTTTTCACCGTAGGTGTCAAGGCGCTTCAAATGTCCACTTCCAGATACTACAAAAAGAGTGTTTCAAACCTACTCTCTGAAAGGGAATATTCAACTCTGTGACTTGAATGCAGATATCACAATGAAGTTTCTGAGAATGCTTCTGTCGAGATTTTATATGAAGATATTCCCGTTTCCAACGAAATCCTGAAATCTATCCAAATATCCCCTCGCAGATTCTACAAAAAGAGTGTTTCAAAACTGCTCTGTGAAAAGAAAGGTTCAACTCTGTTAGTTGAGTACAGACATCACAAACAAGTTTCACAGAATGCTTCTTTCTAGCTTGTAGGGGAAGATATTCCCTTTATCACCATAGGCCTCCAACCGTCCGAAACATCCACTTCCATATACTACAAAAAGAGCGTTTCAAACCTGCTCTATGAAAGGCAATGTTCAACTCTGTGACTTGAATGCAGACATCACAGAGCAGTTTCTGAGAATGCTTCTGTCTAGATTTTATAGGAAGATATTCCCGCTTCCAACGAAATCTTCACAGCTATCCAAATATCCACTTGCAGATTCTACAAAAAGAGTGTATCAAAACTGCTCTGTCAAAAGGAAGGTTCTTCTCTGTTAGTTGAGTACATACGTCATAAAGGAGTTTCTGAGAATGTTTCTGTCTAGTGGTTATGGGAAGATATTTGCTTTTTCACCGTAGGCCTCAGAGCGCACCAAATATCCACTTGCACATACTACAAAAGGAGTGCTTCAAAGCTGCTCTCTGAAACGGAATGTTCAACTCTATGAGTTGAATGCAAACATCACAAAGACGTTTCTGAGAATGCGTCTGTCTAGATTTGATATGAAGATATTCCCGTTTCCAACGAAATCTTCAAATCTTTCCAAATGTCCACTTGCAGATTCAACAAAAAGTGTTTTTCAGAACTGCTCTATCAAAAGAAAGATCCACCTCTGTTAGCTGAGTTCACACATCACAAACAAGTTTATGAGAATGCTTCTGTCTAGTTTTTATTTGAAGATATTTCCTTTCTCACCATAGACCTGAAAGCTGTCCTAATGTTCACTTCCAGATACTACAGAAAGAGTGTTTCAAAACTGCTGTACGAAAGGGAATGTTCAACTCTGTGACTTGAATGCCCACATCACAAAGATGTTTCTGAGGATGCTGCGGTCTACTTTTTATACGTAATCCCGTTTCCAACGAAATCCTCCAAGCTATCCAAATATCCACTTGCAGATTCCACAGAAAGACTGTTTCAAAACTGCTCTGTCAATAGAAAGGTTCAACTCTGTTAGCTGCGTGCATATATCCCAAAGAAGATTCTGAGATTGCTTCTGTCTAGTTTTTATGGGAAGATATTTCCCTTTTCACCATAGGCGTCAAGGCGCTCCAAATGTCCACTTCCAGATACTACAAAAAGAGTGTTTCAAACCTACTCTGTGAAAGGGAATATTCAACTCTGTGACTTGAATGCACATATCACAAGGAAGTTTCTGAGAATGCTTCTGTCGAGATTTTATATGAAGATATTCCCGTTTCCAACCAAATCCTGAAATCTATCCAAATATCCCCTCGCAGATTCTACAAAAAGAGTGTTTCAAAACTGCTCTGTAAAAAGAAAGGTTCAACTCTGTTAGTTGAGTACACACCTCACAAACAAGTTTCACAGAATGCTTCTTTCTAGCTTGTAGGGGAAGATATTCCCTTTATCACCATGGGCCTCAAACCGTCCGATAAGTCCACTTCCATATACTACAAAAAGAGCGTTTCAAACCTGCTCTATGAAGGGCAATGTTCAACTCTGTGACTTGAATGCAGACATCACAGAGCAGTTTCTGAGAATGCTTCTGTCCAGACTTTATAGGAAGATATTCCCGTTTCCAACGAAATCTTCACAGCTATCCAAATATCCACTTGCAGATACTACAAAAAGAGTGTATCAAAAATGCTCTGTCAAAAGGAAAGTTCTTATCTGCTAGTTGAGTACATACGTCATAAAGAAGTTTCTGAGAATGTTTCTGTCTAGTGGTTATGGGAAGATATTTGCTTTTTCACCGTAGGCCTCAGAGCGCTCCAAATATCCACTTGCACATACTACAAAAAGAGTGCCTCAAACTGCTCTCTGAAACGGAATGTTCAACTCTATGAGTTGAATGCAAACATCCCAAAGACGTTTCTGAGAATGCTTCTGTCTAGATTTGATATGAAGATATTCCCGTTTCCAACGAAATCTTCAAATCTATCCAAATGTCCACTTGCAGATTCAACAAAAAGTGTTTTTCAGAACTGCTCTATCAAAAGAAAGACCCATCTCTGTTAGCTGAGTTCACACATCACAAACAAGTTTATGAGAATGCTTCTGTCTAGTTTTTATTGGAAGATATTTCCCTTCTCACCATAGACCTGAAAGCTGTCCTAATGTTCACTTCCAGATACTACAGAAAGAGTGTTTCAAAACTGCTGTACGAAAGGGAATGTTCAACTCTGTGACTTGAATGCACACATCACAAAGAAGTTTCTGAGGATGCTGCTGTCTACTTTTTATACGTAATCCCGTTTCCAACGAAATCCTCCAAGCTATCCAAATATCCACTTGCAGATTCCACAGAAAGACTGTTTCAAAACTGCTATGTCAATAGAAAGGTTCAACTCTGTTAGCTCCGTGCATATATCCCAAAGAAGATTCTGAGATTACTTCTGTCTAGTTTTTATGGGAAGATATTTCCCTTTTCACCGTAGGCGTCAAGGCGCTCCAAATGTCCACTTCCAGATACTACAAAAAGAGTGTTTCAAACCTACTCTGTGAAAGGGAATATTCAACTCTCTGACTTGAATGCACATATCACAAAGAAGTTTCTGAGAATGCTTCTGTCGAGATTTTATATGAAGATATTCCCGTTTCCAATGAAATCCTGAAATCTATCCAAATATCCCCTCGCAGATTCTACAAAAAGAGTGTTTCAAAACTGCTCTGTAAAAAGAAAGGTTCAACTCTGTTGGTTGTGTACACACATCACAAACAAGTTTCACAGAATGCTTCTTTCTAGCTTGTGGGGGAAGATATTCCCTTTATCACCATGGGACTCAAACCGTCCGAAACGTCCACTTCCATATACTACAAAAAGAGCGTTTCAAACCTGCTCTATGAAAGGCAATGTTCAACTCTGTGACTTGAATGCAGACATCACAGAGCAGTTTCTGAGAATGCTTCTGTCTAGATTTTATAGGAAGATATTCCCGTTTCCAACGAAATATTCACAGGTATCCAAATATCCACTTGCAGATTCTACAAAAAGAGTGTATCAAAACTGCTCTGTCAAAAGGAAGGTTCTTCTCTGTTAGGTGAGTGCATACGTCATAAAGGAGTTTCTGAGAATGTTTCAGTCTAGTGGTTATGGGAAGATATTTGCTTTTTCACTGCAGGCCTCACAGCGCTCCAAATATCCACTTGCACATACTACAAAAAGAGTGCTTCAAAGCTGCTCTCTGAAACGGAATGTTCAACTCTATGAGTTGAATGCAAACATCACAAAGACGTTTCCGAGAAATGCTTCTGTCTAGATTTGATATGAAGATATTCCCGTTTCCAACGAAATCTTCAAATCTATCCAAATGTCCACTTGCAGATTCAACAAAAAGTGTTTTTCAGAACTGCTGTATCAAAAGAAAGATCCACCTCTGTTAGCTGAGTTCACACTTCACAAACAAGTTTATCAGAATGCTTCTGTCTAGTTTTTATTTGAAGATATTTCCTTTCTCACCATAGACCTGAAAGCTGTCCTAATGTTCACTTCCAGGTACTACAGAAAGAGTGTTTCAAAACTGCTGTACGAAAGGGAAAGTTCAACTCTGTGACTTGAATGCACACATCACAAAGAAGTTTCTGAGGATGCTCTGTCTACTTTTTATGCGTAATCCCGTTTCCAACGAAATCCTCCAAGCTATCCAAATATCCACTTGCAGATTCCACAGAAAGACTGTTTCAAAACTGCTCTGTCAATAGAAAGGTTCAACTCTGTTAGCTGCGTGCATATATCCCAAAGAAGATTCTGAGATTGCTTTCTGTCTAGTTTTTATGGGAAGATATTTCCCTTTTCACCGTAGGTGTCAAGGCGCTCCAAATGTCCACTTCCAGATACTACAAAAAGAGTGTTTCAAACCTACTCTGTGAAAGGGAATATTCAACTCTGTGGCTTGAATGCCGATATCACAAAGAAGTTTCTGAGAATGCTTCTGTCGAGATTTTATATGAAGATATTCCCGTTTCCAACGAAATCCTGAAATCTATCCAAATATCCGCTCGCAGATTGTACAAAAAGAGTGTTTCAAAACTGCTCTGTGAAAAGAAAGGTTCAACTCTGTTAGTTGAGTACACACATCACAAACAAGTTTCACAGAATGCTTCTTTCTAGCTTGTAGGGGAAGATATTCCCTTTATCACCATGGGCCTCAAACCGTCCGAAACATCCACTTCCATATACTGCAAAAAGAGCGTTTCAAACCTGCTCTATGAAAGGCAATGTTCAACTCTGTGACTTGAATGCAGACATCACAGAGCAGTTTCTGAGAATGCTTCTGTCTAGATTTTATAGGAAGATATTCCCGTTTCCAACGAAATCTTCACAGCTATCCCAATATCCACTTGCAGATTCTACAAAAAGACTGTATCAAAACTGCTCTGTCAAAAGGAAGGTTCTTCTCTGTTAGGTGAGTGCATACGTCATAAAGGAGTTTCTGAGAATGTTCCTGTCTAGTGGTTATGGGAAGATATTTGCTTTTTCACCGTAGGCCTCAGAGCGCTCCAAATATCCACTTGCACATACTACAAAAAGAGTGCTTCAAAGCTGGTCTCTGAAACGGAATGTTCAACTCTATGAGTTGAATGCAAACATCACAAAGACGTTTCTGAGAATGCTTCTGTCTAGATTTGATGTGAAGATATTCCCGTTTCCAACGAAATCTTCATATCTATCCAAATGTCCACTTGCAGATTCAACAAAAAGTGTTTTTCAAAACTGCTGTATCAAAAGAAAGATCCACGTGTGTTAGCTGAGTTCACACATCACAAACAAGTTTATGAGAATGCTTCTGTCTAGTTTTTATTTGAAGATATTTCCTTTCTCACCATAGACCTGAAAGCTGTCCTAATGTTCACTTCCAGATACTACAGAAAGAGTGTTTCAAAACTGCTGTACGAAAGGGAATGTTCAACTCTGTGACTTGAATGCACACATCACAAAGAAGTTTCTGAGGACGCTGCTGTCTACTTTTTATACGTAATCCCGTTTCCAACGAAATCCTCCAATCTATCCAAATATCCACTTGCAGATTCCACAGAAAGACTGTTTCAAAACTGCTCTGTCAATAGAAAAGTTCAACTCTGTTAGCTGCGTGCATATATCGCAAAGAAGATTCTGAGATTGCTTCTGTCTAGTTTTTATGGGAAGATATTTCCCTTTTCACCGTAGGTGTCAAGGCGCTCCAAATGTCCACTTCCAGATACTACAAAAAGAGTGTTTCAAACCTACTCTGTGAAAGGGAATATTCAACTCTGTGACTCGAATGCACATATAACAAAGAAGTTTCTGAGAATGCTTCTGTCGAGATTTTATATGAAGATATTCCCGTTACCAACGAAATCCTGAAATCTATCCAAATATCCCCTCGCAGATTCTACAAAAAGAGTGTTTCAAAACTGCTCTGTAAAAAGAAAGGTTCAACTCTGTTAGTTGAGTACACACATCACAAACAAGTTTCACAGAATGCTTCTTTCTAGCTTGTACGGGAAGATATTCCCTTTATCACCATGGGCCTCCAACCGTCCGAAACATCCACTTCCATATACTACAAAAAGAGCGTTTCAAACCTGCTCTATGAAAGGCAATGTTCAACTCTGTGACTTGAATGCAGACATCACAGAGCAGTTTCTGAGAATGCTTCTGTCTAGATTTTATAGGAAGATATTCCCGTTTCCAACGAAATCTTCACAGCTATCCAAATATCCACTTGCAGATTCTACAAAAAGAGTGTATCAAAACTGCTCTGTCAAAAGGAAGGATCTTCTCTGTTAGTTGAGTACATACGTCATAAAGGAGTTTCTGAGAATGTTTCTGTCTAGTGGTTATGGGAAGATATTTGCTTTTTCACCTTAGGCCTCAGAGCGCTCCAAATATCCCCTTGCACATACTACAAAAAGAGTGCTTCAAAGCTGCTTTCTGAAACGGAATGTTCAACTCTATGAGTTGAATGCAAACATCACAAAGACGTTTCTGAGAATGCTTCTGTCTAGATTTGATATGAAGATATTCCCGTTTCCAACGAAATCTTCAATTCTATCAAAATGTCCACTTGCAGATTCAACAAAAAGTGTTTTTCAGAACTGCTCTATCAAAAGAAAGATCCACCTCTGTTAGCTGAGTTCACACTTCACAAACAAGTTTATCAGAATGCTTCTGTCTAGTTTTTATTTGAAGATATTTCCTTTCTCACCATAGAGCTGAAAGCTGTTCTAATGTTCACTTCCAGATACTACAGGAAGAGTGTTTCAAAACTGCTGTACGAAAGGGAATGTTCAACTCTGTGACTTGAATGCACACATCACAAAGAAGTTTCTGAGGATGCTGCTGTCTACTTTTTATGCGTAATCCCGTTTCCAACGAAATCCTCCAAGCTATCCAAATATCCACTTGCAGATTCCACAGAAAGACTGTTTCAAAACTGCTCTGTCAATAGAAAGGTTCAACTCTGTTAGCTGCGTGCATATATCCCCAAAGAAGATTCTGAGATTGCTTCTGTCTAGTTTTCATGGGAAATATTTCCCTTTTCACCGTAGGTGTCAAGGCGCTCCAAATGTCCACTTCCAGATACTACAAAAAGAGTGTTTCAAACCTACTCTGTGAAAGGGAATATTCAACTCTGTGACTTGAATGCACATATCACAAAGAAGTTTCTGAGAATGCTTCTGTCGAGATTTTATATGAAGATATTCCCGTTTCCAACGAAATCCTGAAATCTATCCAAATATCCCCTCGCAGATTCTACAAAAAGAGTGTTTCAAAACTGCTCTGTGAAAAGAAAGGTTCAACTCTGTTAGTTGAGTACACACATCACAAACAAGTTTCACACAATTCTTCTTTCTAGCTTGTAGGGGAAGATATTCCCTTTATCACCATGGGCCTCAAACCGTCCGAAACGTCCACTTCCATATACTACAAAAAGAGCGTTTCAAACCTGCTCTATGAAAGGCAATGTTCAACTCTGTGACGTGAATGCAGACATCACAGAGCAGTTTCTGAGAATGCTTCTGTCTAGATTTCATAGGAAGATATTCCCGTTTCCAACGAAATCTTCACAGCTATCCAAATATCCACTTGCAGATTCTACAAAAAGAGTGTATCAAAAGTGCTCTGTCAAAAGGAAAGTTCTTCTCTGCTAGTTGAGTACATACGTCATAAAGAAGTTTCTGAGAATGTTTCTGTCTAGTGGTTATGGGAAGATATTTGCTTTTTCCCCGTAGGCCTCAGGGCGCTCCAAATGTCCACTTGCACATGCTACAAAAAGAGTGCATCAAAGCTGCTCTCTGAAAGGGAATGTTCAACTCTATGAGTTGAATGCAAACATCACAAAGACGTTTCTGAGAATGCTTCTGTCTAGATTTGATATGAAGATATTCCCGTTTCCAACGAAATCTTCAAATCTATCCAAATGTCCACTTGCAGATTCAACAAAAAGTGTTTTTCAGAACTGCTCTATCAAAAGAAAGATCCACCTCTGTTAGCTGAGTTCACACATCACAAACAACTTTATGAGAATGCTTCTGTCTAGTTTTTATTTGAAGATATTTACTTTCTCACCATAGACCTGAAAGCTGTCCTAATGTTCACTTCCAGATACTACAGAAAGAGTGTTTCAATACTGCTGTACGAAAGGGAATGTTCAACTCTGTGACTTGAATGCACACATCACAAAGAAGTTTCTGAGGATGCTGCTGTCTTACTTTTTATACGTAATCCCGTTTCCAACGAAATCCTCCAAGCTATCCAAATATCCACTTGCAGATTCCACAGAAAGACTGTTTCAAAACTGCTCTGTCAATAGAAAGGTTCAACTCTGTTAGCTGCGTGCATATATCCCAAAGAAGATTCTGAGGATTGCTTCTGTCTAGTTTTTATGGGAAGATATTTCCCTTTTCACCGTAGGCGTCAAGGCGCTCCAAATGTCCACTTCCAGATACTACAAAAAGAGTGTTTCAAACCTACTCTGTGAAAGGCAGAATATTCAGCTCTGTGACTTGAATGCACATATCACAAAGAAGTTTCTGAGAATGCTTCTGTCGAGATTTTATATGAAGATATTCCCGTTTCCAACGAAATCCTGAAATCTATCCAAATATCCCCTCGCAGATTCTACAAAAAGAGTGTATCAAAACTGCTCTGTAAAAAGAAAGGTTCAACTCTGTTAGTTGAGTACACACATCACAAACAAGTTTCACAGAATGCTTCTTTCTAGCTTGTAGGGGAAGATATTCCCTTTATCACCATCGGCCTCAAACCGTCTGAAACGTCCACTTCCATATACTACAAAAAGAGCGTTTCAAACCTGCTCTAGGAAAGGCAATGTTCAACTCTGTGACTTGAATGCAGACATCACAGAGCAGTTTCTGAGAATGCTTCTGTCTAGATTTTATAGGAAGATATTCCCGTTTCCAACGAAATCTTCACAGCTATCCAAATATCCACTTGCAGATTCTACAAAAAGAGTGTATCAAAACTGCTCTGTCAAAAGGAAGGTTTTTCTCTGTTAGGTGAGTGCATACGTCATAAAGGAGTTTCTGAGAATGTTTTCTGTCTAGTGGTTATGGGAAGATATTTGCTTTTTCACCGTAGGCCTCAGTGCGCTCCAAATATCCACTTGCACATACTACAAAAAGAGTGCCTCAAAGCTGCTCTCTGAAACGGAATGTTCAACTCTATGAGTTGAATGCAAACATCACAAAGACGTTTCTGAGAATGCCTCTGTCTAGATTTGATATGAAGATATTCCCGTTTCCAACGAAATCTTCAAATCTATCCAAATGTCCACTTGCAGATTCTACAAAAAGTGTTTTTCAAAACTGCTGTATCAAAAGAAAGATCCACGTCTGTTAGCTGAGTTCACACATCACAAACAAGTTTATGAGAATGCTTCTGTCTAGTTTTTATTTGAAGATATTTCCTTTCTCACCATAGACCTGAAAGCTGTCCTAATGTACACTTCCAGATACTACAGAAAGAGTGTTTCAAAACTGCTGTACGAAAGGGAATGTTCAACTCTGTGACTTGAATGCACACATCACAAAGAAGTTTCTGAGGATGCTGCTGTCTACTTTTTATACGTAATCCCGTTTCCAACGAAATCCTCCAAGCTATCCAAATATCCACTTGCAGATTCCACAGAAAGACTGTTTCAAAACTGCTCTGTCAATAGAAAGGTTCAACTCTTTTAGCTGCGTGCATATATCCCAAAGAAGATTCTGAGATTGCTTCTGTCTAGTTTTTATGGGAAGATATTTCCCTTTTCACCGTAGGTGTCAAGGCGCTCCAAATGTCCACTTCCAGATACTACAAAAAGAGTGTTTCAAACCTACTCTCTGAAAGGGAATATTCAACTCTGTGACTTGAATGCAGATATCACAAAGAAGTTTCTGAGAATGCTTCTGTCGAGATTTTATATGAAGATATTCCCGTTTCCAATGAAATCCTGAAAGCTATCCAAATATCCCCTCGCAGATTCTACAAAAAGAGTGTTTCAAAACTGCTCTGTCAAAAGGAAGGTTCTTCTCTGTTAGTTGAGTACATACGTCATAAAGGAGTTTCTGAGAATGTTTCTTTCTAGCTTGTATGGGAAGATATTCCCTTTATCACCATGGGCCTCAAACCGTCCGAAACGTCCACTTCCATATACTACAAAAAGAGTGTTTCAAACCTGCTCTATGAACGGCAATGTTCAACTCTGTGAGTTGAATGCAGACATCACAGAGCAGTTTCTGAGAATGCTTCTGTCTAGATTTTATAGGAAGATATTCCCGTTTCCAACGAAATCTTCACAGCTATCCAAATATCCACTTGCAGATTCTACAAAAAGAGTGTATCAAAACTGCTCTGTCAAAAGGAAGGTTCTTCTCTGTTATGTGAGTGCATACGTCATAAAGGAGTTTCTGAGAATGTTTCTGTCTAGTGGTTATGGGAAGATATTTGCTTTTTCACCTTAGGCCTCAGAGCGCTCAAAATATCCACTTGCACATACTACAAAAAGAGCGCTTCAAAGCTGCTCTCTGTAACAGAATGTTCAACTCTATGGGTTGAATGCAAACATCACAAAGACGTTTCTGAGAATGCTTCTGTCTAGATTTGATATGAAGATATTCCCGTTTCCAACGAAATCTTCAAATCTATCCAAATGTCCACTTGCAGATTCAACAAAATGTTTTTCAGAACTGCTCTATCAAAAGAAAGATCCACCTCTGTTAGCTGAGATCACACTTCACAAACAAGTTTATCAGAATGCTTCTGTCTAGTTTTTATTTGAAGATATATCCTTTCTCACTATAGACCTGAAAGCTCTCCTAAAGTTCACTTCCAGATACTACAGAAAGAGTGTTTCAAAACTGCTGTACGAAAGGGAATGTTCAACTCTGTGACTTGAATGCACACATCACAAGGTTGTTTCTGAGGATGCTGCTGTCTACTTTTTATACGTAATCCCGTTTCCAACGAAATCCTCCAAGCTATCCAAATATCCACTTACAGATTCCACAGAAAGACTGTTTCAAAACTGCTCTGTCAATAGAAAGGTTCAACTCTATTAGCTGCGTACATATATCCCAAAGAAGATTCTGAGATTGCTTCTGTCTACTTTTTATGAGAAGATATTTCCCTTTTCACCGTAGGCGTCAAGGCGCTCCAAATGTCCACTTCAGATACTACAAAAAGAGTGTTTCAAACCTACTCTGTGATAGGGAATATTGAACTCTGTGACTTGAATGCACATATCACAAAGAAGTTTCAGAGAATGCTTCTGTCAAGATTTTATATGAAGATATTCCCCTTTCCAACGAAATCCTGAAATCTATCCAAATATCCCCTCGCAGATTCTACAAAAAGAGTGTTTCAAAACTGCTCTGTAAAAAGAAAGGTTCAACTCTGTTAGTTGAGTACACACATCACAAACAAGTTTCACAGAATGCTCTTTCTAGCTTGTAGGGGAAGATATTCCCTTTATCACCATGGGCCTCAAACCGTCCGAAACGTCCACTTCCATATACTACAAAAAGAGTGTTTCAAACCTGCTCTATGAACGGCAATGTTCAACTCTGTGACTTGAATGCAGACATCACAGAGCAGTTTCTGAGAATGCTTTCTGTCTAGATTTTATAGGAAGATATTCCCGTTTCCAACGAAATCTTCACAGCTATCCAAATATCCACTTGCAGATTCCACAAAAAGAGTGTATCAAAACTGCTCTGTCAAAAGGAAGGTTCTTCTCCTGTTAGTTGAGTACATACGTCATAAAGGAGTTTCTGAGAATGTTTCTGTCTAGTGGTTATGAGAAGATATTTGCTTTTTCACCGTAGGCCTCAGAGCGCTCCAAATATCCACTTGCACATACTACAAAAAGAGTGCTTCAAAGCTGCTCTCTGAAACGGAATGTTCAACTCTATGAGTTGAATGCAAACATCGCAAAGACGTTTCTGAGAATGCTTCTGTCTAGATTTGATATGACGATATTCCCGTTTCCAACGAAATATTCAAATCTATCCAAATGTCCACTTGCAGATTCAACAAAAAGTGTTTTTCAGAACTGCTCTATCAAAAGAAAGATCCACCTCTGTTAGCTGAGTTCACACATCACAAACAAGTTTATGAGAATGCTTATCTGTCTAGTTTTTATTTGAAGATATATCCTTTCTCACTATAGACCTGAAAGCTGTCCTAAAGTTCACTTCCAGATACTACAGAAAGAGTGTTTCAAAACTGCTGTACGAAAGGGAATGTTCAACTCTGTGACTTCAATGCACACATCACAAGGATGTTTCTGAGGATGCTGCTGTCTACTTTGTATACGTAATCCCGTTTCCAACGAAATCCTCCAAGCTATCCAAATATCCACTTGCAGATTCCACAAAAAGAGTGTTTCAAAACTGCTCTGTCAATAGAAAGGTTCACCTCTGTTAGCTGGGTGCATACATCCCAAAGAAGATTCTGAGGTTGCTTCTGTCTAGTTTTTATGGGAAGATATTTCCCTTTTCACCATAGGCATCAAGGCGCTCCAAATGTCCACTTCCAGATACTACAAAAAGAGTGTTTCAAACCTACTCTGTGAAAGGGAATATTCAACTCTGTGACTTGAATGCACATATCACGAAGAAGTTTCTGCGAATGCTTCTGTCGAGATTTTATATGAAGATATTCCCGTTTCCAACGAAATCCTGAAATCTATCCAAATATCCCCTCACATATTCTACAAAAAGAGTGTTTCAAAACTGCTCTGTAAAAAGAAAGGTTCAACTCTGTTAGTTGAGTACACACCTCACAAACAAGTTTCACAGAATGCTTCTTTCTAGCTTGTAGGGGAAGATATTCCCTTTATCACCATGGGCCTCAAACCGTCCGAAACGTCTACTTCCATATACTACAAAAAGAGCGTTTCAAACCTGCTCTATGAAAGACAATGTTCAACTCTGTGACTTGAATGCAGACATCACAGAGCAGTTTCTGAGAATGCTTCTGTCAAGATTTTATAGGAAGATATTCCCGTTTCCGACGAAATCTTCACAGCTATCCAAATATCCACTTGCAGATTCTACAAAAAGAGTGTATCAAAACTGCTCTGTCAAAAGGAAGGTTCTTCTCTGCTAGGTGAGTGCATACGTCATAAAGGAGTTTCTGAGAATGTTTTCTGTCTAGTGGTTATGGGAAGATATTTGCTTTTTCCCCGTAGGCCTCAGAGCGCTCCAAATGTCCACTTGCACATGCTACAAAAAGAGTGCTTCAAAGCTGCTCTCTGAAAGGGAATGTTCAACTCTATGAGTTGAATGTAAACATCACAAAGACGTTTCTGAGAATGCTTCTGTCTAGATTTGATATGAAGATATTCCCGTTTCCAACGAAATCTTCAAATCTATCCAAATGTCCACTTGCAGACTCAACAAAAAGTGTTTTTCAGAACTGCTCTATCAAAAGAAAGATCCACCTCTGTTAGCTGAGTTCAGACATCACAAACAAGTTTATGAGAATGCTTCCTGTCTAGTTTTTATTTTTAGATATTTCCTTTCTCACCGCAGACCTGAAAACTCTCATAATGTTCACTTCCAGATACTACAGAAAGAGTGTTTGAAACCTGCTGTATGAAAGGGAATGTTGAACTCTGTGACATGAATGCACACATCACAACGAAGTTTCTGAGAATGCTGCTGTCTACTTTTTATACGTAATCCCGTTTCCAACGAAATCCTCCAAGCTATCCAAATATCCACTTGCAGATTCCACAGAAAGACTGTTTCAAAACTGCTCTGTCAATAGAAAGGTTCAACTCTGTAAACTGCGTGCATATATCCCAAAGAAGATTCTGAGATTGCTTCTGTCTAGTTTTTATGGGAAGATATTTCCCTTTTCACCGTAGGCGTCAAGGCGCTCCAAATGTCCACTTCCAGATACTACAAAAAGAGTGTTTCAAACCTACTCTGTGAAAGGGAATATTCAACTCTGTGACTTGAATGCAGATATCACAAAGAAGATTCTGAGAATGCTTCTGTCGAGATTTTATATGAAGATATTCCCGTTTCCCACGAAATCCTGAAATCTCTCCAAATATCCCCTCGCAGATTCTACAAAAAGAGTGTTTCAAAACTGCTCTGTAAAAAGAAAGGTTCAACTCTGTTACTTGAGTACACACATCACAAACAAGTTTCACAGAATGATTCTTTCTAGCTTGTAGGGGAAGATATTCCCTTTATCACCATGGGCCTCAAACCGTCCGAAACGTCCACTTCCATATACTACAAAAAGAGCGTTTCAAACCTGCTCTATGAAAGGCAATGGTCAACTCCGTGACATGAATGCAGACATCACAGAGCAGTTTCTGAGAATGCTTCTGTCTAGATTTTATAGGAAGATATTCCCGTTTCCAATGAAATCTTCACAGCTATCCCAATATCCACTTGCAGATTCTACAAAAAGAGTGTATCAAAAGTGCTCTGTCAAAAGGAAGGTCCTTCTCTGTTAGGTGAGTGCATACGTCATAAAGGAGTTTCTGAGAATGTTTCTGTCTGGTGGTTATGGGAAGATATTTGCTTTTTCACCAAAGGCTTCAGAGCACTCCAGATATCCACTTGCACATACTACAAAATGAGTGCCTCAAAGCTGCTCTCTGAAACGGAATGTTCAACTCTATGAGTTGAATGCAAACATCACAAAGACGTTTCCGAGAATGCTTCTGCCTAGATTTGATATGAAGATATTCCCGTTTCCAACGAAATCTTCAAATCTATCCAAATGTCCACCTGCAGATTCAACAAAAAGTGTTTTTCAGAACTGCTCTATCAAAAGAAAGATCCATCTCTGTTAGCTGAGTTCACACATCACAAACAAGTTTATGAGAATGCTTTTGTCTAGTTTTTATTTGAAGATATTTCCTTTCTCACCATAGACCTGAAAGCTGTCCTAATGTTCACTTCCAGTTACTACAGAAAGAGTGTTTCAAAACTGCTGTACGAAAGGGAATGTTCAACTCTGTGACTTGAATGCACACATCACAAAGAAGTTTGCTGAGGATGCTGCTGTCTACTTTTTATACGTAATCCCGTTTCCAACAAAATCCTCCAAGCTATCCAAATATCCACTTGCAGATTCCACAGAAAGACTGTTTCAAAACTGCTCTGTCAATAGAAATGTTCAACTCTGTTAGCTGCGTGCATATATCCCAAAGAAGATTCTGAGATTGCTTCTGTCTAGTTTTTATGGGAAGATATTTCCCTTTTCACCGTAGGCGTCAAGGCTCTCCAAATGTCCACTTCCAGATACTACAAAAAGAGTGTTTCAAACCTACTCTGTGAAAGGGAATATTCAACTCTGTGACTTGAATGCACATATCACAAAGAAGTTTCTGAGAATGCTTCTGTCGAGATTTTATATGAAGATATTCCCGTTTCCAACGAAATTCTGAAATCTATCCAAATATCCCCTCGCAGATTCTACAAAAAGAGTGTTTCAAAACTGCTCTGTAAAAAGAAAGGTTCAACTCTGTTAGTTGAGTACACACATCACAAACAAGTATCACAGAATGCTTCTTTCTAGCTTGTAGGGGAAGATATTTCCTTTATCACCATGGTCCTCAATCCGTCCGAAACGTGCTCTTCCATATACTAAAAAAAGAGTGTTTGAAACCTACTCTATGAAAGGCAACGTTCAACTCTGTGACTTGAATGCAGACATCACAGAGCAGTTTCTGAGAATGCTGCTGTCTAGATTTTATAGGAAGATATTCCCGTTTCCAACGAAATCTTCAATGCTATTCAAATATCCACTTGCAGATTCTACAAAAAGAGTGTATCAAAACTGCTCTGTCAAAAGGAAGGTTCTTCTCTGTTAGGTGAGTGCATACGTCATAAAGGAGTTTCTGAGAATGTTTCTGTCTAGTGGTTATGGGAAGATATTTGCTTTTTCACCGTTGGCCTCAGAGCGCTCCAAATATCCACTTGCACATACTACAAAAAGAGTCTTTCAAAGCTGCTCTCTGAAAGGGAATGTTCAACTCTATGAGTTGAATGCAAACATGACAAAGACGTTTCTGAGAATGCTTCTGTCTAGATTTGATATGAAGATATTCCCGTTTCCAAGGAAATCTTCAAATCTATCCAAATGTCCACTTGCAGATTCAACAAAAATTGTTTTTCAGAACTGCTCTATCAAAAGAAAGATCCACGTGTGTTAGCTGAGTTCACACATAACAAACAAGTTTATGAGAATGCTTCTGTCTAGTTTTTATTTGAAGATATATCCTTTCTCACTATAGACCTGAAAGCTGTCCTAAAGTTCACTTCCAGATACTACAGAAAGAGTATTTCAACACTGCTGTACGAAAGGGAATGTTCAACTCTGTGACTTGAATGCACACATCACAAGGATGTTTCTGAGGATGCTGCTGTCTACTTTTTATACGTAATCCCGTTTCCAACGAAATCCTCCAACTATCCAAATATCCACTTGCAGATTCCACAGAAAGACTGTTTCAAAACTGCTCTGTCAATAGAAAGGTTCAACTCTGTTAGCTGCGTGCATATATCCCAAAGAAGATTCTGAAATTGCTTCTGTCTAGTTTTTATGGGAAGATATTTCCCTTTTCACCGTAGGTGTCAAGGCGCTCCAAATGTCCACTTCCAGATACTACAAAAAGAGTGCTTCAAACCTACTCTGTGAAAGGGAATATTCAACTCTGTGACTTAAAGGCAGATGTCACAAAGAAGTTTCTGAGAATGCTTCTGTCGAGATTTTATATGAAGATATTCCCGTTTCCAACGAAATCCTGAAATCTATCCAAATATCCGCTCGCAGATTCTACAAAAAGAGTGTTTCAAAACTGCTCTGTGAAAAGAAAGGTTCAACTCTTTTAGTTGAGTACACACATCACAAACAAGTTTCACAGAATGCTTCTTTCTAGCTTGTAGGGGAAGATATTCCCTTTATCACCATGGGCCTCCAACCGTCCGAAACATCCACTTCCATATACTACAAAAAGAGCGTTTCAAACCTGGTCTCTGAAAGGCAATGTTCAACTCTGTGACTTGAATGCAGACATCACAGAGCAGTTTCTGAGAATGCTTCTGTCTAGATTTGATATGAAGATATTCCCGTTTCCAAAGAAATCTTCAGAGCTATCCAAATATCCACTTGCATATTCTACAAAAAGAGTGTATCAAAAATGCTCTGTCAAAAGGTAGGTTCTTCTCTGTTAGTTGAGTACATACGTCAGAAAGAAGTTTCTGAGAATGTTTCTGTCTAGTGGTTATGGGAAGATATTTGCTTTTTCCCCGTAGGCCTCAGGGCGCTCCAAATGTCCACTTGCACATGCTACAAAAAGAGTGCTTCAAAGCTACTCTCTGGAAGGGAATGTTCAACTCTATGAGTTGAATGCAAACATCACAAAGACGTCTCTGAGAATGCTTCTGTCTAGATTTGATATGAAGATATTCCCGTTTCCAACGAAACCTTCAAATCTATCCAAATGTCCACTTGCAGATTCAACAAAAAGTGTTTTTCAGAACTGCTCTATCAAAAGAAAGATCCACCTTGGTTAGCTGAGTTCACACATCACAAAGAAGTTTATGAGAATGCTTCTGTCTAGTTTTTATTTGAAGATATATCCTTTCCAACTATAGACATGAAAGCTCTCCTAAAATTCACTTCCAGATACTACAGAAAGAGTGTTTCAAAACTGATGTATGAAAGGGAATGTTCAACTCTGTGACTTGAATGCACACATCACAAAGAAGTTTCTGAGGATGCTGCTGTCTACTTTTTATACGTAATCCCGTTTCCAACGAAATCCTCCAAGCTATCCAAATATCCACTTGCAGATTCCACAGAAAGACTGTTTCAAAACTGGTCTGTCAATAGAAAGGTTCAACTCTGTTAGCTGCGTGCATATATCCCAAAGGAGATTCTGAGATTGCTTCTGTCTACTTTTTATGAGAAGATATTTCCCTTTTCACTGTAGGCGTCAAGGCGCTCCAAATGTCCACTTCCAGATACTAGAAAAAGGGTGTTTCAAACCTACTCTGTGAAAGGGAATATTCAACTCTGTGACTTGAATGCACATATCACAAAGAAGCTTCTGAGAATGCTTCTGTCGAGGATTTTATATGAAGATATTCCCGTTTCCAACGAAATCCTGAAATGTATCCAAATATCCCCTCGCAGATTCTACAAAAAGAGTGTTTCAAAACTGCTCTGTAAAAAGAAAGGTTCAACTCTGTTAGTTGAGTACACACATCACAAACAAGTTTCACAGAATGCTTCTTTCTAGCTTGTAGGGGAAGATATTCCCTTTATCACCATGGGCCTCAAACCGTCCGATAAGTCCACTTCCATATACTACAAAAAGAGCGTTTCAAACCTGCTCTATGAAAGGCAATGTTCAACTCTGTGACTTGAATGCAGACATCGCAGAGCAGTTTCTGAGAATGCTTCTGTCTAGATTTTATAGGAAGATATTCCCGTTTCCAACGAAATCTTCACAGCTATCCAAATATCCACTTGCAGATTCTACAAAAAGAGTGTATCAAAACTGCCCTGTCAAAAGGAAGGTTCTTTTCTGTTAGGTGAGTGCATACGTCATAAAGGAGTTTCTGAGAATGTTTCTGTCTAGTGGTTATGGGAAGATATTTGCTTTTTCACCGTAGGCCTCAGAGCGCTCCAAATATCCACTTGCACATACTACAAAAAGAGTGCTTCAAAGCTGCTCTCTGAAAGGGAATTTTCAACTCTATGAGTTGAATGCAAACATCACAAAGCCGTTTCTGAGAATGCTTCTGTCTAGATTTGATATGAAGATATTCCCGTTTCCAACGAAATCTTCAAATCTATCCAAATGTCCACTTGCAGATTCAGCAAAAAGTGTTTTTCAGAACTGCTCTATCAAAAGAAAGATCCACCTCTGTTAGCTGAGTTCACACATCACAAACAAGTTTATGAGAATGCTTCTGTCTAGTTTTTATTTGAAGATATTTCCTTTCTCACCATAGACCTGAAAGCTCTCCTAATGTTCACTTCCAGATACTACAGAAAGAGTGTTTCAAAACTGCTGTACGAAAGGGAATGTTCAACTCTGTGACTTGAATGCAGACATCACAAAGAAGTTTCTGAGGATGCTGCTGTCTACTTTTTATACGTATTCCCGTTTCCAACGAAATCCTCCAAGCTATCCAAATATCCACTTGCAGATTCCACAGAAAGACTGTTTCAAAACTGCTCTGTCAATAGAAAGGTTCAACTCTGTTAGCTGCGTGCATATATCCCAAAGAAGATTCTGAGATTGCTTCTGTCTAGTTTTTATGGGAAGATATTTCTCTTTTCACCGTAGGCGTCAGGGCGCTCCAAATGTCCACTTCCAGATACTACAAAAAGAGTGTTTCAAACCTACTCTGTGAAAGGGAATATTCAACTCTGTGACTTGAATGCAGATATCACAAAGAAGTTTCTGAGAATGCTTCTGTCGAGATTTTATATGAAGATATTCCCCTTTCCAACGAAATCCTGAAATGTATCCAAATATCCCCTCGCAGATTCTACAAAAAGAGTGTTTCAAAACTGCTCTGTAAAAAGAAAGGTTCAACTCTGTTAGTTGAGTACACACATCACAAACAAGTTTCACAGAATGCTTTCTTTCTAGCTTGTAGGGGAAGATATTTCCTTTATCACCATGGGCCTCAAACCGTCCGAAACGTCCACTTCCATATACTAAAAAAAGAGTGTTTGAAACCTGCTCTATGAAAGGCAATGTTCAACTCTGTGACTTGAATGCAGACATCACAGAGAAGTTTCTGAGAATGCTTCTGTCTAGATTTTATAGGGAGATATTCCCGTTTCCAACGAAAGCTTCACAGCTATCCAAATATCCACTTGCAGATTCTACAAAAAGAGTGTATCAAAACTGCTCTGTCAAAAGGAAGGTTCTTCTCTGTTAGGTGAGTGCATACGTCATACAGGAGTTTCTGAGAATGTTTTCTGTCTAGTGGTTATGGGAAGATATTTGCTTTTTCACCGTAGGCCTCAAAGCGCTCCAAATGTCCACTTGCACATACTACAAAAAGAGTGCTTCAAAGCTGCTCTCTGAAACGGAATGTTCAACTCTATGAGTTGAATGCAAACATCACAAAGACGTTTCTGAGAATGCTTCTGTCTAGATTTGATATGAAGATATTCCCGTTTCCAACGAAATCTTCATATCTATCCAAATGTCCACTTGCAGATTCAACAAAAAGTGTTTTTCAAAACTGCTGTATCAAAAGAAAGATCCACGTGTGTTAGCTGAGTTCACACATCACAAACAAGTTTATGAGAATGCTTTCTGTCTAGTTTTTATTTGAAGATATTTCCTTTCTCACCATAGAGATGAAAGCTGTCCTAATGTTCACTTCCAGATACTACAGAAAGAGTGTTTCAAAACTGCTGTACGAAAGGGAATGCTCAACTCTGTGACTTGAATGCACACATCACAAAGAAGTTTCTGAGGATGCTCTGTCTACTTTTTATACGTAATCCCGTTTCCAACGAAATCCTCCAAGCTATCCAAATATCCACTTGCAGATTCCACAGAAAGACTGTTTCAAAACTGCTCTGTCAATAGAAAGGTTCAACTCTGTTAGCTGCGTGCATATATCCCAAAGAAGATTCTGAGATGCTTTCTGTCTAGTTTTTATGGGAAGATATTTCCCTTTCCACCGTAGGCGTCAAGGCGCTCCAAATGTCCACTTCCAGATACTACAAAAAGAGTGTTTCAAACCTTCTCTGTGAAAGGGAATATTCAACTCTGTGACTTGAATGCAGATATCACAAAGAAGTTTCTGAGAATGCTTCTGTCGAGATTTTATATGAAGATATTCCCGTTCCCAACGAAATCTTGAAATCTATCCAAATATCCCCTCGCAGATTCTACAAAAAGAGTGTTTCAAAACTGCTCTGTAAAAGAAAGGTTCAACTCTGTTAGTTGAGTACACACATCACAAACAAGTTTCACAGAATGCTTCTTTCTAGCTTGTAGGGGAAGATATTCCCTTTATCACCATGGGCCTCAAACCGTCCGAAACGTCCACTTCCATATACTACAAAAAGAGCGTTTCAAACCTGCTCTAGGAAAAGCAATGTTCAACTCTGTGACTTGAATGCAGACATCACAGAGCAGTTTGCTGAGAATGCTTCTGTCTAGATTTTATAGGAAGATATTTCCGTTTCCAACGAAATCTTCACAGCTATCCAAATATCCACTTGCAGATTCTACAAAAAGTGTGTATCAAAACTGCTCTGTCAAAAGGAAGGTTCTTCTCTGTTAGGTGAGTGCATACGTCATAAAGGAGTTTCTGAGAATGTTTCTGTCTAGTGGTTATGGGAAGATATTTGCTTTTACACCGTAGGCCTCAGAGCGCTCCAAATATCCACTTGCACATCCTACAAAAAGAGTGCTTCAAAGCTGGTCTCTGAAACGGAATGTTCAACTCTATGAGTTGAATGCAAACATCACAAAGACGTTTCTGAGAATGCTTCTGTGTAGATTTGATATGAAGATATTCCCGTTTCCAACGAAATCTTCAAATCTATCCAAATGTCCACTTGCAGATTCAACAAAAAGTGTTTTTCAGAACTGCTCTATCAAAAGAAAGATCCACCTCTGTTAGCTGAGTTCAGACATCACAAACAAGTTTATGAGAATGCTTCTGTCTAGTTTTTATTTGAAGATATTTCCTTTCTCACCATAGAGCTGAAAGCTGTCCTAATGTTCACTTCCAGATACTACAGAAAGAGTGTTTCAAAACTGCTGTACGAAAGGGAATGTTCAACTCTGTTACTTGAATGCACACATCACAAAGAAGTTTCTGAGGATGCTGCTGTCTACTTTTTATACATAATACCGTTTCCAACGAAATCCTCCAAGCTATCCAAATATCCACTTGCAGATTCCTCAGAAAGACTGTTTCAAAACTGCTCTGTCAATAGAAAGGTTCAACTCTGTTAGCTGCGTGCATATATCCCAAAGAAGATTCTGAGATTGCTTTTGTCTAGTTTTTATGGGAAGATATTTCCCTTTTCACCGTGGGCGTCAAGGCGCTCCAAATGTCCACTTCCAGATACTACAAAAAGAGTGTTTCAAACCTACTCTGTGAAAGGGAATATTCAACTCTGTGACTTGAATGCACATATCACAAGGAAGTTTCTGAGAATGCTTCTGTCGAGATTTTATATGAAGATATTCCCGTTTCCAACGAAATCCTGAAATCTATCCAAATATCCCCTCGCAGATTCTACAAAAAGAGTGTTTCAAAACTGCTCTGTAAAAAGAAAGGTTCAACTCTGTTAGTTGAGTACACACATCACCAACAAGTTTCACAGAATGCTTCTTTCTAGCTTGTAGGGGAAGATATTCCCTTTATCACCATGGGCCTCAAACCGTCTGAAACGTCCACTTCCATATACTGCAAAAAGAGCATTTCAAACCTGCTCTATGAAAGGCAATGTTCAACTCTGTGACTTGAATACAGACATCACAGAGCAGTTTCTGAGAATGCTTCTGTCCGGACTTTATAGGAAGATATTCCCGATTCCAACGAAATCTTCACATCTATCCAAATATCCACTTGCTGATACTACAAAAAGAGTGTATCAAAAATGCTCTGTCAAGAGGACAGTTCTTCTCTGCTAGTTCAGTACATACGTCATAAAGAAGTTTCTGAGAATGTTTCTGTCTAGTGGTTATGGGAAGATATTTGCTTTTTCACCGTAGGCCTCAGAGCGCTCCAAATATCCACTTGCGCATACTACAAAAAGAGTGCTTCAAAGCTGCTCTCTGAAACGGAATGTTCAACTCTATGAGTTGCATGCAAACATCACAAAGACGTTTCTGAGAATGCTTCTGTCTAGATTTGATATGAAGATATTCCCGTTTCCAACGAAATCTTCAAATCTATCCAAATGTCCACTTGCAGATTCAACAAAAAGTGTTTTTCAGAACTGCTCTATCAAAATAAAGATCCACCTCTGTTACCTGAGTTCACACTTCCCAAACAAGTTTTTGAGAATGCTTCTGTCTAGTTTTTATTTGAAGATATTGCCTTTCTCACCATAGACCTGAAAGCTGTACTAATGTTCACTTCCAGATACTACAGAAAGAGTGTTTCAAAACTGCTGTACGAAAGGGAATGTTCAACTCTGTGACTTGAATGCACACATCACAAAGAAGTTTCTGAGGATGCTGCTGTCTACTTTTTATACTTAATCCCGTTTCCAACGAAATCCTCCAAGCTTTCCAAATATCCACTTGCAGATTCCACAGAAAGACTGTTTCAAAACTGCTCTGTCAATAGAAAGGTTCAACTCTGTTAGCTGCGTGCATATATCCCAAAGAAGATTCTGAGATTGCTTTCTGTCTAGTTTTTATGGGAAGATATTTTCCTTTTCACCGTAGGTGTCAAGGCGCTCCAAATGTCCACTTCCAGATACTACAAAAAGAGTGTTTCAAACCTACTCTGTGAAAGCGAATATTCAACTCTGTGACTTGAATGCACATATCACAAAGAAGTTTCTGAGAATGCTTCTGTCGAGATTTTATATGAAGATATTCCCGTTTCCAACGAAATCCTGAAATCTATCCAAATATCCCCTCGCAGATTCTACAAAAAGAGTGTATCAAAACTGCTCTGTAAAAAGAAAGGTTCAACTCTGTTAGTTGAGTACACACATCACAAACAAGTTTCACACAATGCTTCTTTCTAGCTAGTAGGGGAAGCATATTCCCTTTATCACCATGGGCCTCAAACCGTCCGAAACGTCCACTTCCATATACTACAAAAAGAGCGTGTCAAACCTGCTCTATGAAAGGCAATGTTCAACTCTGTGACTTGAATGCAGACATCACAGAGCAGTTTCTGAGAATGCTTCTGTCTAGATTTTATAGGAAGATATTCCCGTTTCCAACGAAATCCTGAAATCTATCCAAATAACCCCTCGCAGATTCTACAAAAAGAGTGTTTCAAAACTGCTCTGTAAAAAGAAAGGTTCAACTCTGTTAGTTGAGTACACACATCACAAACAAGTTTCACAGAATGCTTCTGTCTAGTGGTTATGGGAAGATATTTGATTTTTCACCGTAGGCCTCAGAGCTGCTCCAAATATCCACTTCCACATACTACAAAAAGAGTGCTTCAAAGCTGCTCTCTGAAAGGGAATGTTCAACTCTATGAGTTGAATGCAAACATCTCAAAGACGTTTCTGAGAATGCTTCTGTCTGGATTTGATATGAAGATATTCCCGTTTCCAACGAAATCTTCAAATCTATCCAAATGTCCACTTGCAGATTCAACAAAAAGTGTTTTTCAGAACTGCTCTATCAAAAGAAAGATCCACCTCTGTTAGCTGAGTTCACACATCACAAACAAGTTTATGAGAATGCTTCTGTCTAGTTTTTATTTGAAGATATTTCCTTTCTCACCATAGACCTGAAAGCTGTCCTAATGTTCACTTCCAGATACTACAGAAAGAGTGTTTCAAAACTGCTGTACGAAAGGGAATGTTCAACTCTGTGACTTGAATGAACACATCACAAAGAAGTTTCTGAGGATGCTGCTGTCTACTTTTTATACGTAATCCCGTTTCCAACGAAATCCTCCAAGCTATCCAAATATCCACTTGCAGATTCCACAGAAAGACTGTTTCAAAACTGCTCTGTCAATAGCAAGTTTCAACTCTGTTAGCTGCGTACATATATCCCAAGGAAGATTCTGAGATTGCTTCTGTCTACTTTTTATGAGAAGATATTTCCCTTTTCACCGTAGGCGTCAAGGCGCTCCAAATGTCCACTTCAGATACTACAAAAAGAGTGTTTCAAACCTACTCTGTGAAAGGGAATATTCAACTCTGTGACTTGAATGCACATATCACAAAGAAGCTTCTGAGAATGCTTCTGTCGAGATTTTCTATGAAGATGTTCCCGTTTCCAACGAAATCCTGAAATCTATCCAAATATCCCCTCGCAGATTCTACAAAAAGAGTGTTTTAAAACTGCTCTGTAAAAAGAAAGGTTCAACTCTGTTAGTTGAGTACACACATCACAAACAAGTTTCACACAATGCTTCTTTCTAGCTTGTAGGGGAAGATATTCCCTTTATCACCATGGGCCTCAATCCGTCCGATAAGTCCACTTCCATATACTACAAAAAGAGCGTTTCAAACCTGCTCTAGGAAAGGCAATGTTCAACTCTGTGACTTGAATGCAGACATCACAGAGCAGTTTCTGAGAATGCTTCTGTCTAGATTTTATAGGAAGATATTCCCGTTTCCAACGAAATCTTCACAGCTATCCAAATATCCACTTGCAGATTCTACAAAAAGAGTGTATCAAAACTGCTCTGTCAAAAGGAAGGTTCTTCTCTGTTAGGTAAGTGCACACGTCATAAAGGAGTTTCTGAGAATGTTTCTGTCTAGTGGTTATGGGAAGATATTTGCTTTTTCACCGTAGGCCTCAGAGCCCTCCAAATATCCACTTGCACATACTACAAAAAGAGTGCTTCAAAGCTGCTCTCTGAAACGGAATGTTCAACTCTATGAGTTGAATGCAAACATCGCAAAGACGTTTCTGAGAATGCTTCTGTCTAGATTTGATATGAAGATATTCCCGTTTCCAACGAAATCTTCATATCTATCCAAATGTCCACTTGCAGATTCAACAAAAAGTGTTTTTCAAAACTGCTGTATCAAAAGAAAGATCCACGTCTGTTAGCTGAGTACACACATCACAAACACGTTTATGAGAATGCTTCTGTCTAGTTTTTATTTGAAGATATATCCTTTCTCACTATAGACCTGAAAGCTGTCCTAAAGTTCACTTCCAGATACTACAGAAAGAGTGTTTCAAAACTGCTGTACGAAAGGGAATTTTCAACTCTGTGACTTGAATGCACACATCACAAAGTAGTTTCTGAGGATGCTGCTGTCTACTTTTTATACGTAATCCCGTTTCCAACGAAATCCTCCAATCTATCCAAATATCCACTTGCAGATTCCACAGAAAGACTGTTTCAAAACTGCTCTGTCAATAGAAAGGTTCAACTCTGTTAGCTGCGTGCGTATATCCCAAAGAAGATTCTGAGATTGCTTCTGTCTAGTTTTTATGGGAAGATATTTCCCTTTTCACCGTAGGCGTCAAGGCGCTCCAAATGTCCAATTCCAGATACTATAAAAAGAGTGTTTCAAACCTACTCTGTGAAAGGGAATATTCAACTCTGTGACTGGAATGCAGATATCACAAAGAAGTTTCTGAGAATGCTCTGTCGAGATTTTATATAAAGATATTCCCGTTTCCAACGAAATCCTGAAATCTATCCAAATATCCCCTCGCAGATTCTACAAAAAGAGTGTTTCAAAACTGCTCTGTAAAAAGAAAGGTTCAACTCTGTTAGTTGAGTACACACATCACAAACAAGTTTCACAGAATGCTCTCTTTCTAGCTTGTAGGGTAAGATATTCCCTTTATCACCATGGGCCTCAAACCGTCCGAAACGTCCACTTCCATATACTACAAAAAGAGCGTTTCAAACCTGCTCTATGAAAGGCAATGTTCAACTCTGTGACTTGAATGCAGACATCACAGAGCAGTTTCTGAGAATGCTTCTGTCTAGATTTTGTAGGAAGATATTCCCGATTCCAACGAAATCTTCACAGCTATCCAAAGATCCACTTGCAGATTCTACAAAAAGAGTGTATCAAAACTGCTCTGTCAAAAGGAAGGTTCTTCTCTGTTAGGTGAGTGCATACGTCATAAAGGAGTTTCTGAGAATGTTTCTGTCTAGTGGTTATGGGAAGATATTTGCTTTTTCACCGTAGGCCTCAGAGCGCTCCAAATATCCACTTGCACATACTACAAAAAGAGTGTTCCAAAGCTGCTCTCTGAAAGGGAATGTTCAACTCTATGAGTTGAATGCAAACATGACAAAGACGTTTCTGAGAATGCTTCTGTCTAGATTTGATAGGAAGATATTCCCGTTTCCAACGAAATCTTCAAATCTATCCAAATGTCCTCTTGCAGATTCAACAAAAAGTGTTTTTCAAAACTGCTGTATCAAAAGAAAGATCCACGTCTGTTAGCTGAGTTCACACATCACAAACAGGTTTATGAGAAACCTTCTGTCTAGTTTTTATTTGAAGATATTGCCTTTCTCACCATAGACCTGAAAGCTGTCCTAATGTTCACTTCCAGATACTACAGAAAGAGTGTTTCAAAACTGCTGTACGAAAGGGAATGTTCAACTCTGTGACTTGAATGAACACATCACAAAGAAGTTTCTGAGGATGCTGCTGTCTACTTTTTATACATAATCCCGTTTCCAACGAAATCCTCCAAGCTATCCAAATATCCACTTGCAGATTCCACAGAAAGACTGTTTCAAAACTGCTCTGTCAATAGAAAGGTTCAACTCTATTAGCTGCGTACATATATCCCAAAGAAGATTCTGAGATTGCTTCTGTCTAGTTTTTATGGGAAGATATTTCCCTTTTCACCGTAGGCGTCAAGGCGCTCCAAATGTCCACTTCCAGATATTACAAAAAGAGTGCTTCAAACCTTCTCTGTGAAAGGGAATATTCAACTCTGTGACTTGAATGCAGATATCACAAAGAAGTTTCTGAGAATGCTTCTGTCGATATTTTATATGAAGATATTCCCGTTTCCAACGAAATCCTGAAATCTATCCAAATATCCCCTCGCAGATTCTACAAAAAGAGTGTTTCAAAACTGCTCTGTAAAAAGAAAGGTTCAACTCTGTTAGTTGAGTACACACATCACAAACAAGTTTCACAGAATGCTTCTTTCTAGCTTGTAGGGGAAGATATTCCCTTTATCACCATGGGCCTCCAACCGTCCAATAAGTCCACTTCCATATACTACAAAAAGAGCGTTTCAAACCTGCTCTATGAAAGGCAATGTTCAACTCTGTGACTTGAATGCAGACATCACAGAGCAGTTTCTGAGAATGCTTCTGTCTAGATTTTATAGGAAGATATTCCGGTTTCCAAAGAAATCTTCACAGCTATCCAAATATCCACTTGCAGATTCTACAAAAAGAGTGTATCAAAACTGCTCTGTCAAAAGGAAGGTTCTTTTCTGTTAGGTGAGTGCATACGTCATAAAGGAGTTTCTGAGAATGTTTCTGTCTAGTGGTTATGGGAAGATATTTGCTTTTTCACCTTAGGCCTCAGAGCGCTCCAAATATCCACTTGCACATACTACAAAAAGAGTGCTTCAAAGCTGCTCTCTGAAACGGAATGTTCAACTCTATGAGTTGAATGCAAACATCACAAAGACGTTTCTGACAATGCTTATCTGTCTAGATTTGATATGAAGATATTCCCGTTTCCAACGAAATCTTCAAATCTATCCAAATGTCCACTTGCAGATTCAACAAAAAGTGTTTTTCAAAACTGCTGTATCAAAAGAAAGATCCACGTCTGTTAGCTGAGTTCACACATCACAAACAGGTTTATGAGAATGTTTCTGTCTAGTTTTTATTTGAAGATATTTCCTTTCTCACCATAGACCTGAAAGCTGTCCTAGTGTTCACTTCCAGATACTACAGAAAGAGTGTTTCAAAACTGCTGTACGAAAGGGAAAGTTCAACTCTGTGACTTGAATGCACACATCACAAAGAAGTTTCTGAGGATGCTGCTGTCTACTTTTTATACGTAATCCCGTTTCCAACGAAATCCTCCAAGCTATCCAAATATCCACTTGCAGATTCCACAGAAAGACTGTTTCAAAAGTGCTCTCTCAATAGAAAGGTTCAACTCTGTTAGCTGCGTGCATATATCCCAAAGAAGATTCTGAGATTGCTTCTGTCTAGTTTTTATGGGAAGATATTTCCCTTTTCACCGTAGGTGTCAAGGCGCTCTAAATGTCCACTTCCAGATACTACAAAAAGAGTGTTTCAAACCTACTCTGTGAAAGGGAATATTCAACTCTGTGACTTGAATGCACATATCACAAAGAAGTTTCTGAGAATGCTTCTGTCGAGATTTTATATGAAGATATTCCCGTTTCCAACGAAATCCTGAAATGTATCCAAATATCCCCTCGCAGATTCTACAAAAAGAGTGTTTCAAAACTGCTCTGTAAAAAGAAAGGTTCAACTTTGTTAGTTGAGTACACACATCACAAACAAGTTTCACAGAATGCTTCTTTCTAGCTTGTAGGGGAAGATATTCCCTTTATCACCATGGGCCTCAGACCGTCCGAAACGTCCACTTCCATATACTACAAAAAGAGGGTTTCAAACCTGCTCTATGAAAGGCAATGTTCAACTCTGTGACTTGAATGCAGACATCACAGAGCAGTTTCTGAGAATGCTTCTGTCTAGATTTTATAGGAAGATATTCCCGTTTCCAACGAAATCTTCACAGCTATCCAAATATCCACTTGCAGATTCTACAAAAAGAGTGTATCAAAACTGCTCTGTCAAAAGGAAGGTTCTTCTCTGTTAGGTGAGTGCATACGTCACAAAGGAGTTTCTGAGAATGTTTCTGTCTAGTGGTTATGGGAAGATATTTGCTTTTTCCCCGTAGGCCTCAGGGCGCTCCAAATGTCCACTTGCAAATGCTACAAAAAGAGTGCTTCAAAGCTGCTCTCTGAAAGGGAATGTTCAACTCTATGAGTTGAATGCAAACATCACAAAGACGTTTCTGAGAATGCTTCTGTCTAGATTTGATATGAAGATATTCCCGTTTCCAACGAAATCTTCAAATCTATCCAAATGTCCACTTGCAGTTTCAACAAAAAGTGTTTTTCAGAACTGCTCTATCAAAAGAAAGATCCACCTCTGTTAGCTGAGTTCACACATCACAAACAAGTTTATGAGAATGCTTCTGTCTAGTTTTTATTTGAAGATATTTCCTTTCTCACCATAGACCTGAAAGCTGTCCTAATGTTCACTTCCAGATACTACAGAAAGAGTGTTTCAAAGCTGCTGTACGAAAGGGAATGTTCAACTCTGTGACTTGAATGCACACATCACAAAGAAGTTTCTGAGGATGCTGCTGTCTACTTTTTATACGTAATCCCGTTTCCAACGAAATCCTCCAGGCTATCCAAATATCCACTTGCAGATTCCACAGAAAGACTGTTTCAAAACTGCTCTGTCAATAGAAAGGTTCAACTCTGTTAGCTGCGTGCATATATCCCAAAGAAGATTCTGAGATTGATTCTGTCTAGTTTTTATGGGAAGATATTTCCCTTTTCACCGTAGGCGTCAAGGCGCTCCAAATGTCCACTTCCAGATACTACAAAAAGAGTGTTTCAAACCTACTCTGTGAAAGGGAATATTCAACTCTGTTACTTGAATGCAGATATCACAAAGAAGTTTCTGAGAATGCTTCTGTCGAAATTTTATATGAAGATATTCCAGTTTCCAACGAAATCCTGAAATCTATCCAAATATCCCCTCGCAGATTCTACAAAAAGAGTGTTTCAAAACTGCTCTGTAAAAAGAAAGGTTCAACTCTGTTAGTTGAGTACACACATCACAAACAAGTTTCACAGAATGCTTCTTTCTAGCTTGTAGGGGAAGATATTCCCTTTATCACCATGGGCCTCCAACCGTCCGAAACATCCACTTCCATATAATAGAAAAGGAGCGTTTCAAACCTGCTCTATGAAAGGCAATGTTCAACTCTGTGACTTGAATGCAGACATCACAGAGCAGTTTCTGAGAATGCTTCTGTCTAGATTTTATAGGAAGATATTCCCGTTTCCAACGAAATCTTCACAGCTATCCAAATATCCACTTGCAGATTCTACAAAAAGAGTGTATCTAAACTGCTCTGTCAAAAGGAAGGTTATTTTCTGTTAGGTGAGTGCATACGTCATAAAGGAGTTTCTGAGAATGTTTCTGTCTAGTGGTTATGGGAAGATATTTGCTTTTTCACCGTAGGCCTCAGAGCGCACCAAATATCCACTTGCACATACTACAAAAAGAGTGCTTCAAAGCTGCTCTCTGAAACGGAATGTTCAACTCTATGAGTTGAATGCAAACATCACAAAGACGTTTCTGAGAATGCGTCTGTCTAGATTTGATATGAAGATATTCCCGTTTCCAACGAAATCTTCAAATCTATCCAAATGTCCACTTGCAGATTCAACAAAAATTGTTTTTCAGAACTGCTCTATCAAAAGAAAGATCCACGTGTGTTAGCTGAGTTCACACATAACAAACAAGTTTATGAGAATGCTTGTCTGTCTAGTTTTTATTTGAAGATATTTCCTTTCTCACCATAGACCTGAAAGCTGTCCTAATGTTCACTTCCAGATACTACAGAAAGAGTGTTTCAAAACTGCTGTACGAAAGGGAATGTTCAACTATGTGACTTGAATGCACACATCACAAAGAAGTTTCTGAGGATGCTGCTGTCTACTTTTTATACGTAATCCCGTTTCCAACGAAATCCTCCAGGCTATCCAAATATCCACTTGCAGATTCCACAGAAAGACTGTTTCAAAACTGCTCTGTCAATAGAAAGGTTCAACTCTGTTAGCTGCGTGCATATATCCCAAAGAAGATTCTGAGATTGCTTCTGTCTAGTTTTTATGGGAAGATATTTCCCTTTTCACCGTAGGCGTCAAGGCGCTCCAAATGTCCACTTCCAGATACTACAAAAAGAGTGTTTCAAACCTACTCTGTGAAAGGGAATATTCAACTCTGTGACTTGAATGCACATATCTCAAGGAAGTTTCTGAGAATGCTTCTGTCGAGATTTTATATGAAGATATTCCCGTTTCCAACGAAATCCTGAAATGTATCCAAATATCCCCTTGCAGATTCTACAAAAAGAGTGTTTCAAAACTGCTCTGTAAAAAGAAAGGTTCAACTCTGTTAGTTGAGTACACACATCACAAACAAGTTTCACACAATGCTTCTTTCTAGCTTGTAGGGGAAGATATTCCCTTTATCACCATGGGCCTCAAACCGTCCGATAAGTCCACTTCCATATACTACAAAAAGAGCGTTTCAAACCTGCTCTATGAAAGGCAATGTTCAACTACTGTGACTTGAATGCAGACATCACAGAGCAGTTTCTGAGAATGCTTCTGTCTAGATTTTATAGGAAGATATTCCCGTTTCCAACGAAATCTTCACAGCTATCCAAATATCCACTTGCAGATTCTACCAAAAGAGTGTATGAAAACTGCTCTGTCAAAAGGAAGGTTCTTCTCTGTTAGGTGAGTGCATACGTCATAAAGGAGTTTCTGAGAATGTTTCTGTCTAGTGGTTATGGGAAGATATTTGCTTTTTCACCGAAGGCCTCAGAGCGCTCCAAATATCCACTTGCACATACTACAAAATGAGTGCCTCAAAGCTGCTCTCTGAAACGGAATGTTCAACACTATGAGTTGAATGCAAACATCGCAAAGACGTTTCCGAGAATGCTTCTGTCTAGATTTGATATGAAGATATTCTCGTTTCCAACGAAATCTTCAAATCTACCCAAATGTCCACTTGCAGATTCAACAAAAATTGTTTTTCAGAACTGCTCTATCAAAAGAAAGATCCACGTGTGTTAGCTGAGTTCACACATAACAAACAAGTTTATGAGAATGCTTCTGTCTTGTTTTTATTAGAAGATATTTCCTTTCTCACCATAGACCTGAAAGCTGTCCTAATGTTCACTTCCAGATACTACAGAAAGAGTGTTTCAAAACTGCTGTACGAAAGGGAATGTTCAACTCTGTGACTTGAATGCACACATCACAAGGATGTTTCTGAGGATGCTGCTGTCTACTTTTATACGTAATCCCGTTTCCAACGAAATCCTCCATGCTATCCAAATATCCACTTGCAGATTCCACAGAAAGACTGTTTCAAAACTGCTCTGTCAATAGAAAGGTTCAACTCTGTTAGCTGCGTGCATATATCCCAAAGAAGATTCTGAGATTGCTTCTGTCTAGTTTTTATGGGAAGATATTTCCCTTTTCACCGTAGGTGTCAAGGCGCTCCAAATGTCCACTTCCAGATACTACAAAAAGAGTGTTTCAAACCTACTCTGTGAAAGGGAATATTCAACTCTGTGAATTCAATGCACATATCACAAAGAAGTTTCTGAGAATGCTTCTGTCGAGATTTTATATGAAGATATTCCCGTTTCCAACGAAATCCTGAAATCTATTCAAATATCCCCTCGCAGATTCTACAAAAAGAGTGTTTCAAAACTGCTCTGTAAAAAGAAAGGTTCAACTCTGTTAGTTGAGTACACACATCACAAACAAGTTTCACAGAATGCTTCTTTCTAGCTTGTAGGGGAAGATATTCCCTTTATCACCATGGGCCTCAAACCGTCCGATAAGTCCACTTCCATATACTACAAAAAGAGCGTTTCAAACCTGCTCTATGAAAGGCAATGTTCAACTCTGTGACTTGAATGCAGACATCACAGAGCAGTTTGCTGAGAATGCTTCTGTCTAGATTTTATAGGAAGATATTCCCGTTTCCAACGAAATCTTCACAGGTATCCAAATATCCACTTGCAGATTCTACAAAAAGAGTGTATCAAAACTGCTCTGTCAAAAGGAAGGTTCTTCTCTGTTAGGTGAGTGCATACCGTCATAAAGGAGTTTCTGAGAAAGTTTCTGTCTAGTGGTTATGGGAAGATATTTGCTTTTTCACCGTAGGCCTCAGAGCGCTCCAAATATCCACTTGCACATACTACAAAAAGAGTGCCTCAAAGCTGTTCTCTGAAACGGAATGTTCAACTCTATGAGTTGAATGCAAACATCACAAAGACGTTTCTGAGAAAGCTTCTGTCTAGATTTGATATGAAGATATTCCCGTTTCCAACGAAATCTTCAAATCTATCCAAATGTCCTCTTGCAGATTCAACAAAAAGTGTTTTTCAGAACTGCTCTATCAAAAGAAAGATCGACGTGTGTTAGCTGAGTTCACACATCACGAACAAGTTTATGAGAATGCTTCTGTCTAGTTTTTATTTGAAGATATTTCCTTTCTCACCATAGAGCTGAAAGCTGTCCTAATGTTCACTTCCAGATACTACAGAAAGAGTGTTTCAAAACTGCTGTACGAAAGGGAATGTTCAACTCTGTGACTTGAATGCACACATCACAAAGAAGTTTCTGAGGATGCAGCTGTCTACTTTTTATACTTAATCCCGTTTCCAACGAAATCCTCCAAGCTATCCAAATATCCACTTGCAGATTCCACAGAAAGACTGTTTCAAAACTGCTCTGTCAATAGAAAGGTTCAACTCTGTTAGCTGCGTGCATATATCCCAAAGCAGATTCTGAGATTGCTTCTGTCTAGTTTTTATGGGAAGATATTTCCCTTTTCACCGTAGGCGTCAAGGCGCTCCAAATGTCCACTTCCAGATACTACAAAAAGAGTGTTTCAAACCTACTCTATGAAAGGGAATATTCAACTCTGTGACTTGAATGCACATATCACAAGGAAGTTTCTGAGAATGCTTTTGTCGAGATTTTCTATGAAGATATTCCCGTTTCCAACGAAATCCTGAAATGTATCCAAATATCCCCTCGCAGATTCTACAAAAAGAGTGTTTCAAAACTGCTCTGTAAAAAGAAAGGTTCAACTCTGTTAGTTGAGTACAAACATCACAAACAAGTTTCACAGAATGCTTCTTTCTAGCTTGAAGGGGAAGATATTCCCTTTATCACCATGGGCCTCAAACCGTCTGAAACGTCCACTTCCATATACTACAAAAAGAGCATTTCAAACCTGCTCTATGAAAGGCAATGTTCAACTCTGTGACTTGAATGCAGACATCACAGAGCAGTTTCTGAGAATGCTTCTGTCCAGACTTTATAGGAAGATATTCCCGTTTCCAAAGAAATCTTCACAGCTATCCAAATATACACTTGCAGATACTGCAAAAAGAGTGTATCAAAAATGCTCTGTCAAAAGGAAAGTTCTTCTCTGCTAGTTGAGTACATACGTCATAAAGAAGTTTCTGAGAATGTTTCTGTCTAGTGGTTATGGGAAGATATTTGCTTTTTCACCGTAGGCCTCAGAGCGCTCCAAATATCCACTTGCACATGCTACAAAAAGAGTGCTTCAAAGCAGCTCTCTGAAACGGAATGTTCAACTCTATGAGTTGAATGCAAACATCACAAAGACGTTTCTGAGAATGCTTCTGTCTAGATTTGATATGAAGATATTCCCGTTTCCAACGAAATCTTCAAATCTATCCAAATGTCCACTTGCAGATTCAACAAAAAGTGTTTTTCAGAACTGCTCTATCAAAAGTAAGATCCACCTCTGTTAGCTGAGTTCACACCTCACAAACAAGTTTATGAGAATGCTTCTGTCTAGTTTTTATTTGAAGATATTTCCTTTCTCACCATAGACCTGAAAGCTATCCTAATGTTCACTTCCAGATACTACAGAAAGAGTGTTTCAAAACTGCTGTACGAAAGGTGATGTTCAACTCTGTGACTTGAATGCACACATCACAAAGAAGTTTCTGAGGATGCTGCTGTCTACTTTTTATACGTAATCCCGTTTCCAACGAAATCCTCCAAGCTATCCAAATATCCACTTGCAGATTCCACAGAAAGACTGTTTCAAAACTGCTCTGTCAATAGAAAGGTTCAACTCTGTTAGCTGCGTGCATATATCCCAAAGAAGATTCTGAGATAGCTTCTGTCTAGTTTTTATGGGAAGATATTTCCCTTTTCACTGTAGGCGTCAAGGCGCTCCAAATGTCCACTTCCAGATACTACAAAAAGAGTGTTTCAAACCTACTCTGTGAAAGGGAATATTCAACTCTGTGACTTGAATGCACATATCACAAGGAAGTTTCTGAGAATGCTTCTGTCGAGATTTTATATGAAGATATTCCCGTTTCCAACGAAATCCTGAAATCTATCCAAATATCCCCTCGCAGATTCTACAAAAAGAGTGTTTCAAAACTGCTCTGTAAAAAGAAAGGTTCAACCCTGTTAGTTGAGTACACACATCACAAACAAGATTCACAGAATGCTTCTTTCTAGCTTGTAGGGGAAGATATTCCCTTTATCACCGTGGGCCTCAAACCGTCCGAAACATCCACTTCCATATACTACAAAAAGAGCGTTTCAAACCTGCTCTATGAAAGGCAATGTTCAACTCTGTGACTTGAATGCAGACATCACAGAGCAGTTTCTGAGAATGCTTCTGTCTAGATTTTATAGGAAGATATTCCCGTTTCCAACGAAATCTTCACAGCTATCAAAATATCCACTTGCAGATTCTACAAAAAGAGTGTATCAAAACTGCTCTGTCAAAAGGAAGGTTCTTCTCTGTTAGGTGAGTGCATACGTCATAAAGGAGTTTCTGAGAATGTTTCTGTCTAGTGGTTATGGGAAGATATTTGCTTTTTCACCGTAGGCCTCAGAGCGCTCCAAATATCCACGTGCACATACTACAAAAAGAGTGCTTCAAAGCTGGTCTCTGAAACGGAATGTTCAACTCTATGAGTTGAATGCAAACATCACAAAGACGTTTCTGAGAATGCTTCTGTCTAGCATTTGATATGAAGATATTCCCGTTTCCAACGAAATCTTCAAATCTATCCAAATGTCCACTTGCAGATTCAACAAAAAGTGTTTTTCAGAACTGCTCTATCAAAAGAAAGATCCACCTCTGTTAGATGAGTTCACACATCACAAACAAGTTTATGAGAATGCTTCTGTCTAGTTTTTATTTGAAGATGCTTCCTTTCTCACCATAGACCTGAAAGCTGTCCTAATGTTCACTTCCAGATACTACAGAAAGAGTGTTTCAAAACTGCTGTACGAAAGGGAATGTTCAACTCTGTGACTTGAATGCACACATCACAAAGAAGTTTCTGAGGATGCTGCGGTCTACTTTTTATACGTAATCCCGTTTCCAACGAAATCCTCCACTCTATCCAAATATCCACTTGCAGATTCCACAGAAAGACTGTTTCAAAACTGCTCTGTCAATAGAAAGGTTCAACTCTGTTAGCTGCGTGCATATATCCCAAAGAAGATTCTGAGATTGCTTCTGTCTAGTTTTTATGGGAAGATATTTCCCTTTTCACCGTAGGTGTCAAGGCGCTCCAAATGTCCACTTCCAGATACTACAAAAAGAGTGTTTCAAACCTACTCTGTGAAAGGGAATATTCAACTCTGTGACTTGAATGTACATATCACAAAGAAGTTTCTGAGAATGCTTCTGTCGAGATTTTATATGAAGATATTCCCGTTTCCAACGAAATGCTGAAATGTATCCAAATATCCCCTCGCAGATTCTACAAAAAGAGTGTTTCAAAACTGCTCTGTAAAAAGAAAGGTTCAACTCTGTTAGTTGAGTACACACATCAAAAACAAGTTTCACAGAATGCTTCTTTCTAGCTTGTAGGGGAAGATATTCCCTTTATCACCATGGGCCTCAAACCGTCCGAAACGTCCACTTCCATATACTACAAAAAGAGCGTTTCAAACCTGCTCTATGAAAGGCAATGTTCAACCCTGTGACTTCAATGCAGACATCACAGAGCAGTTTCTGAGAATGCTTCCGTCTAAATTTTATAGGAAGATATTCCCCTTTCCAACGAAATCTTCACAGCTATCCAAATATCCACTTGCAGATTCTACAAAAAGAGTGTATCAAAACTGCTCTGTCAAAAGGAAGGTTCTTCTCTGTTAGGTGAGTGCATACGTCATAAAGGAGTTTCTGAGAATGTTTCTGTCTAGTGGTTATGGGAAGATATTTGCTTTTTCACCATAGGCCTCAGAGCGCTCCAAATATCCACTTGCACATAGTACAAAAAGAGTGCTTCAAAGCTGCTCTCTGAAAGGGAATGTTCAACTCTATGAGTTGAATGCTAACATCACAAAGACGTTTCTGAGAATGCTTCTGTCTAGATTTGATATGAGGATATTCCCGTTTCCAACGAAATCTTCAAATCTATCCAAATGTCCACTTGCAGATTCAACAAAAAGTGTTTTTCAGAACTGCCCTATCAAAAGAAAGATCCACCTCTGTTAGCTGAGTTCACACATCACAAACAAGTTGATGAGAATGCTTCTGTCTAGTTTTTATTTGAAGATATTTCCTTTCTCACCATAGACCTGAAAGCTGTCCTAATGTTCACTTCCAGATACTACAGAGTGTTTCAAAACTGCTGTACGAAAGGGAATGTTCAACTCTGTGACTTGAATGCACACATCACAAAGAAGTTTCTGAGGATGCTTCTGTCCAGCCTTTATAGGAAGATATTCCTGTTTCCAACGAAATCTTCACAGCTATCCAAATATCCACTTGCAGATTCCACAGAAAGACTGTTTCTAAACTGCTCTTTCAATAGAAAGGTTCAACTGTGTTAGCTGCGTGCATATATCCCAAAGAAGATTCTCAGATTGCTTCTGTCTACTTTTTATGAGAAGATATTTCCCTTTTCACCGTAGGCATCAAGGCGCTCCAAATGTCCACTTCCAGATACTAGAAAAAGAGTGTTTCAAACCTACTCTGTGAAAGGGAATATTCAACTTTGTGACTTGAATGCACATATCACAAAGAAGCTTCCGAGAATGCATCTGTCGAGATTTTATATGAAGATATTCCCCTTTCCAACGAAATCCTGAAATGTATCCAAATATCCCCTCGCAGATTCTACAAAAAGAGTGTTTCAAAACTGCTCTGTAAAAAGAAAGGTTCAACTCTGTTAGTTGAGTACACACATCACAAACAAGTTTCACAGAATGCTTCTTTCTACCTTGTAGGTGAAGATATTTCCTTTATCACCATGGGCCTCAAACCGTCCGAAACGTCCACTTCCATATACTAAAAAAAGAGTGTTTCAAACCTGCTCTATGAAAGGCAATGTTCAACTCTGTGACTTGAATGCAGACATCACAGAGCAGTTTCTGAGAATGCTTCTGTTTAGATTTTATAGGAAGATATTCCCGTTTCCAACGAATTCTTCACTGATATCCAAATATCCACTTGCAGAGTCTACAAAAAGAGTGTATCAAAACTGCTCTGTCAAAAGGAAGGTTCTTCTCGGTTAGTTGAGTACATACGTCATAAAGAAGTTTCTGAGAATGTTTCTGTCTAGTGGTTATGGGAAGATATTTGCTTTTTCCCCGTAGGCCTCAGGGCGCTCCAAATGTCCACTTGCACATGCTACAAAAAGAGTGCTTCAAAGCTGCTCTCTGAAACCGAATGTTCAACTCTATGAGTTGAATGCAAACATCACAAAGACGTTTCTGAGAATGCTTCTGTCTAGATTTGATATGAAGATATTCCCGTTTCCAACGAAATCTTCATATCTATCCAAATGTCCACTTGCAGATTCAACAAAAAGTGTTTTTCAAAACTGCTGTATCAAAAGAAAGATCCAGGTCTGTTAGCTGAGTTCACACATCACAAACAAGTTTATGAGAATGCTTCTGTCTAGTTTTTATTTGAAGATATTTCCTTTCTCACCATAGACCTGAAAGCTGTCCTAATGTTCACTTCCAGATACTACAGAAAGAGTGTTTCAACACTGCTGTACGAAAGGGAATGTTCAACTCTGTGACTTGAATGCACACATCACAAAGTAGTTTCTGAGGATGCTGCTGTCTACTTTTTATACGTAATCCCGTTTCCAACGAAATCCTCCAAGCTATCCAAATATCCACTTGCAGATTCCACAGAAAGACTGTTTCAAAACTGCTCTGTCAATAGAAAGGTTCAACTCTTTTAGCTGCGTGCATATATCCCAAAGAAAATTCTGAGATTGCTTCTGTCTAGTTTTTATGGGAAGATATTTCCCTTTTCACCGTAGGTGTCAAGGCGCTCCAAATGTCCACTTCCAGATACTACAAAAAGAGTATTTCAAACCTACTATGTGAAAGGCAATATTCAACTCTGTGACTTGAATGCAGATATCACAAAGAAGTTTCTGAGAATGCTTCTGTCGAGATTTTACATGAAGATATTCCCGTTTCCAACCAAATGCTGAAATCTATCCAAATATCTCCTCGCAGATTCTACAAAAAGAGTGTTTCAAAACTGCTCTGTGAAAAGAAAGGTTCAACTCTGTTAGTTGAGTACACACATCACAAACAAGTTTCACACAATGCTTTCTTTCTATCTTGTAGGGGAAGATATTCCCTTTATCACCATGGGCCTCCAACCGTCCGAAACATCCACTTCCATATACTACAAAAAGAGCGTTTCAAACCGGCTCTATGAAAGGCAATGTTCAACTCTGTGACTTGAATGCAGACATCACAGAGCAGTTTCTGAGAATGCTTCTGTCTAGATTTTATAGGAAGATATTCCCGTTTCCAACGAAACCTTCACAGCTATCCAAATATCCACTTGCAGATTCTACAAAAAGAGTGTATCAAAACTGCTCTGTCAAAAGGAAGGTTCTTTTCTGTTAGGTGAGTGCATACGTCATAAAGGAGTTTCTGAGAATGTTTATCTGTCTAGTGGTTATGGGAAGATATTTGCTTTTTCACCGTAGGCCTCAGAGCGCTCCAAATATCCACTTGCACATACTACAAAAAGAGTGCCTCAAAGCTGCTCTCTGAAACCGAATGTTCAACTCTATGAGTTGAATGCAAACATCACAAAGACGTTTCTGAGAATGCTTCTGTCTAGATTTGATATGAAGATATTCCCCTTTCCAACGAAATCTTCAAATCTATCCAAATGTCCACTTGCAGATTCAACAAAAAGTGTTTTTCAGAACTGCTCTATCAAAAGAAAGATCCACCTCTGTTAGCTGAGTTCACACATCACAAACAAGTTTATGAGAATGCTTCTGTCTAGTTTTTATTTGAAGATATATCCTTTCTCACTATAGACCTGAAAGCTCTCCTAAAGTTCACTTCCAGATACTACAGAAAGAGTGTTTCAAAACTGCTGTACGAAAGGGAATGTTCAACTCTGTGACTTGAATGCACACATCACAAGGAAATTTCTGAGGATGCTGCTGTCTACTTTTTATACGTAATCCCGTTTCCAAAGAAATCCTCCAAGCTATCCAAATACCCACTTGCAGATTCCACAGAAAGACTGTTTCAAAACTGCTCTGTCAATAGAAAGGTTCAACTCTGTTAGCTGCGTGCATATATCCCAAAGAAGATTTTGAGATTGCTTCTGTCTAGTTTTTATGGGAAGATATTTCCCTTTTCACCGTAGGTGTCAAGGTGCTCCAAATGTCCACTTCCAGATACTACAAAAAGAGTGTTTCAAACCTACTCTGTGAAAGGGAATATTCAACTCTGTGACTTGAATGCACATATCACAAAGAAGTTTCTGAGAATGCTTCTGTCGAGATTTTATATGAAGATATTACCTTTTCCAACGAAATCCTGAAATCTATCCAAATATCCCCTCGCAGATTCTACAAAAAGAGTGTTTCAAAACTGCTCTGTAAAAAGAAAGGTTCAACTCTGTTACTTGAGTACACACATCACAAACAAGTTTCACAGAATGCTTCTTTCTAGCTTGTAGTGGAAGATATTCCCTTTATCACCATGGGCCTCAAACCGTCCGAAAAGTCCACTTCCATATACTACAAAAAGAGCGTTTCAAACCTGCTCTATGAAAGGCAATGTTCAACTCTGTGACTTGAATGCAGACATCACAGAGCAGTTTCTGAGAATGCTTCTGTCTAGATTTTATAGGAAGATATTCCCGTTTCCAACGAAATCTTCACAGCTATCCAAATATCCACTTGCAGATTCTACAAAAAGAGTGTATCAAAACTGTTCTGTCGAAAGGAAGGTTCTCCTCTGTTAGGTGAGTGCATACGTCATAAAGGAGTTTCTGAGAATGTTTCTGTCTAGTGGTTATGGGAAGATATTTGCTTTTTCACCGTAGGCCTCAGAGCGCTCCAAATATCCACTTGCACATACTACAAAAAGAGTGCCTCAAAGCTGCTCTCTGAAACGGAATGTTCGACTCTATGAGTTGAATGCAAACATCACAAAGACGTTTCTGAGAATGCTTCTGTCTAGATTTGATATGAAGATATTCCCGTTTCCAACGAAATCTTCAAATCTATCCTAATGTCCACTTGCAGATTCAACAAAAAGTGTTTTTCAGAACTGCTCTATCAAAAGAAAGATCCACCTCTGTTAGCTGAGTTCACACATCACAAACAAGTTTATGAGAATGCTTATCTGTCTAGTTTTTATTTGAAGATATATCCTTTCTCACTATAGACCTGAAAGCTCTCATAAAGTTCACTTCCAGATACTACAGAAAGAGTGTTTCAAAACTGCTGTACGAAAGGGAATGTTCAACTCTGTGACTTGAATGCACACATCACAAGGATGTTTCTGAGGATGCTGCAGTCTACTTTTTATACGTAATCCCGTTTCCAACGAAATCCTCCAATCTATCCAAATATCCACTTGCAGATTCCACAGAAAGACTGTTTCAAAACTGCTCTGTCAACAGAAAGGTTCAACTCTGTTAGCTGCGTGCATATATCCCAAAGAAGATTCTCAGATTGCTTCTGTCTAGTTTTTATGGGAAGATATTTCCCTTTTCACCGTAGGCGTCAAGGCGCTCCAAATGTCCACTTCCAGATACTATAAAAAGAGTGTTTGAAACCTACTCTGTGAAAGGGAATATTCAACTCTGTGACTTGAATGCAGATATCACAAGGAAGTTTCTGAGAATGCTTCTGTCGAGATTTTATATGAAGATATTCTCGTTTCCAACGAAATCCTGAAATCTATCCAAATATCCCCTCACAGATTCTACAAAAAGAGTGTTTCAAAACTGCTCTGTAAAAAGAAAGGTTCAACTCTGTTAGTTGAGTACACACATCACAAACAAGTTTCACAGAATGCTTCTTTCTAGCTTGTAGGGGAAGATATTCCCTTTATCACCATGGGCCTCCAACCGTCCGAAACATCCACTTCCCTATACTACAAAAAGAGCGTTTCAAACCTGCTCTATGAAAGGCAATGTTCAACTCTGTGACTTGAATGCAGACATCACAGAGCAGTTTCTGAGAATGCTTCTGTCTAGATTTTATAGGAAGATATTCCCGTTTCCAACGAAATCTTCACAGCTATCCAAATATCCACTTGCAGATTCTACAAAAAGAGTGTATCAAAACTGCTCTGTCAAAAGGAAGGTTCTTCTCTGTTAGGTGAGTGCATACGTCCTAAAGCAGTTTCTGAGAATGTTTCTGTCTAGTGGTTATAGGAAGATATTTGCTTTTTCCCCGTAGGCCTCAGGGCGCTCGAAATGTCCACTTGCACATGCTACAAAAAGAGTACTTCAAAGCTGCTCTCTGAAAGGGAATGTTCAACTCTATGAGTTGAATGCAAACATCACAAAGACGTTTCTGAGAATGCTTCTGTCTAGATTTGATATGAAGATATTCCCGTTTCCAACGAAATCTTCAACTCTATCCAAATGTCCACTTGCAGATTCAACAAAAAGTGTTTTTCAGAACTGCTCTATCAAAAGAAAGATCCACCTCTGTTAGCTGAGTTCACACATCACAAACAAGTTTATGAGAATGCTTCTGTCTAGTTTTTATTGGAAGGTATTTCCTTTCTCACCATAGACCTGAAAGCTGTCCTAATGTTCACTTCCAGATACTACAGAAAGAGTGTTTCAAAACTGCTGTACGAAAGGGAATGTTCAACTCTGTGACTTGAATGCACACATCACAAAGAAGTTTCTGAGGATGCTGCTGTCTACTTTTTATACGTAATCCCGTTTCCAATGAAATCCTCCAAGCTATCCAAATATCCACTTGCAGATTCCACAGAAAGACTGTTTCAAATCTGCTCAGTCAATAGAAAGGTTCAACTCTGTTAGCTGCGTGCATATATCACAAAGAAGATTCTGAGATTGCTTCTGTCTAGTTTTTATGGGAAGATATTTCCCTTTTCACCGTAGGCGTCAAGGCGCTCCAAATGTCCACTTCCAGATACTACAAAAAGAGTGTTTCAAACCTACTCGGTGAAAGGGAATATTCAACTCTGTGACTTGAATGCAGATATCACAAAGAAGTTTCTGAGAATGCTTCTGTCGAGACTTTTATATGAAGATATTCCCGTTTCCAACGAAATCCTGAAATCTATCCAAATATCCCCTCGCAGATTCTACAAAAAGAGTGTTTCAAAACTGCTCTGTAAAAAGAAAGGTTCAACTCTGTTAGTTGAGTACACACATCCCAAACTAGTTTCACACAATGCTTCTTTCTAGCTTGTAGGGGAAGATATTCCCTTTATCACCATGGTCCTCAAACCGTCCGAAACGTCCTCTTCCATATAGTACAAAAAGAGCGTTTCAAACCTGCTCTATGAAAGGCAATGTTCAATTCTGTGACTTGAATGCAGACATCACAGAGCAGTTTCTGAGAATGCTTCTGTCTAGTATTTTATAGGAAGATATTCCCGTTTCCAACGAAATCTTCACAGCTATCCAAATATCCACTTGCAGATTCTACAAAAAGAGTTTATCAAAACTGCTCTGTCAAAAGGAAGGTTCTTCTCTGTTAGGTGAGTGCATACTTCATAAAGGAGTTTCTGAGAATGTTTCTGTCTAGTGGTTATGGGAAGATATTTGCTTTTTCCCCGTAGGTCTCAGGGCGCTCCAAATGTCCACTTGCACATGCTACAAAAAGAGTGCTTCATATCTGCTCTATGGAAGGGAATGTTCAACTCTATGAGTTGAATGCAAACATCACAAAGACGTTTCTGAGAATGCTTCTGTCTAGATTTGATATGAAGATATTCCCGTTTCCAACGAAATCTTCAATCTATCCAAATATCCACTTGCAGATTCAACAAAAAGTGTTTTTCAGAACTGCTCTATCAAAAGAAAGATCCACCTCTGTTAGCTGAGTTCACACATCACAAACAAGTTTATGAGAATGCTTCTGTCTAGTTTTTATTTGAAGATATTTCCTTTCTCACCATAGAGCTGAAAGCTGTCCTAATGTTCACTTCCAGATACTACAGAAAGAGTGTTTCAAAACTGCTGTACGAAAGGGAATGTTCAACTCTGTGACTTGAATGCACACATAACAAAGAAGTTTCTGAGGATGCTACTGTCTACTTTTTATACGTAAACCCGTTTCCAACGAAATCCTCCAAGCTATCCAAATATCCACTTGCAGATTCCACAGAAAAACTGTTACAAAACTGCTCTGTCAATAGAAAGGTTCAACTCTGTTAGCTGCGTGCATATATCCCAAAGAAGATTCTGAGATTGCTTTCTGTCTAGTTTTTATGGGAAGATATTTCCCTTTTCACCGTAGGTGTCAAGGCGCTCAAAATGTCCACTTCCAGATACTACAAAAAGAGTGTTTCAAACCTACTCTGTGAAAGGGAATATTCAACTCTGTCACTTGAATGCAGATATCACAAAGAAGTTTCTGAGAATTCTTCTGTCGAGATTTTATATGAAGATATTCCCGTTTCCAACGAAATCCTGAAATCTATCCAAATATCCCCTCGCAGATTCTACAAAAAGAGTGTTTCAAAACTGCGCTGTAAAAAGAAAGGTTCAACTCTGTTAGTTGAGTACACACATCACAAACAAGTTTCACAGAATGCTTCTTTCTAGCTTGTAGGGGAAGATATTCCCTTTATCACCGTGGGCCTCAAACCGTCCGATAAGTCCACTTCCATATACTACAAAAAGAGCGTTTCAAACCTGCTCCATGAAAGGCAATGTTCAACTCTGTGACTTGAATGCAGACATCACAGAGCAGTTTACTGAGAATGCTTCTGTCTAGATTTTATAGGAAGATATTCAAGTTTCCAACGAAATCTTCACAGCTATCCAAATATCCACTTGCAGATTCTACAAAAAGAGTGTATCAAAACTGCTCTGTCAAAAGGAAGGTTCTTTTCTGTTAGGTGAGTGCATACGTCATAAAGGAGTTTCTGAGAATGTTTCTGTCTAGTGGTCATGGGAAGATATTTGCTTTTTCACCGTAGGCCTCAGAGCGCTCCAAATATCCACTTGCACATACTACAAAAAGAGTGCCTCAAAGCTGCTCTCTGAAACGGAATGTTCAACTCTATGAGTTGAATGCAAACATCACAAAGACGTTTCTGAGAATGCTTCTGTCTAGATTTGATATGAAGATATTCCCGTTTCCAACGAAATCTTCATATCTATCCAAATGTCCACTTGCAGATTCAACAAAAAGTGTTTTTCAGAACTGCTCTATCAAAAGAAAGATCCACCTCTGTTAGCTGAGTTCACACATCACAAACAAGTTTATGAGAATGCTTCTGTCTAGTTTTTATTTGAAGATATTTCCTTTCTCACCATAGAGCTGAAAGCTGTCCTAATGTTCACTTCCATATACTACAGAAAGAGTGTTTCAAAACTGCTGTACGAAAGGGAATGTTCAACTCTGTGACTTGAATGCACACATCACAAAGGAGTTTCTGAGGATGCTGCTGTCTACTTTTTATACGTAATCCCGTTTCCAACGAAATCCTCCAAGCTATCCAAATATCCACTTGCAGATTCCACAGAAAGACTCTTTCAAAACTGCTCTGTCAATAGAAAGGTTCAACTCTGTTAGCTGCGTGCATATATCCCAAAGAAGATTCTGAGATTGCTTCTGTCTAGTTTTTATGGGAAGATATTTCCCTTTTCACCGTAGGCGTCAAGGTGCTCCAAATGTCCACTTCCAGATACTACAAAAGGAGTGTTTCAAACCTACTCTGTCAAAGGGAATATTCAACTCTGTGACTTGAATGCACATATCACAAAGAGGTTTCTGAGAATGTTTCTGTCGAGATTTTATATGAAGATATTCCCGTTCCCAACGAAATCCTCAAATCTATCCAAATATCCCCTCACAGATTCTACAAAAAGAGTGTTTCAAAACTGCTCTTTAAAAAGAAAGGTTCAACTCTGTTAGTTGAGTACACACATCACAAACAAGTTTCATAGAATGCTTCTTTCTAGCTTGTAGGGGAACATATTCCCTTTATCACCATGGGCCTCAAACCGTCCGAAACGTCCACTTCCATATACTACAAAAAGAGCGTTTCAAACCTGCTCTATGAAAGGCAATGTTCAACTCTATGACTTGAATGCAGACATCACAGAGCAGTTTCTGAGAATGCTTCTGTCTAGATTTTGTAGGAAGATATTCCCGATTCCAACGAAATCTTCACAGCTATCCAAATATCCACTTGCAGATTCTACAAAAAGAGTGTATCAAAACTGCTCTGTCAAAAGGAAGGTTCTTCTCTGTTAGGTGAGTGCATACGTCATAAAGGAGTTTCTGAGAATGTTTCTGACTAGTGGTTATGGGAAGATATTTGCTTTTTCACCGTAAGCCTCAGAGCGCTCCAAATATCCACTTGCACATACTACAAAAAGAGTGCCTCAAAGCTGCTCTCTGAAACGGAATGTTCAACTCTATGAGTTGAATGCAAACATCGCAAAGACGTTTCTGAGAATGCTTCTGTCTAGATTTGATATGAAGATATTCCCGTTTCCAACGAAATCTTCAAATCTATCCAAATGTCCACTTGCAGATTCAACAAAAAGTGTTTTTCAGAACTGCTCTATCAAAAGAAAGATCCACCTCTGTTAGCTGAGTTCACACATCACAAACAAGTTTATGAGAATGCTTCTGTCTAGTTTTTATTTGAAGATATTCCCTTTTTCACCACAGACCTGAAAGCTGTCCTAATGTTCACTTCCAGATACTACAGAAAGAGTGTTTCAAAGCTGCTGTACGAAAGGGAATGTTCAACTCTGTGACTTGAATGCACACATCACAAAGAAGTTTCTGAGGATGCTGCTGTCTACTTTTTATACGTAATCCCGTTTCCAACGAAATCCTCCAAGCTATCCAAATATCCACTTGCAGATTCCACAGAAAGACTGTTTCAAAACTGCTCTGTCAATAGAAAGGTTCAACTCTGTTAGCTGCGTGCGTATATCCCAAAGAAGATTCTGAGATTGCTTCTGTCTAGTTTTGATGGGAAGATACTTCCCTTTTCACCGTAGGCGTCAAGGCGCTCCAAATGTCCACTTCCAGATACTACAAAAAGAGTGTTTCAAACCTACTCTGTGAAAGGGAATATTCAACTCTGTGACTTGAATGCACATATCACAAGGAAGTTTCTGAGAATGCTTCTGTCGAGATTTCATATGAAGATATTCCCGTTTCCAACGAAATCCTGAAATCTATCCAAATATCCCCTCGCAGATTCTACAAAAAGAGTGTTTCAAAACTGCTCTTTAAAAAGAAAGGTTCAACTCTGTTAGTTGAGTACACACATCACAAACAAGTTTCACAGAATGCTTCTTTCTAGCTTGTGGTGGAAGATATTCCCTTTATCACCATGGGACTCAAACCGTCCGAAACGTCCACTTCCATATACTACAAAAAGAGCGTTTCAAACCTGCTCTATGAAAGGCAATGTTCAACTCTGTGACTTGAATGCAGACATCACAGAGCAGTTTCTGAGAATGCTTCTGTCTAGATTTTATAGGAAGATATTACCGTTTCCAACGAAATCTTCACAGCTATCCAAATATCCACTTGCAGGTTCTACAAAAAGAGTGTATCAAAACTGCTCTGTCAAAAGGAAGGTTCTTCTCTGTTAGGTGAGTGCATACGTCATAAAGGAGTTTCTGAGAATGTTTCTGTCTAGTGGTTATGGGAAGATATTTGCTTTTTCACCGTAGGCCTCAGAGCGCTCCAAATATCCACTTGCACATACTACAAAAAGAGTGCTTCAAAGCTGCTCTCTGAAACGGAACGTTCAACTCTATGAGTTGAATGCAAACATCACAAAGACGTTTCTGAGAATGCTTCTGTCTAGATTTGATATGAAGATATTCCCGTTTCCAACGAAATCTTCAAATATATCCAAATGTCCGCTTGCAGATTCAACAAAAAGTGTTTTTCAGAACTGCTCTATCAAAAGAAAGATCCACCTCTGTTAGCTGAGTTCACACATCACAAACAAGTTTATGAGAATGCTTCTGTCTAGTTTTTATTTGAAGATATTTCCTTTCTCACCATAGACGTGAAAGCTGTCCTAATGTTCACTTCCAGATACTATAGAAAGAGTGTTTCAAAACTGCTGTACGAAAGGGAATGTTCAACCCTGTGACTTGAATGCACACATCACAAAGAAGTTTCTGAGGATGCTGCTGTCTACTTTTTATACGTAATCCCGTTTCCAACGAAATCCTCCAAGCTATCCAAATATCCACTTGCAGATTCCTCAGAAAGACTGTTTCAAAACTGCTCTGTCAATAGAAAGGTTCAACTCTGTTAGCTGCGTGCATATATCCCAAAGAAGATTCTGAGATTGCTTCTGTCTAGTTTTTATGGGAAGATATTTCCCTTTTCACCGTAGGTGTCAAGGCGCTCCAAATGTCCACTTCCAGACACTACAAAAAGAGTGTTTCAAACCTACTCTGTGAAAGGGAATATTCAACTCTGTGACTTGAATGCACATATCACAAAGAAGTTTCTGAGAGTGCTTCTGTCGAGATTTTATATGAAGATATTCCCGTTTCCAGCGAAATCCTGAAATGTATCCAAATATCCCCTCGTAGATTCTACAAAAAGAGTGTTTCAAAACTGCTCTGTAAAGAGAAAGGTTCAACTCTGTTAGTTGAGTGCACACATCACAAACAAGTTTCACAGAATGCTGCTTTCTAGCTTGTAGGGGAAGATATTCCCTTTATCACCATGGGCCTCAAACCGTCCGAAACGTCCACTTCCATATACTACAAAAAGAGCGTTTCAAACCTGCTCTATGAAAGGCAATGTTCAACTCTGTGACTTGAATGCAGACATCACAGAGCAGTTTCTGAGAATGCTTCTGTCTAGATTTTATAGGAAGATATTCCCGTTTCCAACGAACTCTTCACAGCTATCCAAATATCCACTTTCAGATTCTACAAAAAGAGTGTATCAAAACTGCTCTGTCAAAAGGAAGGTTCTTCTCTGTTAGGTGAGTGCATACGTCATAAAGGAGTTTCTGAGAATGTTTCTGTCTAGTGGTTATGGGAAGATATTTGCTTTTTCACCGTAGGCCTCACAGCGCTCCAAATATCCACTTGCACATACTACAAAAAGAGTGCTTCAAAGCTGCTCTCTGAAACGGAATGTTCAACTCTATGAGTTGAATGCAAACATCACAAAGACGTTTCCGAGAATGCTTCTGTCTAGATTTGATATGAAGATATTCCCGTTTCCAACGAAATCTTCAAATCTATCCAAATGTCCACTTGCAGATTCAACAAAAAGTGTTTATCAGAACTGCTCTATCAAAAGAAAGATCCACCTCTGTTAGCTGAGTTCACACATCACAAACAAGTTTATGAGAATGCTTCTGTCTAGTTTTTATTTGAAGATATATCCTTTCTCACTATAGACCTGAAAGGTGTCCTAAAGTTCACTTCCAGATACTACAGAAAGAGTGTTTCAAAACTGCTGTACGAAAGGGAATGTTCAACTCTGTGACTTGAATGCACACATCACAAGGATGTTTCTGAGGATGCTGCTGTCTACTTTTTATACGTAATCCTGTTTCCAACGAAATCCTCCAAGCTATCCAAATATCCACTTGCAGATTCCACAGAAAGAATGTTTCAAAACTGCTCTGTCAATAGAAAGGTTCAACTCTGTTAGCTGCGTGCATATATCCCAAAGAAGATTCTGAGATTGCTTCTGTCTAGTTTTTGTGGGAAGATATTTCCCTTTTCACCGTAGGCGTCAAGGCGCTCCAAATGTCCACTTCCAGATACTACAAAAAGAGTGTTTCAAACCTACTGTGTGAAAGGGAATATTCAACTCTGTGACTTGAATGCACATATCACAAAGAAGTTTCTGAGAATGCTTCTGTCGAGATTTTTTATGAAGATATTCCCGTTTCCAACGAAATCCTGAAATCTATCCAAATATCCCCTCGCAGATTCTACAAAAAGAGTGTTTCAAAACTGCTCTGTAAAAAGAAAGGTTCAACTCTGTTAGTTGAGTACAGACATCACAAACAACTTTCACAGAATGCTTCTTTCTAGCTTGTAGGGGAAGATATTCCCTTTATCACCATGGGCCTCCAACCGTCCGAAACATCCACTTCCATATACTACACAAAGAGCGTTTCAAACCTGCTCTATGAAAGGCAATGTTCAACTCTGTGACTTGAATGCAGACATCACAGAGCAGTTTCTGAGAATGCTTCTGTCCAGACTTTATAGGAAGATATTCCCGTTTCCAACGAAATCTTCACAGCTATCCAAATATCCACTTGCAGATACTACAAAAAGAATGTATCAAAAATGCTCTGTCAAAAGGAAAGTTCTTCTCTGCTAGTTGAGTACATACGTCATAAAGAAGTTTCTGAGAATGTTTCTGTCTAGTGGTTATGGGAAGATATTTTCTTTTTCACCGTAGGCCTCAGAGCGCTCCAAATATCCAGTTGCACATACTACAAAAAGAGTGCCTCAAAGCTGCTCTCTGAAACGGAATGTTCAACTCTGTGAGTTGAATGCAAACATCGCAAAGACGTTTCTGAGAATGCTGCTGTCTAGATTTGATATGAAGATATTCCCGTTTCCAACGAAATCTTCAAATCTATCCAAATGTCCACTTGCAGATTCAACAAAAAGTGTTTTTCAGAACTGCTCTATCAAAAGAAAGATCCACCTCTGTTAGCTGAGTTCACACATCACAAACAAGTTTATGAGAATGCTTCTGTCTAGTTTTTATTTGAAGATATTTCCTTTCTCACCATAGACCTGAAAGCTGTCCTAATGTTCACTTCCAGATACTACAGAAAGAGTGTTTAAAAACTGCTGTACGAAAGGGAATGTTCAACTCTGTGACTTGAATGCACACATCACAAAGAAGATTCTGAGGATGCTGCTGTCTACTTTTTCTACGTAATCCCGTTTCCAACGAAATCCTCCAAGCTATCCAAATATCCACTTGCAGATTCCACAGAAAGACTGTTTCAAAACTGCTCTGTCAATAGAAAGGTTCAACTCTATTAGCTGCGTGCATATATCCCAAAGAAGATTCTGAGATTGCTTCTGTCTAGTTTTTATGGGAAGATATTTCCCTTTTCACCGTAGGAGTCAAGGCACTCCAAATGTCCACTTCCAGATGCTACAAAAAGAGTGTTTCAAACCTACTCTGTGAAAGGGAATATTCAACTCTGTGACTTGAATGCACATATCACAAAGAAGTTTCTGAGAATGCTTTTGCCGAGATTTTATATTAAGATATTCCCGTTTCCAACGAAATCCTGAAATCTATCCAAATATCCCCTCGCAGATTCTACAAAAAGAGTGTTTCAAAACTGCTCTGTAAAAAGAAAGGTTCCACTCTGTTAGTTGAGTACACACATCACAAACAAGTTTCACAGAATGCTTCTTTCTAGCTTGTAGGGGAAGATATTCCCTTTATCACCATGGGCCTCAAACCGTCTGAAACGTCCACTTCCATATACTACAAAAAGAGCATTTCAAACCTGCTCTATGAAATGCAATGTTCAACTCTGTGACTTGAATGCAGACATCACAGAGCAGTTTCTGAGAATGCTTCCGTCTAGATTTTATAGGAAGATATTCCCCTTTCCAACGAAATCTTCACAGCTATCCAAATATCCACTTGCAGATTCTACAAAAAGAGTGTATCAAAACTGCTCTGTCAAAAGGAAGGTTCTTCTCTGTTAGGTGAGTGCATACGTCATAAAGGAGTTTCTGAGAATGTTTCTGTCTAGTGGTTACGGGAAGATATTTGCTTTTTCACCTTAGGCCTCAGAGCGCTCCAAATATCCACTTGCACATACTACAAAAAGAGTGCTTCAAAGCTGCTCTCTGAAACGGAATGTTCAACTCTATGAGTTGAATGCAAACATGACAAAGACGTTTCTGAGAATGATTCTGTCTAGATTTATGACGATATTCCCGTTTCCAACGAAATCTTCAAATCTATCCAAATGTCCACTTGCAGATTCAACAAAGTGTTTTTCAGAACTACTCTATCAAAAGAAAGATCCACCTCTGTTAGCTGAGATCACACTTCACAAACAAGTTTATCAGAATGCTTCTGTCTAGTTTTTATTTGAAGATATTTCCTTTCTCACCATAGACCTGAAAGCTGTCCTAATGTTCACTTCCAGATACTACAGAAAGAGTGTTTCAAAACTGCTGTACGAAAGGGAATGTTCAAATCTGTGGCTTGAATGCACATATCACAAAAAAGTTTCTGAGGATGCTGCTGTCTACTATTTATACGTAATCCCGTTTCCAACGAAATCCTCCAAGCTATCCAAATATCCACTTGCAGATTCCACAGAAAGACTGTTTCAAAACTGCTCTGTCAATAGAAAGGTTCAACTCTGTTAGCTGCGTGCATATATCCCAAAGCGGATTCTGAGATTGCTTCTGTCTAGTTTTTATGGGAAGATATTTCCCTTTTAACCATAGGCGTCAAGGCGCTCCAAATGTCCACTTCCAGATACTACAAAAAGAGTGTTTCAAACCTACTCTGTGAAAGGGAATATTCACTTCTGTGACTTGAATGCAGATATCACAAAGAAGTTTCTGAGAATGCTTCTGTCGAGATTTTATATGAAGATATTCCCGTTTCCAACGAAATCCTGAAACCTATCCAAATATCCCCTCGCAGATTCTACAAAAAGAGTGTTTCAAAACTACTCTGTAAAAAGAAAGGTTCAACTCTGTTAGTTGAGTACACACATCACAAACAAGTTTCACAGAATGCTTCTTTCTAGCTTGTAGGGGAAGATATTCCCTTTATCACCATGGGCCTCCAACCGTCCGAAACTTCCACTTCCATATACTACAAAAAGAGCGTTTCAAACCTGCTCTATGAAAGGCAATGTTCAACTCTGTGACTTGAATGCAGACATCACAGAGCAGTTTCTGAGAATGCTTTTGTTTAGATTTTATAGGAAGATATTCCCGTTTCCAACGAATTCTTCACAGATATCCAAATATCCACTTGCAGATTCTACAAAAAGAGTTTATCAAAACTGCTCTGTCAAAAGGAAGGTTCTTCTGTGTTAGTTGAGTACATACGTCATAAAGAAGTTTCTGAGAATGTTTCTGTCTAGTGGTTATGGGAAGATATTTGCTTTTTCACCGTAGGCCTCAGAGCGCTCCAAATATCCACTTGCACATACTACAAAAAGAGTCCTTCAAAGCTGCTCTCTGAAACGGAATGTTCAACTCTATGAGTTGAATGCAAACATCACAAAGACGTTTCTGAGAATGCTTCTGTCTAGATTTGATATGAAGATATTCCCGTTTCCAACGAAATCTTGAAATCTATCCAAATGTCCACTTGCAGATTCAACAAAGTGTTTTTCAGAACTGCTCTATCAAAAGAAAGATCCACGTGTGTTAGCTGAGTTCACACATCACAAACAAGTTGATGAGAATTCTTTCTGTCTAGTTTTTATTTGAAGATATTGCCTTTCTCACCATAGACCTGAAAGCTGTCCTAATGTTCACTTCCAGATACTACAGAAACAGTGTTTCAAAACTGCTGTATGAAAGGGAATGTTCAACTCTGTGACTTGAATGCACACATCACAAAGAAGTTTCTGAGGATGCTGCTGTCTACTTTTTATACGTAATCCCGTTTCCAACGAAATCCTCCAAGCTATCCAAATATCCACTTGCAGATTCCACAGAAAGACTGTTTCAAAACTGCTCTGTCAATAGAAAGGTTCAACTCTATTAGCTGCGTACATATATCCCTAAGAAGATTCTGAGATTGCTTCTGTCTAGTTTTTATTGGAAGATATTTCCCTTTTCACCGTAGGTGTCAAGGCGCTCCAAATGTCCACTTCCAGATACTACAAAAAGAGTGTTTCAAACCTACTCTGTGAAAGGGAATATTCAACTCTGTGACTTGAATGCACATATCACAAAGAAGTTTCTGAGAATGCTCCTGTCGAGATTTTGTATGAAGATATTCCCGTTTCCAACGAAATCCTGAAATCTATCCAAATATCCCCTCGCAGATTCTACAAAAACAGTGTTTCAAAACTGCTCTGTGAAAAGAAAGGTTCAACTCTCTTAGTTGAGTACACACATCACAAACAAGTTTCACAGAATGCTTCTTTCTAGCTTGTAGGGGAAGATATTCCCTTTATCACCATGGGCCTCCAACCGTCCGAAACATCCACTTCCATATACTACAAAAAGAGCGTTTCAAACCTGCTCTATGAAATGCAATGTTCAACTCTGTGACTTGAATACAGACATCACAGAGCAGTTTCTGAGAATGCTTCTGTCTAGATTTTATAGGAAGATATTCCCGTTTCCAACGAAATCTTCACAGCTATCCAAATATCCACTTGCAGATTCTACAAAAAGAGTGTATCAAAACTGCTCTGTCAAAAGGAAGGTTCTTCTCTGTTAGTTGAGTACATACGTCATAAAGGAGTTTCTGAGAATGATTCTGCCTAGTGGTTATGGGAAGATATTTGCTTTTTCACCGTAGGCCTCAGTAGCGCTCCAAATATCCACTTGCACATACTACAAAAAGAGTGCTTCAAAGCTGCTCTCTGAAAGGGAATGTTCAACTCTATGAGTTGAATGCAAACATCACAAAGACGTTTCTGAGAATGCTTCTGTCTAGATTTGTTATGAAGATATTCCCGTTTCCAACGAAATCTTCAAATCTATCCAAATGTCCACTTGCAGATTCAACAAAAAGTGTTTTTCAGAACTGCTCTATCAAAAGAAAGATCCACCTCTGTTAGCTGAGTTCACACATCACAAAAAAGTTTATGAGAATGCTTCTGTCTAGTTTTTATTTGAAGATATTGCCTTTCTCACCCTAGACCTGAAAGCTGTCCTAATGTTCTCTTCCAGATGCTACAGAAAAAGTGTTTCAAAACTGCTGTACGAAAGGGAATGTTCAACTCTGTGACTTGAATGCACACATCACAAAGAAGTTTCTGACGATGCTGCTGTCTACTTTTTATACGTAATCCCGTTTCCAACGAAATCCTCCAAGCTATCCAAATGTCCACTTGCAGATTCCACAGAAAGACTGTTTCAAAACTGCTCTGTCAATAGAAAGGTTCAACTCTGTTAGCTGCGTGCATATATCCCAAGGAAGATTCTGAGATTGCTTCTGTCTAGTTTTTATGGGAAGATATTTCCCTTTTCACCGTAGGCATCAAGGCGCTCCAAATGTCCACTTCCAGATACTACAAAAAGAGTGTTTCAAACCTACTCTGTGAAAGGGAATATTCAACTCTGTGACTTGAATGCACATATCACAAAGAAGTTTCTGAGAATGCTTCTGTCGAGATTTTATATGAAGATATTCCCGTTTCCATCGAAATCCTGAAATCTATCCAAATATCCGCTCGCAGATTCTACAAAAAGAGTGTTTCAAAACTGCTCTGTGAAAAGAAAGGTTCAACTCTGTTAGTTGAGTACACACATCACAAACAAGTTTCACAGAATGCTTCTTTCTAGCTTGTAGGGGAAGATATTCCCTTTATCACCATGGGCCTCAAACCTTCCGAAAAGTCCACTTCCATATACTACAAAAAGAGCGTTTCAAACCTGCTCTATGAAAGGCAATGTTCAACTCTGTGACTTGAATGCAGACATCACAGAGCAGTTTCTGAGAATGCTTTCTGTCTAGATTTTATAGGAAGATATTCCCGTTTCCAACGAAATCTTCACAGCTATCCAAATATCCACTTGCGGATTCTACAAAAAGAGTGTATCAAAACTGCTCTGTCAAAAGGAAGGTTCTTCTCTGTTAGGTGAGTGCACACGTCATAAAGGAGTTTCTGAGAATGTTTCTGTCTAGTGGTTATGGGAAGATATTTGCTTTTTCACCGTAGGCCACAGAGCGGTCCAAATATCCACTTGCACATACTACAAAAAGAGTGCCTCAAAGCTGCTCTCTGAAACGGAATGTTCAACTCTATGAGTTGAATGCAAACATCACAAAGACGTCTCTGAGAATGCTTCTGTCTAGATTTGATATGAAGATATTCCCGTTTCCAACGAAATCTTCAAATCTATCCAAATGTCCACTTGCAGATTCAACAAAAAGTGTTTTTCAGAACTTCTCTATCAAAAGAAAGATCCACCTCTGTTAGCTGAGTTCACACATCAGAAACAAGTTTATGAGAATGCTTCTGTCTAGTTTTATTTGAAGATATATCCTTTCTCACTATAGACCTGAAAGCTCTCCTAAAGTTCACTTCCAGATACTACAGAAAGAGTGTTTCAAAACTGCTGTATGAAAGGGAATGTTCAACTCTGTGACTTGAATGCACACATCACAAAGCAGTTTCTGAGGATGCTGCTGTCTACTTTTTATACCTAATCCCGTTTCCAACGAAATCCTCCAAGCTATCCAAATATCCACTTGTAGATTCCACAGAAAGACTGTTACAAAACTGCTCTGTCAATAGAAAGGTTCAACTCTGTTAGCTGCGTGCATATATCACAAAGAAGATTCTGAGATTGCTTCTGTCTACTTTTTATGGGAAGATATTTCCCTTTTCACCGTAGGCGTCAAGGCGCTCCAAATGTCCACTTCCAGATACTACAAAAAGAGTGTTTCAAACCTACTCTGTGAAAGGGAATATTCAACTCTGTGACTTGAATGCACATATCACAAAGAAGTTTCTGAGAATGCTTCTGTCGAGATTTTATATGAAGATATTCCTGTTTCCAACGAAATCCTGAAATCTATCCAAATATCCCCTCGCAGATTCTACAAAAAGAGTGTTTCAAAACTGCTCTGTGAAAAGAAAGGTTCAACTCTGTTAGTTGAGTACACACATCACAAACAAGTTTCACAGAATGCTTCTGTCTAGTTTTTATTTGAAGATATTTCCTTTCTCGCCATAGACCTGAAAGCTGTCCTAATGTTCACTTCCAGATACTACAGAAAGAGTGTTTCAAAACTGCTGTATGAAAGGGAATGTTCAACTCTGTGACTTGAATGCAGACATCACAGAGCAGTTTCTGAGAATGCTTCTGTCTAGATTTTATAGGAAGATATTCCCGTTTCCAACGAAATCTTCACAGCTATCCCAAATATCCACTTGCAGATTCTACAAAAAGAGTGTATCAAAACTGCTCTGTCAAAAGGAAGGTTCTTTTCTGTTAGGTGAGTGCATACGTCATAAAGGAGTTTCTGAGAATGTTTCTGTCTAGTGGTTATGGGAAGATATTTGCTTTTTCCCCGTAGGCCTCAAAGCGCTCCAAATGTCCACTTGAACATACTACAAAAAGAGTGCTTCAAAGCTGCTCTCTGAAAGGGAATGTTCAACTCTATGAGTTGAATGCAAACATCACAAAGACGTTTCTGAGAATGCTTCTGTCTAGATTTGATATGAAGATATTCCCGTTTCTAACGAAATCTTCAAATCTATCCAAATGTCCACTTGCAGATTCAACAAAAAGTGTTTTTCAGAACTGCTCTATCAAAAGAAAGATCCACCTCTGTTAGCTGAGTTCACACTTCACAAACAAGTTTATCAGAATGCTTCTGTCTAGTTTTTATTTGAAGATATTTCCTTTCTCACCATAGACCTGAAAACTGTCCTAATGTTCACTTGCAGATACTACAGAAAGAGTGTTTCAAAACTGCTGTACGAAAGGGAATGTTCAACTCTGTGACTTGAATGCAGACATCACAAAGAAGTTTCTGAGGATGCTGCTGTCTACTTTTTATACTTAATCCCGTTTCCAACGAAATCCTCCAAGCTATCCAAGTATCCACTTGCAGATTCCACAGAAAGACTGTTTCAAAACTGCTCTGTCAATAGAAAGGTTCAACTCTGTTAGCTGCGTGCATATATCCCAAAGAAGATTCTGAGATTGCTTCTGTCTAGTTTTTATGGGAAGATATTTTGCTTTTCACCGTAGGTGTCAAGGCGCTCCAAATGTCCACTTCCAGATACTACAAAAAGAGTGTTTCAAACCTACTCTGTGAAAGGGAATATTCAACTCTGTGACTTGAATGCACATATCACAAAGAAGATTCTGAGAATGCTTCTGTCGAGATTTTATATGAAGATATTCCCGTTTCCAACGAAATCCTGAAATCTATCCAAATATCCCCTCGCAGATTCTACAAAAAGAGTGTTGCAAAACTGCTCTGTAAAAAGAAAGGTTCAACTCTGTTAGTTGAGTACACACATCACAAACAAGTTTCACAGAATGCTTCTTTCTAGCTTGTAGGGGAAGATATTCCCTTTATCACCATGGGCCTCAAACCGTCCGAAAAGTCCACTTCCATATACTAAAAAAAGAGCATTTCAAACCTGCTCTATGAAAGGCAATGTTCAACTCTGTGACTTGAATGCAGACATCACAGAGCAGTTTCTGAGAATGCTGCTGTCTAGATTTTATAAGAAGATATTCCCGTTTCCAGCAAAATCTTCACAGCTATCCAAATATCCACTTGCAGATTCTACAAAAAGAGTGTATCAAAACTGCTCTGTCAAAAGGAAGGTTCTTCTCTTTTAGGTGAGTGCATACGTCATAAAGGAGTTTCTGAGAATGTTTCTGTCTAGTGGTTATGGGAAGATATTTGCCTTTTCACCGTAGGCCTCAGAGCGCTCCAAATATCCACTTGCACATACTACAAAAAGAGTGCCTCACAGCTGCTCTCTGAAACGGAATGTTCAACTCTATGAGTTGAATGCAAACATCGCAAAGACGTTTCTGAGAATGCTTCTGTCTAGATTTGATATGAAGATATTCCCGTTTCCAACGAAATCTTCAAATCTATCCAAATGTCCACTTGCAGATTCAACAAAAAGTGTTTTTCAGAACTGCTCTATCAAAAGAAAGATCCACCTCTGTTAGCTGAGTTCACACATCACAAGCAAGTTTATGAGAATGCTTCTGTCTAGTTTTTATTTGAAGATATTTCCCTTCTCACCATAGACCTGAAAGCTGTCCTAATGTTCACTTCCAGATACTACAGAAAGAGTGTTTCAAAACTGCTGTACGAAAGGGAATGTTCAACTCTGTGACTTGAATGCACACATCACAAAGAAGTTTTCTGAGGATGCTGCTGTCTACTTTTTATACGTAATCCCGTTTCCAACGAAATCCTCCAAGCTATCCAAATATCTACTTGCAGATTCCACAGAAAGACTATTTCAAAACTGCACTGTCAATAGAAAGGTTCAACTCTCTTAGCTGCGTGCATATATCCCAAAGAAGATTCTGAGATTGCTTCTGTGTAGTTTTTAAGGGAAGATATTTCCCTTTTCACCGTAGGCGTCAAGGCGCTCCAAATGTCCACTTCCAGATACTACAAAAAGAGTGTTTCAAACCTACTCTGTGAAAGGGAATATTCAACTCTGTGACTTGAATGCACATATCACAAGGAAGTTTCTGAGAATGCTTCTGTCGAGATTTTATATGAAGATATTCCCCTTTCCAACGAAATCCTGAAATCTATCCAAATATCCCCTCGCAGATTCTACAAAAAGATTGTTTCAAAACTGCTCTGTAAAAAGAAAGGTTCAACTCTGTTAGTTGAGTACACACATCACAAACAAGTTTCACAGAATGCTTCTTTCTAGCTTGTAGGGCAAGATATTCCCTTTAACACCATGGGCCTCAAACCGTCTGAAACGTCCACTTCCATATACTACAAAAAGAGCGTTTCAAACCTGCTCTATGAAAGGCAATGTTCAACTCTGTGACTTGAATGCAGACATCACAGAGCAGTTTCTGAGAATGCTTCTGTCTAGGTTTTATAGGAAGATATTCCCTTTTCCAACGAAATCTTCCAAGCTATCCAAATATCCACTTGCAGATTCTACAAAAAGAGTGTATCAAAACTGCTCTGTCAAAAGGAATGTTCTCCTCTGTTAGTTGAGTACATACGTCATAAAGGAGTTTCTGAGAATGTTTCAGTCTAGTGGTTATGGGAAGATATTTGCTTTTTCACCGTAGGCCTCAGAGCGCTCCAAATATCCACTTGCACATACTACAAAAAGAGTGCCTCAAAGCTGCTCTCTGAAACGGAATGTGCAACTCTATGAGTTGAATGCAAACATCACAAAGACGTTTCTGAGAATGCTTCTGTCTAGATTTGATATGAAGATATTCCCGTTTCCAACGAAATCTTCAAATCTATCCAAATGTCCACTTGCAGATTCAACAAAAAGTGTTTTTCAGAACTGCTCTATCAAAAGAAAGATCCACCTCTGTTAGCTTAGTTCACACATCAGAAACAAGTTTATGAGAATGCTTCTGTCTAGTTTTTATTTGAAGATATTTCCTTTCTCACCATAGACCTGAAAGCTGTCCTAATGTTCACTTCCAGATACTACAGAAGGAGTGTTTCAAAACTGCTGTACGAAAGGGAATGTTCAACTCTGTGACTTGAATGCACACATCACAAAGAAGTTTCTGAGGATGCTGCTGTCTTCTTTTTATACGTAATCCCGTTTCCAACGAAATCCTCCAAGCTATCCAAGTATCCACTTGCAGATTCCACAGAAAGACTGTTTCAAAACTGCTCTGTCAATAGAAAGGTTCAACTCTGTTAGCTGCGTGCATATATCCCAAAGAAGATTCTGAGATTGCTTGTGTCTACTTTTTATGAGAAGATATTTCCCTTTTCACCGTAGGCGTCAAGGCGCTCCAAATGTCCACTTCCAGATACTACAAAAAGAGTGTTTCAAACCTACTCTGTGAAAGGGAAGATTCAACTCTGTGACTTGAATGCACATATCACAAAGAAGCTTCTGAGAATGCTTCTGTCGAGATTTTATATGAAGATACTCCCGTTTCCAACGAAATCCTGAAATCTATCCAAATATCCCCTCGCAGATTCTACAAAAAGAGTGTTTCGAAACTGCTCTGTAAAAAGAAAGGTTCAACTCTGTTAGTTGAGTACACACATCACAAACAAGTTTCACAGAATGCTTCTTTCTAGCTTGTAGGGGAAGATATTTCCTTTATCACCATGGTCCTCAAACCGTCCGAATCGTCCACTTCCATATACTAAAAAAAGAGTGTTTGAAACCTGCTCTATGAAAGGCAATGTTCAACTCTGTGACCTGAATGCAGACATCACAGAGCAGTTTCTGAGAATGCTTCCTGTCTAGATTTTATAGGAAGATATTCCCGTTTCCAACGAAATCTTCACAGCTATCCAAATATCCACTTGCAGATTCTACAAAAAGAGTGTATCAAAACTGCTCTGTCAAAAGGAAGGTTCTCCTCTGTTAGGTGAGTGCATACGTCATAAAGGAGTTTCTGAGAATGTTTCTGTCTAGTGGTTATGGGAAGATATTTGCTTTTTCACCGTAGGCCTCAGAGCGCTCCAAATATCCACTTGCACATACTACAAAAAGGGTGCCTCAAAGCTGCTCTCTGAAACGGAATGTTCAACTCTATGAGTTGAATGCAAACATCACAAAGACGTTTCTGAGAATGCTTCTGTCTAGTATTTGATATGAAGATATTCCCGTTTCCAACGAAATCTTCAAATCTATCCAAATGTCCACTTGCAGATTCAACAAAAAGTGTTTTTCAGAACTGCTCTATCAAAAGAAAGATTCACCTCTGTTAGCTGAGTTCACACATCACAAACAAGTTTATGAGAATGCTTCTGTCTAGTTTTTATTTGAAGATATTTCCTTTCTCACCATAGAGCTGAAAGCTGTCCTAATGTTCACTTCCAGATACTACAGAAAGAGTGTTTCAAAACTGCTGTACGAAAGGGAATGTTCAACTCTGTGACTTGAATGCACACATCACAAAGTAGTTTCTGAGGATGCTGCTGTCTACTTTTTATACGTAATCCCGTTTCCAACGAAATCCTCCAAGCTATCCAAATATCCACTTGCAGATTCCACAGAAAGACTGTTTCAAAACTGCTCTGTCAATAGAAAGGTTCAACTCTGTTAGCTGCGTGCATATATCCTAAAGAGGATTCTGAGATTGCTTCTGTCTAGTTTTTATGGGAAGATATTTCCCTTTTCACCGTAGGCGTCAAGGCGCTCCAAATGTCCACTTCCAGATACTACAAAAAGAGTGTTTCAAACCTACTCTGTGAAAGGGAATATTCAACTACTGTGACTTGAATGCACATATCACAAGGAAGTTTCTGAGAATGCTTCTGATCGAGATTTTGATACTGAAGATATTCCCGTTTCCAACGAAATCCTGAAATGTATCCAAATATCCCCTCGCAGATTCTACAAAAAGAGTGTTTCAAAACTGCTCTGTAAAAAGAAAGGTTCAACTCTGTTAGTTGAGTACACACATCACAAACAAGTTTCACAGAATGGTTCTTTCTAGCTTGTAGGGAAAGATATTCCCTTTATCACCATGGGCCTCAAACCGTCCGAAACGTCCACTTCCATATACTACAAAAAGAGCGTTTCAAACCTGCTCTAGGAAAAGCAATGTTCAACTCTGTGACTTGAATGCAGACATCACAGAGCAGTTTCTGAGAATGCTTCTGTCTAGATTTTATAGGAAGATATTCCCGTTTCCAACGAAATCTTCACAGCTATCCAAATATCCACTTGCAGATTCTACAAAAAGAGTGTATCAAAACAGCTCTGTCAAAAGGAAGGTTCTTTTCTGTTAGGTGAGTGCATACGTCATAAAGGAGTTTCTGAGAATGTTTCTGTCTAGTGGTTATGGGAAGATATTTGCTTTTTCCCCGTAGGCCTCAGGGCGCTCCAAATGTCCACTTGCACATGCTACAAAAAGAGTGCTTCAAAGCTGCTCTCTGAAAGGGAATGTTCAACTCTATGTGTTGAATGCAAACATCACAAAGACGTTTCTGAGAATGCTTCTGTCTAGATTTGATATGAAGATATTCCCGTTTCCAACGAAATCTTCAAATCTATCCAAATGTCCTCTTGCAGATTCAACAAAAAGTGTTTTTCAGAACTGCTCTATCAAAAGAAAGATCCACCTCTGTTAGCTGAGTTCACACATCACAAACAAGTTTATGAGAATGCTTCTGTCTAGTTTTTATTTGAAGATATTTCCTTTCTCACCATAGACCTGAAAGCTGTCCTAATGTTCACTTCCAGATACTACACAAAGAGTGTTTCAAAACTGCTGTACGAAAGGGAATGTTCAACTCTGTGACTTGAATGCACACATCACAAAGAAGTTTCTGAGGATGCTGCTGTCTACTTTTTATACGTAATCCCGTTTCCAACGAAATCCTCCAATCTATGCAAATATCCACTTGCAGATTCCACAGAAAGAGTGTTTCAAAACTGCTCTGTCAATAGAAAGGTTCAACTCTGTTAGCTGCGTGCATATATCACAAAGAAGATTCTGAGATTGCTTCTGTCTAGTTTTTATGGGAAGATATTTCCCTTTTCACCGTAGGTGTAAAGGCGCTCCAAATGTCCACTTACAGATACTACAAAAAGAGTGTTTCAAACCTACTCTGTGAAAGGGAATATTCAACTCTGTGACTTGAATGCAGATATCACAATGAAGTTTCTGAGAATGCTTCTGTCGAGATTTTATATGAAGATATTCCCGTTTCCAACGAAATCCTGAAATCTATTCAAATATCCCCTCGCAGATTCTTCAAAAAGAGTGTTTCAATACTGCTCTGTAAAAAGAAAGGTTCAACTCTGTTAGTTGAGTACACACATCACAAACAAGTTTCACAGAATGATTCTTTCTAGCTTGTAGGGGAAGATATTCCCTGTATCACCTTGGGCCTCAAACCGTCCGAAACGTCCACTTCCATATACTAAAAAAAGAGTGTTTGAAACCTGCTCTATGAAAGGCAATGTTCAACTCTGTGACATGAATGCAGACATCACAGAGCAGTTTCTGAGAATGCTTCTGTCTAGATTTTATAGGAAGATATTCCCGTTTCCAACGAAATCTTCACAGCTATCCAAATATCCACTTGCAGATTCTACAAAAAGAGTGTATCAAAACTTCTCTGTCAAAAGGAAGGTTCTTCTCTGTTAGTTGAGTACATACGTCATAAAGGAGTTTCTGAGAATGTTTCTGTCTAGTGGTTATGGGAAGATATTTGCTTTTTCACCGTAGGCCTCAGAGCGCTCCAAATATCCACTTGCACATACTACAAAAAGAGTGCCTCAAAGCTGCTCTCTGAAATGGAATGTTCAACTCTATGAGTTGAATGCTAACATCACAAAGACGTTTCTGAGAATGCTTCTGTCTAGATTTGATATGAAGATATTCCCTTTTCCAAGGAAATCTTCAAAACTATCCAAATGTCCACTTGCAGATTCAACAAAAAGTGTTTTTCAGAACTGCTCTATCAAAAGAAAGATCCACCGTTGTTAGCTGAGTTCACACATCACAAACAAGTTTATGAGAATGCTTTCTGTCTAGTTTTTATTTGAAGATATTTCCTTTCTCACCATAGAGCTGAAAGCTGTCCTAATGTTCACTTCCAGATACTACAGAAAGAGTGTTTCAAAACTGCTGTACGAAAGGAAATGTTCAACTCTGTGACTTGAATGCACACATCACAAAGAAGTTTCTGAGGATGCTGCTGTCTACTTTTTATACGTAATCCTGTTTCCAACGAAATCCTCCAAGCTATCCAAATATCCACTTGCAGATTCCACAGAAAGAATGTTTCAAAACTGCTCTGTCAATAGAAAGGTTCAACTCAGTTAGCTGCGTGCATATATCCCAAAGAAGATTCTGAGATTGCTTCTGTCTAGTTTTTATGGGAAGATATTTCCCTTTTCACCGTAGGCATCCAGGCGCTCCAAATGTCCACTTCCAGATACTACAAAAAGAGTGTTTCAAACCTACTCTGTGAAAGGGAATATTCAACTCTGTGACTTGAATGCACATATCACAAGGAAGTTTCTGAGAATGCTTCTGTCGAGATTTTATATGAAGATATTCCCCTTTCCAATGAAATCCTGAAATCTATCCAAATATCCCCTCGCAGATTCTACAAAAAGAGTGTTTCAAAACTGCTCTGTAAAAAGAAAGGTTCAACTCTGTTAGTTGACTACACACATCACAAACAAGTTTCACAGAATGCTTCTTTCTAGCTTGTAGGGGAAGATATTCCCTTTATCACCATGGACCTCAAACCGTCTGAAACGTCCACTTCCATATACTACAAAAAGAGCATTTCAAACCTGCTCTATGAAAGGCAATGTTCAACTCTGTGACTTGAATGCAGACATCACAGAGCAGTTTCTGAGAATGCTTCTGTCTAGATTTTATAGGAAGATATTCCCGTTTCCAACGAAATCTTCACAGGTATCCAAATATCCACTTGCAGATTCTACAAAAAGAGTGTATCAAAACTGCTCTGTCAAAAGGAAGGTTCTTCTCTGTTAGTTGAGTACATACGTCATAAAGGAGTTTCTGAGAATGTTTCTGTCTAGTGGTTATGGGAAGATATTTGCTTTTTCACCTTAGGCCTCAGAGCGCTCCAAATATCCCCTTGCACATACTACAAAAAGAGTGCTTCAAAGCTGCTCTCTGAAACGGAATGTTCAACTCTATGAGGTGAATGCAAACATGACAAAGACGTTTCCGAGAATGCTTCTGTCTAGATTTGATATGAAGATATTCCCGTTTCCAACGAAATCTTCAAATCTATCCAAATGTCCACTTGCAGATTCAACAAAAAGTGTTTTTCAAAACTGCTCTATCAAAAGAAAGATCCACGTCTGTTACCTGAGTTCACACATCACAAACAAGTTTATGAGAATGCTTCTGTCTAGTTTTTATTTGAAGCATATTTCCTTTCTCACCATAGACCTGAAAGCTGTCCTAATGTTCACTTCCAGTTACTACAGAAAGAGTGTTTCAAAACTGCTGTACGAAAGGGAATGTTCAACTCTGTGACTTGAATGCACACATCACAAAGAAGTTTCTGAGGATGCTGCTGTCTACTTTTTATACTTAATCCCGTTTCCAACGAAATCCTCCAAGCTATCCAAATATCCACTTGCAGATTCCACAGAAACACTGTTTCAAAACTGCTCTGTCAATAGAAAGGTTCAACTCTGTTAGCTGCGTGCATATATCCCAAAGAAGATTCTGAGATTGCTTCTGTCTAGCTTTATGGGAAGATATTTCCCTTTTCACCGTAGGCGTCAAGGCACTCCAAATGTCCACTTCCAGATACTACAAAAAGAGTGTTTCAAACCTACTCTGTGAAAGGGAATATTCAACTCTGTGACTTGAAGGCAGATATCACAAAGAAGTTTCTGAGAATGCTTCTGTCGAGATTTTATATGAAGATATTCGCGTTTCCAACGAAATCCTGAAATCTATCCAAATATCCCCTCGCAGATTCTACAAAAAGAGTGTTTCAAAACTGCTCTGTAAAAAGAAAGGTTCAACTCTGTTAGTTGAGTACACACATCACAAACAAGTTTCACAGAATGCTTCTTTCTAGCTTGTAGGGGAAGATATTCCCTTTATCACCGTGGGCCTCAAACCGTCCGATAAGTCCACTTCCATATACTACAAAAAGAGCGTTTCAAACCTGCTCCATGAAAGGCAATGTTCAACTCTGTGACTTGAATGCAGACATCACAGAGCAGTTTCTGAGAATGCTTCTGTCCAGACTTTATAGGAAGATATTCCCGTTTCCAACGAAATCTTCACAGCTATCCAAATATCCACTTGCAGATTCTACAAAAAGAGTGTATCAAAACTGCTCTGTCAAAAGGAAGGTTCTTCTCTGTTAGTTGAGTACAAACGTCATAAAGGAGTTTCTGAGAATGTTTCTGTCTAGTGGTTATGGGAAGATATTTGTTTTTTCACCGTAGGCCTCAGAGCGCTCCAAATATCCACTTGCACATACTACAAAAAGAGTGCCTCAAAGCTGCTCTCTGAAACGGAATGTTCAACTCTATGAGTTGAATGCAAACATCGCAAAGACGTTTCTGAGAATGCTTCTGTCTAGATTTGATATGAAGATATTCCCGTTTCCAAAGAAATCTTCCAATCTATCCAAATGTCCACTTGCAGATTCAACAAAAAGTGTTTTTCAAAACTGCTGTATCGAAAGAAAGATCCACCTCTGTTAGTTGAGTTCACACATCACAAACAAGTTTTTAAAAGTGCTTCTCTCTAGTTTTTATTTGAAGATATATCCTTTCTCACTATAGACCTGAAAGCTGTCCTAATGTTCACTTCCAGATACTACAGAAAGAGTGTTTCAAAACTGCTGTACGAAAGGGAATGTTCAACTCTGTGACTTGAATGCACACATCACAAAGTAGTTTCTGAGGATGCTGCTGTCTACTTTTTATACGTAATCCCGTTTCCAACGAAATCCTCCAAGCTATCCAAATATCCACTTGCAGATTCCACAGAAAGATTGTTTCAAAACTGCTCTGTCAATAGAAATGTTCAACTCTGTTAGCTGCGTGCATATATCCCAAAGAAGATTCTGAGATTGCTTCTGTCTAGTTTTTATGGGAAGATATTTCCCTTTTCACCGTAGGCGTCAAGGCGCTCCAAATGTCCACTTCCAGATACTACAAAAAGAGTGTTTCAAACCTACTCTGCGAAAGGGAATATTCAACTCTGTGAGTTGAATGCAGATATCACAAAGAAGTTTCTGAGAATGCTTCTGTCGAGAGTTTATATGAAGATATTCCCGTTTCCAACGAAATCCTGAAATCTATCCAAATATCCCCTCGCAGATTCTACAAAAAGAGTGTTTCAAAACTGCTCTGTAAAAAGAAAGGTTCAACTCTGTTAGTTGAGTACACACATCACAAACAAGTTTCACAGAATGCTTCTTTCTAGCTTGTAGGGGAAGATATTCCCTTTATCACCATGGGCCTCCAACCGTCCGAAACATCCACTTCCATATACTACAAAAAGAGCGTTTCAAACCTGCTCTATGAAAGGCAATGTTCAACTCTGTGACTTGAATGCAGACATCACAGAGCAGTTTCTGAGAATTCTTCTGTCTAGTATTTTATAGGAAGATATTCCCGTTTCCAACCAAATCTTCATAGCTATCCAAATATCCACTTGCAGATTCTACAAAAAGAGTGTATCAAAACTGCTCTGTCAAAAGGAAGGTTCTTTTCTGTTAGGTGAGTGCATACGTCATAAAGGAGTTTCTGAGAATGTTTCTGTCTAGTGGTTATGGGAAGATATTTGCTTTTTCACCGTAGGCCAGAGAGCGATCAAAATATCCACTTGCACATACTACAAAAAGAGTGCTTCAAAGCTGCTCTCTGAAAGTGAATGTTCAACTCTATGAGTTGAATGGAAACATCACAAAGACGTTTCTGAGAATGCTTCTGTCTAGATTTGATATGAAGATATTCCCGTTTCCAACGAAATCTTTAAATCTATCCAAATGTCCACTTGCAGATTCAACAAAAAGTGTTTTTCAAAACTGCTCTATCAAAAGAAAGATCCACCTCTGTTAGCTGAGTACACACATCACAAACAAGTTTATGAGAATGCTTCTGTCTAGTTTTTATTTGAAGATATTTCCTTTCTCACCATAGACCTGGAAGCTGTCCTAATGTTCACTTCCAGATACTACAGAAAGAGTGTTTCAAAACTGCTGTACGAAAGGGAATGTTCAACTCTGTGACTTGAATGCACACATCACAAAGAAGTTTCTGAGGATGCTGCTGTCTACTTTTTATACGTAATCCCGTTTCCAAGGAAATCCTCCAAGCTATCCAAATATCCACTTGCAGATTCCACAGAAAGACTGTTTCAAAACTGCTCTCTCAATAGAAAGGTTCAACTCTGTTAGCTGCGTGCATATATCCCAAAGAAGATTCTGAGATTGCTTCTGTCTAGTTTTTATCGGAAGATATTTCCCTTTTCACCATAGGTGTCAAGGTGCTCCAAATGTCCACTTGCAGATGCTACAAAAAGAGTGTTTCAAACCTACTCTGTGAAAGGGAATATTCAACTCTGTGACTTGAATGCAGATATCACAAAGAAGTTTCTGAGAATGCTTCTGTCGAGATTTTATATGAAGATATTCTCGTTTAAAACGAAATCCTGAAATCTATCCAAATATCCCCTCACAGATTCTACAAAAGAGTGTTTCAAAACTGCTCTGTAAAAAGAAAGGTTCAACTCTGTTAGTTGAGTACACACATCACAAACAAGTTTCACAGAATGCTTCTTTCTAGCTTGTAGGGGAAGATATTCCCTTTATCACCATGGGCCTCAAACCGTCCGATAAGTCCACTTCCATATACTACAAAAAGAGAGTTTCAAACCTGCTCTATGAAAGGCAATGTTCAACTCTGTGACTTGAATGCAGACATCACAGAGCAGTTTCTGAGAATGCTTCTGTCTAGATTTTATAGGAAGATATTCCCGTTTCCAACCAAATCTTCATAGCTATCCAAATATCCACTTGCAGATTCTACAAAAAGAGTGTATCAAAACTGCTCTGTCAAAAGGAAGGTTCTTTTCTGTTAGGTGAGTGCATACGTCATAAAGGAGTTTCTGAGAATGTTTCTATCTAGTTGTTATGGGAAGATATTTGCTTTTTCACCGTAGGCCTCAGAGCGCTCCAAATATCCACTTGCACATACTACAAAAAGAGTGCCTCAAAGCTGCTCTCTGAAACGGAATGTTCAACTCTATGAGTTGAATGCAAACATCGCAAAGACGTTTCTGAGAATGCTTCTGTCTAGATTTGATATGAAGATATTCCCGTTTCCAACGAAATCTTCATATCTATCCAAATGTCCACTTGCAGATTCAACAAAAAGTGTTTTTCAAAACTGCTGTATCAAAAGAAAGATCCACGTCTGTTAGATGAGTTCACACATCACAAACAAGTTTATGAGAATGCTCTGTCTAGTTTTTATTTGAAGATATTTCCTTTCTCACCATAGACCTGAAAGCTGTCCTAATGTTCACTTCCAGTTACTACAGAAAGAGTGTTTCAAAACTGCTGTACGAAAGGGAATGTTCAACTCTGTGACTTGAATGCACACATCACAAAGAAGTTTCTGAGGATGCTGGCTGTCTACTTTTTATACGTAATCCCGTTTCCAACGAAATCCTCCAAGCTATCCAAATATCCACTTTCAGATTCCACAGAAAGACTGTTTCAAAACTGCTCTGTCAATAGAAAGGTTCAACTCTGTTAGCTGCGTGCATATATCCCAAAGAAGATTCTGAGATTGCTTCTGTCTAGTTTTTATGGGAAGATATTTCCCTTTTCACCGTAGGCGTCAAGGCGCTCCAAATGTCCACTTCCAGATACTACAAAAACAGTGTTTCAAACCTACTCTGTGAAAGGGAATATTCAACTCTGTGACTTGAATGCACATATCACAAGGAAGTTTCTGAGAATTCTTCTGTCGAGATTTTATATGAAGATAATCCCGTTTCCAACGAAATCCTGAAATCTATCCAAATATCCCCTCGCAGATTCTACAAAAAGAGTGTTTCAAAACTGCTCTGTGAAAAGAAAGGTTCAACTCTGTTAGTTGAGTACACACATCACAAACAAGTTTCACAGAATGCTTCTTTCTAGCTTGTAGGGGAAGATATTCCCTTTATCACCATGGGCCTCAAACCGTCCGATAAGTCCACTTCCATATACTACAAAAAGAGCGTTTCAAACCTGCTCTATGAAAGGCAACGTTCAACTCTGTGACTTGAATGCAGACATCACAGAGCAGTTTCTGAGAATGCTTTCTGTCCAGACTTTATAGGAAGATATTCCCGATTCCAACGAAATCTTCACAGCTATCCCAATATCCACTTGCAGATACTACAAAAAGAGTGTATCAAAAAAGCTCTGTCAAAAGGAAAGTTCTTCTCTGCTAGTTGAGTACATACGTCATAAAGAAGTTTCTGAGAATGTTTCTGTCTAGTGGTTATGGGAAGATATTTGCTTTTTCACCGTAGGCCTCAGAGCGCTCCAAATATCCACTTGCACATACTACAAAAAGAGTGCTTCAAAGCTGCTCTCTGAAACGGAATGTTCAGCTCTATGAGTTGAATGCAAACATCACAAAGACGTTTCTGAGAATGCTTGTGTCTAGATTTGATATGAAGATATTCCCGTTTCCAACGAAATCTTCAAATCTATCCAAATGTCCACTTGCAGATTCAACAAAAAGTGTTTTTCAGAACTGCTCTATCAAAAGAAAGATCCACCTCTGTTAGCTGAGTTCACATATCAAAAACAAGTTTATGAGAATGCTTTTGTCTAGTTTTTATTTGAAGATATTTCCTTTCTCACCATAGAGCTGAAAGCTGTCCTAATGTTCACTTCCAGTTACTACAGAAAGAGTGTTTCAAAACTGCTGTACGAAAGGGAATGTTCAACTCTGTGACTTGAATGCACACATCACAAAGAAGTTTCTGAGGATGCTGCAGTCTATTTTTTATACGTAATCCCGTTTCCAACGAAATCCTCCAAGCTATCCAAATATCCACTTGCAGATTCCACAGAAAGACTGTTTCAAAACTGCTCTGTCAATAGAAAGGTTCAACTCTGTTAGCTGCGTGCATATATCCCAAAGAAGATTCTGAGATTGCGTCTGTCTACTTTTTATGAGAAGATATTTCCCTTTTCACCGTAGGTGTCAAGGCGCTCCAAATGTCCACTTCCAGATACTACAAAAAGAGTGTTTCAAACCTACTCTGTGAAAGGGAACATTCAACTCTGTGACTTGAATGCACATATCACAAAGAAGTTTCTGAGAATTCTTCTGTCGAGATTTTATATGAATATATTCCCGTTTCCAACGAAATCCTGAAATCTATCCAAATATCCCCTCGCAGATTCTACAAAAAGAGTGTTTCAAAACTGCTCTGTAAAAAGAAAGGTTCAACTCTGTTAGTTGAGTACACACATCACAAACAAGTTTCACAGAATGCTTCTTTCTAGCTTGTAGGGGAAGAAATTTCCTTTATCACCATGGGCCTCAAACCGTCCGAAACGTCCACTTCCATATACTAACAAAAGAGTGTCTGAAACCTGCTCTATGAAAGGCAATGTTCAACTCTGTGACTTGAATGCAGACATCACAGAGCAGTTTCTGAGAATGCTTCTGTCCTGACTTTATAGGAAGATATTCCCGATTCCAACGAAATCTTTACAGCTATCCAAATATCCACTTGCAGATACTACAAAAAGAGTGTATCAAAAAAGCTCTGTCAAAAGGAAAGTTCTTCTCTGCTAGTTGAGTACATACGTCATAAAGAAGTTTCTGAGAATGTTTCTGTCTAGTGGTTATGGGAAGATATTTGCTTTTTCCCCGTAGGCCTCAGGGCGCTCCAAATGTCCACTTGCACATGCTACAAAAAGAGTGCTTCAAAGCTGCTCTCTGAAAGGGAATGTTCAACTCTATGAGTTGAATGCAAACATCAAAAAGACGTTTCTGAGAATGCTTCTGTCTAGATTTGATATGAAGATATTCCCGTTTCCAACGAAATCTTCAAATCTATCCAAATGTCCACTTGCAGATTCAACAAAAAGTGTTTTTCAAAACTGCTGTATCAAAAGAAAGATCCACCTCTCTTAGCTGAGTTCACACATCACAAACAAGTTTATGAGAATGCTTCTGTCTAGTTTTTATTTGAAGATATTTCCTTTCTCACCATAGACCTGAAAGCTGTCCTAATGTTCACTTCCAGATACTACAGAAAGAGTGTTTCAAAACTGCTGTACGAAAGGGAATGTTCAAATCTGTGACTTGAATGCACACATCACAAAGAAGTTTCTGAGGATGCTGCTGTCTACTTTTTATACGTAATCCCGTTTCCAACGAAATCCTCCAAGCTATCCAAATATCCACTTGCAGATTCCACAGAAAGACTGTTTCAAAAATGCTCTGTCAATAGAAAGGTTCAACTCTGTTAGCTGCGTGCATATATCCCAAAGAAGATTCTGAGATTGCTTCTGTCTAGTTTTGATGGGAAGATATTTCCCTTTTCACCGTGGGCGTCAAGGCGCTCCAAATGTCCACTTCCAGATACTACAAAAAGAGTGTTTCAAACCTACTCTGCGAAAGGGAATATTCAACTCTGTGACTTGAATGCACATATCACAAGGAAGTTTCTGAGAATGCTTCTGTCGAGATTTTATATGAAGATATTCCCGTTTCCAACGAAATGCTGAAATCTATCCCAAATATCCCCTCGCAGATTCTACAAAAAGAGTGTTTCAAAACTGCTCTGTGAAAAGAAAGGTTCAACTCTGTTAGTTGAGTACACACATCACAAACAAGTTTCACAGAATGCTTCTTTCTAGCTTGTAGGGGAAGATATTCCCTTTATCACCATGGGACTCAAACCGTCTGAAACGTCCACTTCCATATACTACAAAAAGAGCATTTCAAACCTGCTCTATGAAAGGCAATGTTCAACTCTGTGACTTGAATGCAGACATCAGAGAGCAGTTTCTGAGAATGCTTCTGTCTAGATTTTATAGGAAGATATTCCCGTTTCCAACGAAATCTTCACAGCTATCCAAATATCCACTTGCAGATGCTACAAAAAGAGTGTATCAAAACTGCTCTGTCAAAAGGAAGGTTCTTCTCTGTTAGGTGAGTGCATACGTCATAAAGGAGTTTCTGAGAATGTTTCTGTCTAGTGGTTATGGGAAGATATTTGCTTTTTCCCCGTAGGCCTCAGAGCGCTCCAAATGTCCACTTGCGCATGCTACAAAAAGAGTGCTTCAAAGCTGCTCTCTGAAACGGAATGTTCAACTCTATGAGTTGAATGCAAACATCACAAAGATGTTTCTGAGAATGCTTCTGTCTAGATTTGATATGAAGATATTCCCGTTTCCAACGAAATCTTCAAATCTATCCAAATGTCCACTTGCAGATTCAACAAAAAGTGTTTTTCAAAACTGCTATATCAAAAGAAAGATCCACCTCTGTTAGCTGAGTTCACACATCACAAACAAGTTTATGAGAATGCTTCTGTCTAGTTTTTATTTGAAGATATTTCCTTTCTCACCATAGAGCTGAAAGCTGTCCTAATGTTCACTTCCAGATACTACAGAAAGAGTTTTTCAAAACTGCTGTACGAAAGGGAATGTTCAACTCTGTGACTTGAAAGCACACATCACAAAGAAGTTTCTGAGGATGCTGCTGTCTACTTTTTATACGTAATCCCGTTTCCAACGAAATCCTCCAAGCTATCCAAATATCCAATTGCAGATTCCACAGAAAGACTGTTTCAAAACTGCTCTGTCAATAGAAAGGTTCAACTCTGTTAGCTGCGTGCATATATCCCAAAGAAGATTCTGCGATTACTTCTGTCTAGTTTTTATGGGAAGATATTTCCCTTTTCACCGTAGGCGTCAAGGCGCTCCAAATGTCCACTTCCAGATACTACAAAAAGAGTGTTTCAAACCTACTCTGTGAAAGGGAGTATTCAACTCTGTGACTTGAATACACATATCACAAAGAAGTTTGCTGAGAATGCTTCTGTCGAGATTTTATATGAAGGTATTCCCGTTTCCAACGAAATCCTGAAATCTATCCAAATATCCGCTCGCAGGTTCTACAAAAAGAGTGTTTCAAAACTGCTCTGTAAAAAGAAAGGTTCAACTCTGTTAGTTGAGTACACACATCACAAACAAGTTTCACAGAATGCTTCTTTCTATCTTGCAGGGGAAGATATTCCCTTTATCACCATGGGCCTCAAACCGTCCGAAACGTCTACTTCCATATACTACAAAAAGAGCGTTTCAAACCTGCTCTATGAAAGGCAATGTTCAACTCTGTGACTTGAATGCAGACATCACAGAGCAGTTTCTGAGAATGCTTCTGTCTAGAATTTATAGGAAGATATTCCCGTTTCCAACGAAAACTTCACAGCTATCCAAATATCCACTTTCAGATTCTACAAAAAGAGTGTATCAAAAGTGCTCTGTCAAAAGGAAGGTTCTTCTCTGTTAGGTGAGTGCATACGTCATAAAGGAGTTTGTGAGAATGTTTCTGTCTAGTGGTAATGGGAAGATATTTGCTTTTTCACCATAGGCCTCAGAGCGCTCCAAATATCCACTTGCACATACTACAAAAAGAGTGCTTCAAAGCTGCTCTCTGAAAGGGAATGTTCAACTCTATGAGTTGAATGCTAACATCACAAAGACGTTTCTGAGAATGCTTCTGTCTAGATTTGATATGAAGATATTCCCGTTTCCAACGAAATCTTCAAATCTATCCAAATGTCCACTTGCAGATTCAACAAAAAGTGTTTTTCAGAACTGCTCTATCAAAAGAAAGATCCACGTGTGTTAGCTGAGTTCACACATCACAAACAAGTTTATGAGAATGCTTTCTGTCTAGTTTTTATTTGAAGATATTTCCTTTCTCACCATAGACCTGAAAGCTGTCCTAATGTTCAGTTCCAGATACTACAGAAAGAGTGTTTCAAAACTGCTGTACGAAAGGGAATGTTCAACTCTGTGACTTGAATGCACACATCACAAAGAAGTTTCTGAGGATGCTGCTGTCTACTTTTTATACGTAATCCCGTTTCCAACGAAATCCTCCAAGCTATCCAAATATCCACTTGCAGATTCCACAGAAAGACTGTTTCAAAACGGCTCTGTCAATAGAAAGGTTCAACTCTGTTAGCTGCGTGCATATATCCCAAAGAAGATTCTGATATTGCTTCTGTCTAGTTTTTATGGGAAGATATTTCCCTTTTCACCGTAGGCGTCAAGGCGCTCCAAATGTCCACTTCCAGATACTACAAAAAGAGTGTTTCAAACCTACTCTGTGAAAGGGAATATTCAACTCTGTGACTTGAATGCAGATATCACAAAGAAGTTTCTAAGAATGCTTCTGTCGAGATTTTATATGAAGATATTCCCGTTTCCAACAAAATCCTGAAATCTATCCAAATATCCCCTCGCAGATTCTACAAAAAGAGTGTTTCAAAACTGCTCTGTAAAAAGAAAGGTTCAACTCTGTTAGCTGAGTACACACATCACAAACAAGTTTCACAGAATGCTTCTTTCTAGCTTGTAGGGGAAGATATTCCCTTTATCACCATGGGCCTCAAACCGTCCGAAACGTCCACTTCCATATACTACAAAAAGAGCGTTTCAAACCTGCTCTATGAAAGGCAATGTTCAACTCTGTGACTTCAATGCAGACATCACAGAGCAGTTTCTGAGAATGCTTCTGTCTAGATTTTATTGGAAGGTATTCCCGTTTCCAACGAAATCTTCACAGCTATCCAAATATCCACTTGCAGATTCTACAAAAAGAGTGTATCAAAAATGCTCTGTCAAAAGGAAGGTTCTTCTCTGTTAGGTGAGTGCACACGTCATAAAGGAGTTTCTGAGAATGTTTCTGTCTAGTGGTTATGGGAAGATATTTGCTTTTTCACCTTAGGCCTCAGAGCGCTCCAAATATCCCCTTGCACATACTACAAAAAGAGTGCTTCAAAGCTGCTCTCTGAAAGGGAATGTTCAACTCTATGAGTTGAATGCAAACATCACAAAGACCTTTCTGAGAATGCTTCTGTGTAGATTTGATATGAAGATATTCCCGTTTCCAACGAAATCTTCTAATCTATCCAAATGTCCACTTGCAGATTCAACAAAAAGTGTTTTTCAGAACTGTTCTATCAAAAGAAAGATCCACCTCTGTTAGCTGAGTTCACACATCACAAACAAGTTTATGAGAATGCTTCTGTCTAGTTTTTATTTGAAGATATTTCCTTTCTCACCATAGACCTGAAAGCTGTCCTAATGTTCACTTCCAGTTACTACAGAAAGAGTGATTCAAAACTGCTGTACGAAAGGGAATGTTCAACTCTGTGACTTGAATGCACACATCACAAAGAAGTTTCTGAGGATGCTGCTGTCTACTTTTTATACGTAATCCCGTTTCCAACGAAATCCTCCAAGCTATCCAAATATCCACTTGCAGATTCCACAGAAAGACTGTTTCAAAACTGCTCTGTCAATAGAAAGGTTCAACTTCTGTTAGCTGCGTGCATATATCCCAAAGAAGATTCTGAGATTGCTTCTGTCTAGTTTTTATGGGAAGATATTTCGCTTTTCACCGTAGGTGTCAAGGCGCTCCAAATGTCCACTTCCAGATACTACAAAAAGAGTGTTTCAAACCTACTCTGTGAAAGGGAATATTCAACTCTGTGACTTGAATGCACATATCACAAAGAAGTTTCTGAGAATGCTTCTGTCGAGATTTTATATGAAGATATTCCCGTTTCCAACGAAATCCTGAAATCTATCCAAATATCCCCTCGCAGATTCTACAAAAAGAGTGTTTCAAAACTGCTCTGTAAAAAGAAAGGTTCAACTCTGTTAGTTGAGTACACACATCTCAAACAAGTTTCACAGAATGCTTCTTTCTAGCTTGTAGGGGAAGATATTCCCTTTATCACCATGGGCCTCAAACCGTCCGAAACGTCCACTTCAATATACTACAAAAAGAGCGTTTCAAACCTGCTCTATGAAAGGCAATGTTCAACTCTGTGACTTGAATGCAGACATCACAGAGCAGTTTCTGAGAATGCTTCTGTCTAGATTTTATAGGAAGATATTCCCGTTTCCAACGAAATCTTCACAGCTATCCGAATATCCACTTGCAGATTCTACAAAAAGAGTGTATCAAAACTGCTCTGTCAAAAGGAAGGTTCTTCTCTGTTAGGTGAGTGCATACGTCATAAAGGAGTTTCTGAGAATGTTTCTGTCTAGTGGTTATGGGAAGATATTTGCTCTTTCACCGTAGGCCTCAGAGCGCTCCAAATATCCACTTGCCCATACTACAAAAAGAGTGCCTCAAAGCTGCTCTCTGAAACGGAATGTTCAACTCTATGAGTTGAATGCAAACATCGCAAAGACGTTTCTGAGAATGCTTCTGTCTAGTATTTGATATGAAGATATTCCCGTTTCCAACGAAATCTTCATATCTATCCAAATGTCCACTTGCAGATTCAACAAAAAGTGTTTTTCAAAACTGCTGTATCAAAAGAAAGATCCACGTCTGTTAGCTGAGTTCACACATCACAAACAAGTTTATGAGAATGCTTCTGTCTAGTTTTTATTTGAAGATATTTCCTTTCTCACCATAGAGCTGAAAGCTGTCCTAATGTTCACTTCCAGATACTACAGAAAGAGTGTTTCAAAACTGCTGTACGAAAGGGAATGTTCAACTCTGTGACTTGAATGCACACATCACAAAGAAGTTTCTGATGATGCTGCTGTGTACTTTTTATACTTAATCCCGTTTCCAACGAAATCCTCCAAGCTATCCAAATATCCACTTGCAGATTCCACAGAAAGACTGTTTCAAAACTGCTCTGTCAATAGAAAGGTTCAACTCTGTTAGCTGCGTGCATATATCCCAAAGAAGATTCTGAGATTGCTTCTGTCTAGTTTTTATGGGAAGATATTTCCCTTTTCACCGTAGGCGTCAAGGCGCTCCAAATGTCCACTTCCAGATACTACAAAAAGAGTGTTTCAAACCTACTCTGTGAAAGGGAATATTCAACTCAGTGATTTGAATGCACATATCACAAAGAAGTTTCTGAGAATGCTTCTGTCGAGATTTTATATGAAGATATTCCCGTTTCCACCGAAATCCTGAAATCTATCCAAATATCCCCTCACAGATTCTACAGAAAGAGTGTTTCAAAACTGCTCTGTAAAAAGAAAGGTTCAACTCTGTTAGTTGAGTACACACATCACAAACAAGTTTCACAGAATGCTTCTTTCTAGCTTGTAGGGGAAGATTCCCCTTTATCATCGTGGTCCTCAAACCGTCCGAAAAGTCCACTTCCCTATACTACAAAAAGAGCGTTTCAAACCTGCTGTATGAAAGGCAATGTTCAACTCTGTGACTTGAATGCAGACATCACAGAGCAGTTTCTGAGAATGCTTCTGTCCAGACTTTATAGGAAGATATTCCCGTTTCCAACGAAATCTTCACAGCTATCCAAATATCCACTTGCAGATAGTACAAAAAGAGTGTATCAAAAATGCTCTGTCAAAAGGAAAGTTCTTCTCTGCTAGTTGAGTACATACGTCATAAAGGAGTTTCTGAGAATGTTTCTGACTAGTGGTTATGGGAAGATATTTGCTTTTTCACCGTAGGCCTCAGAGCGCTCCAAATATCCACTTGCACATACTACAAAAAGAGTGCCTCAAAGCTGCTCTCTGAAACGGAATGTTCAACTCTATGAGTTGAATGCAAACATCACAAAGACGTTTCTGAGAATGCTTCTGTCTAGATTTGATATGAAGATATGCCCGTTTCCAACGAAATCTTCAAATCTATCCAAATATCCACTTGCAGATTCAACAAAAAGTGTTTTTCAGAACTGCTCTATCAAAAGAAAGATCCACCTCTGTTAGCTGAGTTCACACATCAGAAACAAGTTTATGAGAATGCTTCTGTCTAGTTTTTATTTGAAGATATTTCCTTTATCACCATAGACCTGAAAGCTGTCCTAATGTTCACTTCCAGATACTACAGAAAGAGTGTTTCAAAACTGCTGTACGAAAGGGAATGTTCAACTCTGTGACTTGAATGCACACATCACAAAGAAGTTTCTGAGGATGCTGCTGTCTAGTTTTTATACGTAATCCCGTTTCCAACGAAATCCTCCAAGCTATCCAAATATCCACTTGCAGATTCCACAGAAAGACTGTTTCAAAACTGCTCTGTCAATAGAAAGGTTCAACTCTGTTAGCTGCGTGCATATATCCCAAAGGAGATTCTGAGATTGCTTCTGTCTAGTTTTGATGGGAAGATACTTCCCTTTTCACCGTAGGTGTCAAGGCGCTCCAAATATCCACTTCCAGATACTACAAAAAGAGTGTTTCAAACCTACTCTGTGAAAGGGAATATTCAACTCTGTGACTTGAATGCACATATCACAAAGAAGTTTCTGAGAATGCTTCTTTCGAGATTTTATATGAAGATATTCCCGTTTCCAACGAAATCCTGAAATCTATCCAAATATCCCCTCGCAGATTCTACAAAAAGAGTGTTTCAAAACTGCTCTGTAAAAAGAAAGGTTCAACTATGTTAGTTGAGTACACATATCACAAACAAGTTTCACAGAATGCTCTTCTTAGCTTGTGGGGGAAGATATTTCCTTTATCACCATGGGTCTCAAACCGTTCGAAACGTCCACTTCCACATGTAACAAAAAGAGCATTTCAAACCTGCTCCATGAAAGGGAATGTTCAACTCTGTGACTTGAATGCAGATATCACAAAGCAGTTTCTGAGGATGCTGCCTGTCTAGATTTTATAGGAAGATATTCCCGTTTCCAACGAAATCTTCACAGCTATCCAAATATCCACTTGCAGATTCTACAAAAAGAGTGTATCAAAACTGCTCTGTCAAAAGGAAGGTTGTTCTCTGTTAGTTGAGTGCATACGTCATAATGGAGTTTCTGAGAATGTTTCTGTCTAGTGGTTATGGGAAGATACTTGCTTTTTCCCCGTAGGCCTCTGAGCGCTCCAAATGTCAACTTGCACATGCTACAAAAAGAGTGCTTCAAAGCTGCTCTCTGAAGCGGAATGTTCAACTCTATGAGTTGAATGCAAACATCACAAAGACGTTTCTGAGAATGCTTCTGTCTAGATTTGATATGAAGATATTCCCGTTTCCAACGAAATCTTCAAATCTATCCAAATGTCCACTTGCAGATTCAACAAAGTGTTTTTCAGAACTGCTCTATAAAAAGAAAGATCCACCTCTGTTAGCTGAGATCACACTTCACAAACAAGTTTATCAGAATGCTTCTGTCTAGTTTTTATTTGAAGATATTTCCTTTCTCACCATAGACCTGAAATCTGTCCTAATGTTCACTTCCAGATACTACAGAAAGAGTGTTTCAAAACTGCTGTACGAAAGGGAATGTTCAACTCTGTGACTTGAATGCACACATCACAAAGAAGTTTCTGAGGATGCTGCTGTCTACTTTTTATACGTAATCCCGTTTCCAACGAAATCCTCCAAGCTATCCAAATATTCACTTGCAGATTCCACAGAAAGACTGTTTCAAAACTGCTCTGTCAATAGAAAGGTTCAACTCTGTTAGCTGCGTGCATATATCCCAAAGAAGTTTCTGAGATTACTTCTGTCTACTTTTTATGAGAAGATATTTCCCTTTTCACCGTAGGTGTCAAGGCGCTCCAAATGTCCACTTCCAGATACAACAAAAAGAGTGTTTCAAACCTACTCTGTGAAAGGGAATATTCAACTCTGTGACTTGAATGCACATATCACAAAGAAGTTTCTGAGAATGCTTCTGTCGAGATTTTATATGAAGATATTCCCGTTTCCAACGAAATCCTGAAATCTATCCAAATATCCCCTCGCAGATTCTACAAAAAGAGTGTTTCAAAACTGCTCTGTAAAAAGAAAAGTTCAACTCTGTTAGTTGAGTACACACATCACAAACAAGTTTCACACAATGCTTCTTTCTAGCTTGTAGGGGAAGATATTCCCTTTATCACCATGGGCCTCAAACCGTCCGATAAGTCCACTTCTATATACTACAAAAAGAGCGTTTCAAACCTGCTCTATGAAAGGCAATGTTCAACTCTGTGACTTGAATGCAGACATCACAGAGCAGTTTCTGAGAATGCTTCTGTCTAGATTTTATAGGAAGATATTCCCGTTTCCAACGAAATCTTCACAGCTATCCAAATATCCACTTGCAGATTCTACAAAAAGAGTGTATCTAAACTGCTCTGTCAAAAGGAAGGTTATTTTCTGTTAGGTGAGTGCATACCGTCATAAAGGAGTTTCTGAGAATGTTTCTGTCTAGTGGTTATGGGAAGATATTTGCTTTTTCACCTTAGGCCTCAGAGCGCTCCAAATATCCCCTTGCACATACTACAAAAAGAGTGCTTCAAAGCTGCTCTCTGAAACGGAATGTTCAACTCTATGAGTTGAATGCAAACATCACAAAGACGTTTCCGAGAATGCTTCTGTCTAGACTTAATATGAAGATATTCCCGTTTCCAACGAAATCTTCAAATCTATCCAAATGTCCACTTGCAGATTCAACAAAAAGTGTTTTTCAGAACTGCTCTATCAAAAGAAAGATCCACCTCTGTTAGCTGAGTTCACACATCACAAACAAGTTTATGAGAATGCTTCTGTCTAGTTTTTATTTGAAGATATTTCCTTTCTCACCATAGACCTGAAAGCTGTCCTAATGTTCACTTCCAGTTACTACAGAAAGAGTGTTTCAAAACAGCTGTACGAAAGGGAATGTTCAACTCTGTGACTTGAATGCACACATCACAAAGAAGTTTCTGAGGATGGTGCCGTCTACTTTTTATGCGTAATCCCGTTTCCAACGAAATCCTCCAAGCTATCCAAATATCCACTTGCAGATTCCACAGAAAGACTGTTTCAAAACTGCTCTGTCAATAGAAAGGTTCAACTCTGTTAGCTGCGTGCATATATCCCAAAGAAGATTCTGAGATTGCTTCTGTCTAGTTTTTATGGGAAGATATTTCCCTTTTCACCGTAGGCGTCAAGGCGCTCCAAATGTCCACTTCCAGATACTACAAAAAGAGTGTTTCAAACCTACTCTGTGAAAGGGAATATTCAACTCTGTGACTTGAATGCACATATCACAAAGACGTTTCTGAGAATGCTTCTGTCGAGATTTTAAATGAAGATATTCCCGTTTCCAACGAAATCCTGAAATCTATCCAAATATCCCCTCGCAGATTCTACAAAAAGAGTGTTTCAAAACTGCTCTGTGAAAAGAAAGGTTCAACTCTGTTAGTTGAGTACACACATCACAAACAAGTTTCACAGAATGCTTCTTTCTAGCTTGTAGGGGAAGATATTCCCTTTATCACCATGGGCCTCCAACCGTCGGAAACATCCACTTCCATATACTACAAAAAGAGCGTTTCAAACCTGCTGTATGAAAGGCAATGTTCAACTCTGTGACTTGAATGCAGACATCACAGAGCAGTTTCTGAGAATGCTTCTGTCCGGACTTTATAGGAATATATTCCCGATTCCAACGAAATCTTCACAGCTATCCAAATATCCACTTGCAGATACTACAAAAAGAGTGTATCAAAAGTGCTCTGTCAAAAGGAAAGTTCTTCTCTGCTAGTTGAGTACATACGCCATAAAGAAGTTTCTGAGATTGTTTCTGTCTAGTGGTTATGGGAAGATATTTGCTTTTTCCCCGTAGGCCTCAGGGCGCTCCAAATGTCCACTTGCACATGCTACAAAAAGAGTGCTCCAAAGCTGCTCTCTGAAAGGGAATGTTCAACTCTATGAGTTGAATGCAAACATCACAAAGACGTTTCTGAGAATGCTTCTGTCTAGATTTGATATGAAGATATTCCCGTTTCCAACGAAATCTTCAAATCTATCCAAATGTCCACTTGCAGATTCAAAAAAAAGTGTTTTTCAGAACTGCTCTATCAAAAGAAAGATCCACCTCCTGTTAGCTGAGTTCAGACATCACAAACAAGTTTATGAGAATGCTTCTGTCTAGTTTTTATTTGAAGATATTTCCTTTCTCACCATAGACCTGAAAGCTGTCCTAAAGTTCACTTCCAGATACTACAGAAAGAGCGTTTCAAAACTGCTGTATGAAAGGGAATGTTCAACTCTGTGACTTGAATGCACACATCACAAAGAAGTTTCTGAGGATGCTGCTGTCTAATTTTTATACATAATCCCTTTTCCAACGAAATCCTCCAAGCTATCCAAATATCCACTTGCAGATTCCACAGAAAGACTGTTTCAAAACTGCTCTGTCAATAGAAAGGTTCAACTCTGTTAGCTGCGTGCATATATCCCAAAGAAGATTCGGAGATTTCTTCTGCCTAGTTTTTATGGGAAGATATTTCCCTTTTCACCGTAGGCGTCAAGGCGCTCCAAATGTCCACTTCCAGATACTACAAAAAGAGTGTTTCAAACCTACTCAGTGAAAGGGAATATTCAACTCTGTGACTTGAATGCAGATATCACAAAGAAGTTTCTGAGAATGCTTCTGTCGAGATTTTATATGAAGATATTCCCGTTTCCAACGAAATCCTGAAATGTATCCAAATATCCCCTCGCAGATTCTACAAAAAGAGTGTTTCAAAACTGCTCTGTAAAAAGAAAGGTTCAACTCTGTTAGTTGAGTACATACATCACAAACAAGTTTCACAGAATGCTTCTTTCTAGGTTGTAGGGGAAGATATTCCCTTTATCACCATGGGCCTCAAACCGTCCGATAAGTCCACTTCCATATACTACAAAAAGAGCGTTTCAAACCTGCTCTATGAAAGGCAATGTTCAACTCTGTGACTTGAATGCAGACATCACAGAGCAGTTTCTGAGAATGCTTCTGTCCAGACTTTATAGGAAGATATTCCCGATTCCAACGAAATCTTCACATCTATCCAAATATCCACTTGCAGATACTACAAAAAGAGTGTATCAAAAAAGCTCTGTCAAAAGGAAAGTTCTTTTCTGCTAGTTGAGTACATACGTCATAAAGAAGTTTCTGAGAATGTTTCTGTCTAGTTGTTATGGGAAGATATTTGCTTTTTCCCCATAGGCCTCAGAGCGCTCCAAATGTCCACTTGAACATACTACAAAAAGAGTGCTTCAAAGCTGCTCTCTGAAAGGGAATGTTCAACTCTATGAGTTCAATGCAAACATCACAAAGACGTTTCTGAGAATGCTCTGTCTAGATTTGATATGAAGATATTCCCGTTTCCAACGAAATCTTCAAATCTATCCAAATGTCCACTTGCAGATTCAACAGAAAGTGTTTTTCAGAACTGCTCTATCAAAAGAAAGATCCACCTCTGTTAGCTGAGTTCACACATCACAAACAAGTTTATGAGAATGCTTTCTGTCTAGTTTTTATTTGAAGATATTTCCTTTCTCACCATAGACCTGAAAGCTGTCCTAATGTTCACTTCCAGTTACTACAGAAAGAGTGGTTCAAAACTGCTGTACGAAAGGGAATGTTCAACTCTGTGACTTGAATGCACACATCACAAAGAAGTTTCTGAGGATGCTGCTGTCTACTTTTTATACGTAATCCCGTTTCCAACGAAATCCTCCAAGCTATCCAAATATACACTTGCAGATTCCACAGAAAGACTGTTTCAAAACTGCTCTGTCAATAGAAAGGTTCAACTCTGTTAGCTGCGTGCATATATCCCAAAGAAGATTCTGAGATTGTTTCTGTCTAGTTTTTATGGGAAGATATTTCCCTTTTCACAGTAGGTGTCAAGGCGCTCCAAATGTCCACTTCCAGATACTACAAAAAGAGTGTTTCAAACCTACTCTGTGAAAGGGAATATTCAACTCTGTGACTTGAATGCACATATCACAAAGAAGTTTCTGAGAATGCTTCTGTCGAGATTTTATATGAAGATATTCCCGTTTCCATCGAAATCCTGAAATCTATCCAAATATCCGCTCGCAGATTCTACAAAAAGAGTGTTTCAAAACTGCTCTGTGAAAAGAAAGGTTCAACTCTGTTAGTTGAGTACACACATCACAAACAAGTTTCACACAATGCTTCTTTCTAGCTTGTAGGGGAAGATATTCCCTTTATCACCATGGGCCTCAAACCGTCCGATACGTCCACTTCCATATACTACAAAAAGAGCGTTTCAAACCTGCTCTATGAAAGGCAATGTTCAACTCTGTGACTTGAATGTAGACATCACAGAGCAGTTTCTGAGAATGCTTCTGTCTAGATTTTATAGGAAGATATTCCCGTTTCCAACGAAATCTTCACAGCTATCCAAATATCCACTTTCAGATTCTACAAAAAGAGTGTATCAAAAATGCTCTGGCAAAAGGAAGGTTCTTCTCTGTTAGGTGAGTGCATACGTCATAAAGGAGTTTCTCAGAATGTTTCTGTCTAGTGGTTATGGGAAGATATTTGCTTTTTCCCCGTAGGCCTCAGAGCGCTCCAAATATCCACTTGCACATATTACAAAAAGAGTGCTTCAAAGCTGCTCTCTGAAACGGAATGTTCAACTCTATGAGTTGAATGCAAACATCACAAAGACGTTTCTGAGAATGCTTCTGTCTAGATTTGATATGAAGATATTCCCGTTTCCAACGAAATCTTCAAATCTATCCAAATGTCCACTTGCAGATTCAACAAAAAGTGTTTTTCAGAACTGCTCTATCAAAAGAAAGATCCACCTCTGTTAGCTGAGTTCAGACATCACAAACAAGTTTATGAGAATGCATCTGTCTAGTTTTTATTTGAAGATATTTCCTTTCTCACCATAGACCTGAAAGCTGTCCTAATGTTCACTTCCAGATACAACAGAAAGAGTGTTTCAAAACTGCTGTACGAAAGGGAATGTTCAACTCTGTGACTTGAATGCACACATCACAAAGAAGTTTCTGAGGATGCTGCTCTCTACTTTTTATACTTAATCCCGTTTCCAACGAAATCCTCCAAGCTATCCAAATATCCACTTGCAGATTCCACAGAAAGACTGTTTCAAAACTGCTCTGTCAATAGAAAGGTTCAACTCTGTTAGCTGCGTGCATATATCCCAAAGAAGATTCTGAGATTGCTTCTGTCTATTTTTTATGGGAAGATATTTCCCTTTTCACCGTAGGTGTCAAGGCGCTCCAAATGTCCACTTCCAGATACTACAAAAAGAGTGTTTCAAACCTACTCTGTGAAAGGGAATATTCAACTCTGTGACTTGAATGCAGATATCACAAAGAAGTTTCTGAGAATGCTTCTGTCGAAATTTTATATGAAGATATTCCCGTTTCCAACGAAATGCTGAAATGTATCCAAATATCCCCTCGCAGATTCTACAAAAAGAGTGTTTCAAAACTGCTCTGTAAAAAGAAAGGTTCAACTCTGTTAGTTGAGTACACACATCACAAACAAGTTTCACAGAATGCTTCTTTCTAGCTTGTAGGGGAAGATATTCCCTTTATCACCATGGGCCTCCAACCGTCCGAAACATCCAGTTCCATATACTACAAAAAGAGCGTTTCAAACCTCCTCTATGAAAGGCAATGTTCAACTCTGTGACTTGAATGCAGACATCACAGAGCAGTTTCTGAGAATGCTTCTGTCTAGATTTTATAGGAAGATATTCCCGTTTCCAACGAAATCTTCACAGCTATCCAAATATCCACTTGCAGATTCCACAAAAAGAGTGTATCAAAACTGCTCTGTCAAAAGGAAGGTTCTTCTCTGTTAGGTGAGTGCATACGTCATAAAGGAGTTTCTGAGAATGTTTCTGTCTAGTGGTTATGGGAAGATATTTGCTTTTTCACCCTAGGCCTCAGAGCGCTCCAAATATCCACTTGCACATACTACAAAAAGAGTGCCTCAAAGCTGCTCTCTGAAACCGAATGTTCAACTCTATGAGTTGAATGCAAACATCACAAAGACGTTTCTGAGAATGCTTCTGTCTAGATTTGATATGAAGATATTCCCGTTTCCAACGAAATCTTCAAATCTATCCAAATGTCCACTTGCAGATTCAACAAAATGTGTTTTTCAGAACTGCTCTATCAAAAGAAAGATCCACCTCTGTTAGCTGAGTTCACACATCACAAACAAGTTTATGAGAATGCTTTCTGTCTAGTTTTTATTTGAAGATATTTCCTTTCTCACCATAGACCTGAAAGCTGTCCTAATGTTCACTTCCAGATACTACAGAAGGAGTGTTTCAAAACTGCCGTACGAAAGGGAATGTTCAACTCTGTGACTTGAATGCACACATCACAAAGAAGTTTCTGAGGATGCTGCTGTCTACTTTTTATACGTAATCCCGTTTCCAACGAAATCCTCCAAGCTATCCAAATATCCACTTGCAGATTCCACAGAAAGACTGTTTCAAAACTGCTCTGTCAATAGAAAGGTTCAACTCTGTTAGCTGCGTGCATATATCCCAAAGAAGATTCTGAGATTGCCTCTGTCTAGTTTTTATGGGAAGATATTTCCCTTTTCACCGTAGGTGTCAAGGCGCTCCAAATGTCCACTTCCAGATACTACAAAAAGAGTGTTTCAAACCTACTCTGTGAAAGGGAATATTCAACTCTGTGACTAGAATGCACATATTACAAAGAAGTTTCTGAGAATGCTTCTGTCGAGATTTTATATGAAGATATTCCCGTTTCCAACGAAATCCTGAAATCTATCCAAATATCCCCTTGCAGATTCTACAAAAAGAGTGTTTCAAAACCGCTCTGTAAAAAGAAAGGTTCAACTCTGTTAGCTGAGTACACACATCACAAACAAGTTTCACAGAATGCTTCTTTCTAGCTTGTAGAGGAAGATATTCCCTTTATCACCATGGGCCTCAAACCGTCCGATAAGTCCACTTCCATATACTACAAAAAGAGCGTTTCAAACCTGCTCTATGAAAGGCAATGTTCAACTCTGTGACTTGAATGCAGACATCACAGAGCAGTTTCTGAGAATGCTTCTGTCCAGACTTTATAGGAAGATATTCCCGTTTCCAACGAAATCTTCACAGCTATCGAAATATCCACTTGCAGATACTACAAAAGAGTGTATGAAAAATGCTCTGTCAAAAGGAAAGTTCTTCTCTGCTAGTTGAGTACATACGTCATAAAGAAGTTTCTGAGAATGTTTCTGTCTAGTGTTTATGGGAAGATATTTGCTTTTTCACCGTAGGCCTCAGAGCGCTCCAAATATCCACTTGCACATACTACAAAAAGAGTGTTTCCAAGCTGCTCTCTGAAAGGGAATGTTCAACTCTATGAGTTGAATGCAAACATCACAAAGACGTTTCTGAGAATGCTTCTCTCTAGATTTGATATGAAGATATTCCCGTTTCCAAAGAAATCTTCAAATCTATCCAAATGTCCACTTGCAGATTCAACAAAAAGTGTTTTTCCGAACTGCTCTATCAAAAGAAAGATCCACCTCTGTAAGCTGAGTTCACACATCACAAACAAGTTTATGAGAATGCTTCTGTCTAGTTTTTATTTGAAGATATTTGCTTTCTCACCATAGACCTGAAAGCTGTCCTAATGTTCACTTCCAGATACTACAGAAAGAGTGTTTCAAAACTGCTGTACGAAAGGGAATGTTCAACTCTGTGACTTGAATGCACACATCACAAAGAAGTTTCTGAGGATGCTGCTGTCTACTTTTTATACGTAATCCCGTTTCCAACGAAATCCTCCAATCTATGCAAATATCCACTTGCAGATTCCACAGAAAGAGTGTTTCAAAACTGCTCTGTCAATAGAAAGGTTCAACTCTGTTAGCTGCGTGCATATATCCCAAAGAAGATTCTGAGATTGCTTCTGTCTAGTTTTTATGGGAAGATATTTCCCTTTTCACCGTAGGTGTCAAGGCGCTCCAAATGTCCACTTCCAGATACTACAAAAAGAGTGTTTCAAACCTACTCTGTGAAAGGGAATATTCAACTCTGTGAATTGAATGCACATATCACAAAGAAGTTTCTGAGAATGCTTCTGTCGAGATTTTCTATGAAGATATTCCCGTTTCCAACGAAATCGTGAAATCTATCCAAATATCCCCTCGCAGATTCTACAAAAAGAGTGTTTCAAAACTGCTCTGTAAAAAGAAAGGTTCAACTCTGTTAGTTGAGTACACACATCACAAACAAGTTTCACAGAATGCTTCTTTCTAGCTTGTAGGGGAAGATATTCCCTTTATCACCATGGGCCTCCAACCGTCCGAAACATCCACTTTCATATACTACAAAAAGAGCGTTTCAAACCTGCTCTATGAAAGGCAATGTTCAACTCTGTGACTTGAATGCAGACATCACAGAGCAGTTTCTGAGAATGCTTCTGTCTAGATTTTATAGGAAGATATTCCCGTTTCCAACGAAATCTTCACAGCTATCCAAATATCCACTTGCAGATTCTTCAAAAAGAGTGTATCAAAACTGCTCTGTCAAAAGGAAGGTTCTTCTCTGTTAGTTGAGTACATACGTCATAAAGGAGTTTCTGAGAATGTTTCTGTCTAGTGGTTATGGGAAGATATTTGCTTTTTCACCGTAGGCCTCAGAGCGCTCCAAATATCCACTTGCACATACTACAAAAAGAGTGCCTCAAATCTGCTCTCTGAAACGGAATGTTCAACTCTATGAGTTGAATGTAAACATCACAAAGACGTTTCTGAAAATGCTTCTGTCTAGATTTGATATGAAGATATTCCCGTTTCCAAAGAAATCTTCAAATCTATCCAAATGTCCACTTGCAGATTCAACAAAAAGTGTTTTTCAGAACTGCTCTATCAAAAGAAAGATCCACCTCCGTTAGCTGAGTTCACACATCACAAACAAGTTTATGAGAATGCTTCTGTCTAGTTTTTATTTGAAGGTATTTCCTTTCTCACCATAGACCTGAAAGCTGTCCTAATGTTCACTTCCAGATACTACAGAAAGAGTGTTTCAAAACTGCTGTACGAAAGGGAATGTTCAACTCTGTGACTTGAATGCACACATCACAAAGAAGTTTCTGAGGATGTTGCTGTCTACTATTTATACGTAATCCCGTTTCCAACGAAATCCTCCAATCTAACCAAATATCCACTTGCAGATTACACAGAAAGACTGTTTCAAAACTGCTCTGTCAATAGAAAGGTTCAACTCTGTTAGCTGCGTGCATATATCCCAAAGAAGATTCTGAGATTGCTTCTGTCTAGTTTTTATGGGAAGATATTTCCCTTTTCACCGTAGGCGTCCAGGCGCTCCAAATGTCCACTTCCAGATACTACAAAAAGAGTGTTTCAAACCTACTCTGTGAAAGGGAATATTCAACTCTGTGACTTGAATGCACATAACACAAGGAAGTTTCTGAGAATGCTTCTGTCGAGATTTTATATGAAGATATTCCCGTTTCCAACGAAATGCTGAAATGTATCCAAATAACCCCTCGCAGATTCTACAAAAAGAGTGTTTCAAAACTGCTCTGTAAAAAGAAAGGTTCAACTCTGTTAGTTGAGTACACACATCACAAACTAGTTTCACAGAATGCTTCTTTCTAGCTTGTAGGGGAAGATATTCCCTTTATCACCATGGGCCTCCAACCGTCTGAAACATCCACTTCCATATACTACAAAAAGAGCATTTCAAACCTGCTCTATGAAAGGCAATGTTCAACTCTGTGACTTGAATGCAGACATCACAGAGCAGTTTCTGAGAATGCTTCTGTCTAGATTTTATAGGAAGATATTCCCGTTTCCAACGAAATCTTCACAGCTATCCCAATATCCACTTGAAGATTCTACAAAAAGAGTGTATCAAAACTGCTCTGTCAAAAGGAAGGTTCTTCTCTGTTAGGTGAGTGCATACGTCATAAAGCAGTTTCTGAGAATGTTTCTGTCTAGTGGTTATGGGAAGATATTTGCTTTTTCACCGTAGGCCTCAGAGCGCTCCAAATATCCGCTTGCACATACTACAAAAAGAGTGCTTCAAAGCTGCTCTCTGAAACGGAATGTTCAACTCTATGAGTTGAATGCAAACATGACAAAGACGTTTCTGACAATGCTTCTGTCTAGATTTGATATGACGATATTCCCGTTTCCAACGAAATCTTCAAATCTATCCAAATGTCCACTTGCAGATTCAACAAAAAGTGTTTTTCAGAACTGCTCTATCAAAAGAAAGATCCACCTGTGTTAGCTGAGTTCACACATCACAAACAAGTTTATTAGAATGCTTCTGTCTAGTTTTTATTTGAAGATATTTCCTTTCTCACCATAGACCTGAAAGCTGTCCTAATGTTCACTTCCAGATACTACAGAAAGAGCATTTCAAAACTGCTGTACGAAAGAGAATGTTCAACTACTGTGACTTGAATGCACACATCACAAAGAAGTTTCTGAGGATGCTGCTGTCTACTTTTTATACGTAATCCCGTTTCCAACGAAATCCTCCAAGCTATCCAAATATCCACTTGCAGATTCCACAGAAAGACTGTTTCAAAACTGCTCTGTCAATACAAAGGTTCAACTCTGTTAGCTGCATGCATATATCCCAAAGAAGATTCTGAGATTGCTTCTGTCTAGTTTTTATGGGAAGATATTTCCCTTTTCACCGTAGGCGTCAAGGCGCTCCAAATGTCCACTTCCAGATACTACAAAAAGAGTGTTTCAAACCTACTCTGTGAAAGGGAATATTCAACTCTGTGAGTTGAATGCAGATATCACAAAGAAGTTTCTGAGAATGCTTCTGTCGAGATTTTATATGAAGATATTCCCGTTTCCAACGAAATCCTGAAATCTATCCAAATATCCGCTCGCAGATTCTACAAAAAGAGTGTTTCAAAACTGCTCTGTAAAAACAAAGGTTCAACTCTGTTAGTTGAGTACACACATCACAAACAAGTTTCACAGAATGCTTCTTTCTAGCTTGTAGGGGAAGATATTCCCTTTATCACCATGGTCCTCAAACCGTTCGAAACGTCCTCTTCCATATAGTACAAAAAGAGCCTTTCAAACCTGCTCTATGAAAGGCAATGTTCAACTCTGTGACTTGAATGCAGACATCACAGAGCAGTTTCTGAGAATGCTTCTGTCTAGATTTCATAAGAAGATATTCCCGTTTCCAACGAAATCTTCACAGCTATCCAAATATCCACTTGGAGATTCTACAAAAAGAGTGTATCAAAACTGCTCTGTCAAAAGGAAGGTTCTTCTCTGTTAGGTGAGTGCATACGTCATAAAGGAGTTTCTGAGAATGTTTCTGTCTAGTGGTTATGGGAAGATATTTGCTTTTTCACCGTAGGCCTCAGAGCGCTCCAAATATCCACTTGCACATACTACAAAAAGAGTGCCTCAAAGCTGCTCTCTGAAACGGAATGTTCAACTCTATGAGTTGAATGCCAACAGCACAAAGACGTTTCTGAGAATGCTTCTGTCTAGATTTGATATGAAGATATTCCCGTTACCAACGAAATCTTCAAATCTATCCAAATGTCCACTTGCAGATTCAACAAAAAGTGTTTTTCAGAACTGCTCTATCAAAAGAAAGATCCACCTCTGTTAGCTGAGTTCACACATCACAAACAAGTTTATGAGAATGCTTTCTGTCTAGTTTTTATTTGAAGATATTTCCTTTCTCAACATAGAGCTGAAAGCTGTCCTAATGTTCACTTCCAGATACTACAGAAAGAGTGTTTCAAAACTGCTGTACGAAAGGGAATGTTCAACTGTGTGACTTGAATGCACACATCACAAAGAAGTTTCTGAGGATGCTGCTGTCTACTTTTTATACGTAATCCCGTTTCCAACGAAATCCTCCAAGCTATCCAAATATCCACTTGCAGATTCCACAGAAAGACTGTTTCAAGACTGCTCTGGCAATAGAAAGGTTCAACTCTGTTAGCTGCGTGCATATATCCCAAAGAAGATTCTGAGATTGCTTCTGACTAGTTTTTATTGGAAGATATTTCCTTTTTCACCATAGGCATCAAAGCGCTCCAAATTTCCACTTCCAGATACTAAAAAAAAAGAGTGTTTCAAACCTACTGTGTGGAAGGGAATATTTAACTCGGTGACTTCAATGCACATATCACAGAGAAGTTTCTGAGAATGCTTCTGTCGAGATTTTTTATGAAGATATTCCCGTTTACAACGAAATTCTGTAATCTATCCAAATATCCCCTCGCAGATTCTAGAAAAAGAGTGTTTCAAAACTGCTCTGTAAAAAGAAAGTTTCACTTCTCTTAGTTGAGTACACACATCACAAACAAGTTTCTCAGAATGCTTCTTTCTAGGTTGTAGGGGAAGATATTCCCTTTATCACCATGGGCCTCAAACCGTCCGAAACGTCCACTTTTATATACTACAAAAAGAGCGTTTCAAACCTGCTCTATGAAAGGCAATGTTCAACTCTGTGACTTGAATGCAGACATCACAGAGCAGTTTCTGAGAATGCTTCTGTCCAGACTTTATAGGAAGATATTCCCGTTTCCAACGAAATCTTCACAGCTATCCAAATATCCACTTGCAGATAGTACAAAAAGAGTGTATCAGAAATGCTCTGTCAAAAGGAAAGTTCTTACTCTGCTAGTTGAGTACATACGTCATAAAGAAGTTTCTGAGAATGTTTCTGTCTAGTGGTTATGGGAAGATATTTGCTTTTTCACCGTAGGCCTCAGAGCGCTCCAAATATCCACTTGCACATACTACAAAAAGAGTGCTTCAAAGCTGCTCTCTGAAAGGGAATGTTACACTCTATGAGTTGAATGCAAACATCACAAAGACGTTTCTCAGAATGCTTCTGTCTAGATTTGATATGAAGATATTCCCGTTTCCAACGAAATCTTCAAATCTATCCAAATGTCCACTTGCAGATTCAACAAAAAGTGTTTTCCAGAACTGCTCTATCAAAAGAAAGATCCACCTCTGTTAGCTGAGTTCACACATCACAAACAAGTTTATGAGAATGCTTCGGTCTAGTTTTTATTTGAAGATATTTCCTTTCTCACCATAGAGCTGAAAGCTGTCCTAATGTTCACTTCCAGATACTACAGAAAGAGTGTTTCAAAACTGCTGTACGAAAGGGAATGTTCAACTCTGTGACTTGAATGCACACATCAGAAAGAAGTTTCTGAGGATGCTGCTGTCTACTTTTTATACGTAATCCCGTTTCCAACGAAATCCTCCAAGCTATCCAAATATCCACTTACAGATTCCACAGAAAGACTGTTTCAAAACTGCTCTGTCAATAGAAAGGTTCAACTCTGTTAGCTGCGTGCATATATCCCAAAGAAGATTCTGAGATTGCTTCTGTCTAGTTTTTATGGGAAGATATTTCCCTTTTCACCGTAGGCGTCAAGGCGCTCCAAATGTCCACTTCCAGATACTACAAAAAGAGTGTTTCAAACCTACTCTGTGAAAGGGAATATTCAACTCTGTGACTTGAATGCCCATGTCACAAGGAAGTTTCTGAGAATGCTTCTGTCAAGATTTTATAGGAAGAAATTCCCGTTTCCAACGAAATCCTGAAATCTATCCAAATAACCCCTCGCAGATTCTACAAAAAGAGTGTTTCAAAACTGCTCTGTAAAAAGAAAAGTTCAATTCTGTTAGTTGAGTACACACATCACAAACAAGTTTCACAGAATGCTTCTTTCTAGCTTGTAGGGGAAGATATTCCCTTTATCACCATGGGCCTCCAACCGTCCGAAACATCCACTTCCATATACTACAAAAAGAGCGCTTCAAACCTGCTCTATGAAAGGCAATGTTCAACTCTGTGACTTGAATACAGACATCACAGAGCAGTTTCTGAGAATGCTTCTGTCTAGATTTTATAGGAAGATATTCCCGTTTCCAACGAAATCTTCACAGCTATCCAAATATCCACTTGCAGATTCTACAAAAAGAGTGTATCAAAACTGCTCTGTCAAAAGGAAGGTTCTTCTCTGTTAGTTGAGTACATACGTCGTAAAGGAGTTTCTGAGAATGTTTGTGTCTAGTGGTTATGGGAAGATATTTGCTTTTTCACCTTAGGCCTCAGAGCGCTCAAAATATCCCCTTGCACATACTACAAAAAGAGTGCTTCAAAGCTGCTCTCTGAAAGGGAATGTTCAATTCTATGAGTTGAATGCAAACATAACAAATACGTTTCTGAGAATGCTTCTGTCTAGATTTGATATGAAGATATTCCCGTTTCCAACGAAATCTTCAAATCTATCCAAATGTCCACTTGCAGATTCAACAAAGTGTTTTTCAGAACTGCTCTATCAAAAGAAAGATCCACCTCTGTTAGCTGAGATCACACTTCACAAACAAGTTTATCAGAATGCTTATCTGTCTAGTTTTTATTTGAAGATATTTCCTTTCTCACCATAGACCTGAAAGCTGTCCTAATGTTCACTTCCAGATACTACAGAAAGAGTGTTTCAAAACTGCTGTACGAAAGCGAATGTTCAACTCTGTGACTTGAATGCACACATCACAAAGAAGTTTCTGAGGATGCTGCTGTCTACTTTTTATACGTAATCCCGTTTCCAACGAAATCCTCCAAGCTATCCAAATATCCACTTGCAGATTCCACAGAAAGACTGTTTCAAATCTGCTCTGTCAATAGAAAGGTTCAACTCTGTTAGCTGCGTACATATATCCCAAAGAAGATTCTGAGATTGCTTCTGTCTAGTTTTTATGGGAAGATATTTCCCTTTTCACCGTAGGCGTCAAGGCGCTCCAAATGTCCACTTCCAGATACTACAAAAAGAGTGTTTCAAACCTACTCTGTGAAAGGGAATATTCAACTCTGTGACTTGAATGCGCATATCACAAAGAAGTTTCTGAGAATGCTTCCGTCGAGATTTTATATGAAGATATTCCCGTTTCCAACAAAATCCTGAAATCTATCGAAATATCCCCTCGCAGATTCTACAAAAAGAGTGTTTCAAAACTGCTCTGTAAAAAGAAAGGTTCAACTCTGTTAGTTGAGTACACACATCACAAACAAGTTTCACAGAATGCTTCTTTCTAGCTTGTAGGGGAAGATATTCCCTTTATCACCATGGGCCTCCAACCGTCCGAAACATCCACTTCCATATACTACAAAAAGAGCGTTTCAAACCTGCTCTATGAAAGGCAATGTTCAACTCTGTGACTTGAATGCAGGCATCACAGAGCAGTTTCTGAGAATGCTTCTGTCCAGACTTTATAGGAAGATATTCCCGATTCCAACGAAATCTTCACAGCTATCCAAATATCCACTTGCAGATACTACAAAAAGAGTGTATCAAAAAAGCTCTGTCAAAAGGAAAGTTCTTCTCTGCTAGTTGAGAACATACGTCATAAAGAAGTTTCTGAGAATGTTTCTGTCTAGTGGTTATGGGAAGATATTTGCTTTTTCACCGTAGGCCTCAGGGCGCTCCAAATGTCCACTTGCACATGCTACAAAAAGAGTGCTTCAAAGCTGCTCTCTGAAAGGGAATGTTCAACTCTATGAGTTGAATGCAAACATCACAAAGACGTCTCTGAGAATGCTTCTGTCTAGATTTGATATGAAGATATTCCCGTTTCCAACGAAATCTTCAAATCTATCCAAATGTCCACTTGCAGATTCAACAAAAAGTGTTTTTCAGAACTGCTCTATCAAAAGAAAGACCCATCTCTGTTAGCTGAGTTCACACATTACAAACAAGTTTATGAGAATGCTTCTGTCTAGTTTTTATTTGAAGATATTTCCTTTCTCACCATAGACCTGAAAGCTGTCCTAATGTTCACTTCCAGATACTACAGAAAGAGTGTTTCAAAACTGCTGTACGAAAGGGAATGTTCAACTCTGTGACTTGAATGCACACATCACAAAATAGTTTCTGAGGATGCTGCTGTCTACTTTTTATACGTAATCCCGTTTCCAAAGAAATCCCCCAAGCTATCCAAATATCCACTTGCAGATTCCACAGAAAGACTGTTTCAAAACTGCTCTGTCAATAGAAAGGTTCAACTCTAATAGCTGCGTGCATATATCCCAAAGAAGATTCTGAGATTGCTTCTGTCTAGTTTTTATGGGAAGATATTTCCCTTTTCACCGTAGGCGTCAAGGCGCTCCAAATGTCCACTTCCAGATACTACAAAAAGAGTGTTTCAAACCTACTCTGTGAAAGGGAATATTCAACTCTGTGACTGGAATGCACATATCACAAGGAAGTTTCTGAGAATGCTTCTGTCGAGATTTTATATGAAGATATTCCCGTTTCCAACGAAATCCTGAAATCTATCCAAATATCCCCTCGCAGATTCTACAAAAAGAGTGTTTCAAAACTGCTCTGTGAAAAGAAAGGTTCAACTCTGTTAGTTGAGTACACACATCACAAGCAAGTTTCACAGAATGCTTCTTTCTAGCTTGTAGGGGAAGATATTCCCTTTATCACCATGGGCCTCAAACCGTCCGAAACGTCCACTTCCATATACTACAAAAAGAGTGTTTCAAACCTGCTCTATGAAAGGCAATGTTCAACTCTGTGACGTGAATGCAGACATCACAGAGTAGTTTCTGAGAATGCTTCTGTCTAGATTTTATAGGAAGATATTCCCGTTTCCAACGAAATCTTCACAGCTATCCAAATATCCACTTGCAGATTCTACAAAAAGAGTGTATCAAAACTGCTCTGTCAAAAAGAAGGTTCTTCTCTGTTAGGTGAGTGCATACGTCATAAAGGAGTTTCTGAGAATGTTTCAGTCTAGTGTTTATGGGAAGATATTTGCTTTTTCCCCGTAGGCCTCAGAGCGCTCCAAATATCCACTTGCACATACTACAAAAAGAGTGCTTCAAAGCTGCTCTCTGAAACGGAATGTTCAACTCTATGAGTTGAATGCAAACATTACAAAGACGTTTCCGAGAATCCTTTTGTCTAGATTTGATATGAAGATATTCCCGTTTCCAACGAAATCTTCAAATCTATCCAAATGTCCACTTGCAGATTCAACAAAAAGTGTTTTTCAGAACTGCTCTATCAAAAGAAAGATCCACCTCTGTTAGCTGACTTCACACATCACAAACAAGTTTATGAGAATGCTTCTGTCTAGTTTTTATTTGAAGATATTTCCTTTCTCACCATAGACCTGAAAGCTGTCCTAATGTTCACTCCCAGATAATACAGAAAGAGTGCTTCAAAACTGCTGTACGAAAGGGAATGTTCAACTCTGTGACTTGAATGCACACATCACAAAGAAGTTTCTGAGGATGCTGCTGTCTACTTTTGATACGTAATCCCGTTTCCAACGAAATCCTCCAATCTATCCAAATATCCACTTGCAGATTCCACAGAAAGACTGTTTCAAATCTGCTCAGTCAATAGAAAGGTTCAACTCTGTTAGCTGCGTGCATATATCCCAAAGAAGATTCTGAGATTGCTTTCTGTCTAGTTTTTATGGGAAGATATTTCCCTTTTCACCATAGGCGTCAAGGCGCTCCAAATGTCCACTTCCAGATACTACAAAAAGAGTGTTTCAAACCTACTCTGTGAAAGGGAATATTCAACTCGGTGACTTGAATGCACATATCACAAAGAAGTTTCTGAGAATGCTTCTGTCGAGATTTTATATGAAGATATTCCCGTTTCCAACGAAATCCTGAAATCTATCCAAATATCCCCTCACAGATTCTACAAAAAGAGTGTTTCAAAACTGCTCTGTAAAAAGAAAGGTTCAACTCAGTTAGTTGAGTACACACATCACAAACAAGTTTCACAGAATGCTTTCTTTCTAGCTTGTAGGGGAAGATATTCCCTTTATCATCATGGGCCTCAAACCGTCCGAAACGTCCACTTCCATATACTACAAAAAGAGCGTTTCAAACCTGCTCTATGAAAGGCAATGTTCAACTCTGTGACTTGAATGCAGACATCACAGAGCAGTTTCTGAGAATGCTTCTGTCTAGATTTTATAGGAAGATATTACCGTTTCCAACGAAATCTTCACAGCTATCCAAATATCCACTTGCAGATTCTACAAAAAGAGTGTATCAAAACTGCTCTGTCAAAAGGAAGGTTCTTCTCTGTTAGGTGAGTGCATACGTCATAAAGGAGTTTCTGAGAATGTTTCTGTCTAGTGGTTATGGGAAGATATTTTCTTTTTCACTTTAGGCCTCAGAGTGCTCCAAATATCCGCTTGCACATACTACAAAAAGAGTGCTTCAAAGCTGCTCTATGAAAGGGAATGTTCAACTCTATGAGTTGAATGCAAACATCACAAAGACGTTTCTGAGAATGCTTCTGTCTAGATTTGATATGAAGATATTCCCGTTTCCAACGAAATCTTCTAATCTATCCAAATGTCCTCTTGCAGATTTAACAAAAAGTGTTTTTCAGAACTGCTCTATCAAAAGAAAGATCCACGTGTGTTAGCTGAGTTCACACATCACGAACAAGTTTATGAGAATGCTTCTGTCTAGTTTTTATTTGAAGATATATCCTTTCTCACTATAGACCTGAAAGCTCTCCTAAAGTTCACTTCCAGATACTACAGAAAGAGTGTTTCAAAACTGCTGTATGAAAGGGAATGTTCAACTCTGTGACTTGAATGCACACATCACAAGGATGTTTCTGAGGATGCTGCTGTCTAATTTTTATACGTAATCCCGTTTCCAACGAAATCCTCCAAGCTATCCAAATATCCACTTGCAGATTCCACAGAAAGACTGTTTCAAAACTTCTCTGTCAATAGAAAGGTTCAACTCTGTTAGCTGCGTGCATATATCCCAAAGAAGATTCTGAGATTGCTTCTGTCTAGTTTTTATGGGAAGATATTTCCCTTTTCACCGTAGGTGTCAAGGCGCTCCAAATGTCCACTTCCAGATACTACAAAAAGAGTGTTTCAAAGCTACTCTGTGAAAGGGAATATTCAACTCTGTGACTTAAAGGCAGATATCACAAAGAAGTTTCTGAGAATGCTTCTGTCGAGATTTTATATGAAGATATTCCCGTTTCCAACGAAATCCTGAAATCTATCCAAATATCCCCTCGCAGATTCTACAAAAAGAGTGTTTCAAAACTGCTCTGTTAAAAGAAAGGTTCAACTCTGTTAGTTGAGTACACACATCACAAACAAGTTTCACAGAATGCTTCCTTCTAGCTTGTAGGGGAAGATATTCCCTTTATCACCATGGGCCTCAAACCGTCCGAAACGTCCACTTCCATATACTACAAAAAGAGCGTTTCAAACCTGCTCTAGGAAAGGCAATGTTCAACTCTGTGACTTGAATGCAGACATCACAGAGCAGTTTCTGAGAATGCTTCTGTCTAGATTTTATAGGAAGATATTCCCGTTTCCAAGGAAATCTTCACAGCTATCCAATATCCACTTGCAGATTCTACAAAAAGAGTGTATCAAAACTGCTCTGTCAAAAGGAAGGTTCTTCTCTGTTAGTTGAGTACATACGTCATAAAGGAGTTTCTGAGAATGTTTCTGTCTAGTGGTTATGGGAAGATATTTGCTTTTTCACCTTAGGCCTCAGAGCGCTCCAAATATCCCCTTGCACATCCTACAAAAAGAGTGCTTCAAAGCTGCTCTCTGAAAGGGAATGTTCAACTCTATGAGTTGAATGCAAACATCACAAAGACGGTTCTGGGAATGCTTCTGTCTAGATTTGATATGAAGATATTCCCGTTTCCAACGAAATCTTCAAATCTATCCAAATGTCCACTTGCAGATTCAACAAAAAGTGTTTTTCAGAACTGCTCTATCAAAAGAAAGATCCACCTACTGTTAGCTGAGTTCAGACATCACAAACAAGTTTATGAGAATGCTTTTGTCCAGTTTTTATTTGAAGATATTGCCTTTCTCACCGTAGACCTCAAAGCTGTCCTAATGTTCACTTCCAGATACTACAGAAAGAGTGTTTCAAAACTGCTGTACGAAAGGGAATGTTCAACTCTGTGACTTGAATGCACACATCACAAAGAAGTTTCTGAAGATGCTGCTGTCTACTTTTTATACGTAATCCCGTTTCCAACGAAATCCTCCAAGCTATCCAAATATCCACTTGCAGATTCCACAGAAAGACTGTTTCAAAACTGCTCTGTCAATAGAAAGGTTCAACTCTGTTAGCTGCGTGCATACATCCCAAAGAAGATTCTGAGATTGCTTCTGTCTAGTTTTTATGGGAAGATATTTCCCTTTTCACCGTAGGCGTCAAGGCGCTCCAAATGTCCACTTCCAGATACTACAAAAAGAGTGTTTCAAACCTACTCTGTGAAAGGGAATTTTCAACTCTGTGACTTGAATGCACATATCACAAAGAAGTTTCTGAGAATGCTTCTGTCGAGATTTTATATGAAGATATTCCCGTTTCCAACGAAATCCTGAAATGTATCCAAATATCCCCTCGCAGATTCTACAAAAAGAGTGTTTCAAAACTGCTCTGTAAAAACAAAGGTTCAACTCTGTTAGTTGAGTACACACATCACAAACAAGTTTCACACAATGCTTCTTTCTAGCTTGTAGGGGAAGATATTCCCTTTATCACCATGGGCCTCAAACCGTCCGAAACGTCTACTTCCATATACTACAAAAAGAGCGTTTCAAACCTGCTCTAGGAAAGGTAATGTTCAACTCTGTGACTTGAATGCAGACATCACAGAGCAGTTTCTGAGAATGCTTCTGTCTAGATTTTATAGGAAGATATTCCCGTTTCCAACGAAATCTTCCCAGCTATCCAAATATCCACTTGCAGATTCTACAAAAAGAGTGTATCAAAACTGCTCTGTCAAAAGGAAGGTTCTTCTCTGTTAGATGAGTACATACGTCATAAAGGAGTTTCTGAGAATGTTTCTGTCTAGTGGTTATGGGAAGATATTTGCTTTTTCACCGTAGGCCTCAGAGAGCTCCAAATATCCACTTGCACATACTACAAAAAGAGTGCTTCAAAGCTGCTCTCTGAAAGGGAATGTTCAACTCTATGAGTTGAATGCAAACATCACAAAGACGTTTCTGAGAATGCTTCTGTCTAGATTTGATATGAAGATATTCCCGTTTCCAACGAAATCTTCAAATCTATCCAAATGTCCTCTTGCAGATTCAACAAAAAGTGTTTTTCAGAACTGCTCTATCAAAAGAAAGATCCACCTCTGTTAGCTGAGTTCAGACATCACAAACAAGTTTATGAGAATGCTTCTGTCTAGTTTTTATTTGAAGATATTTCCTTTCTCACCATAGACCTGAAAGCTGTCCTAATGTTGACTTCCAGATACTACAGAAAGAGTGTTTCAAAACTGCTGTATGAAAGGGAATGTTCAACTCTGTGACTTGAATGCAGACATCACAGAGCAGTTTCTGAGAATGCTTCTGTCTAGATTTTATAGGAAGATATTCCCGTTTCCAACGAAATCTTCACAGCTATCCAAATATCCACTTGCAGATTCTACAAAAAGAGTGTATCAAAACTGCTCTGTCAAAAGGAAGGTTCTTCTCTGTTAGGTGAGTGCATACGTCATAAAGGAGTTTCTGAGAACGTTTCTGTCTAGTTTTTAGGGGAAGATATTTCCTTTTTCACAATAGGCGTCAAAGCGATCCAAATGTCCACTTCCAGATACTACAAAAAGAGTGTTTCAAACCTACTCTGTGAAAGGGAGTATTCAAGTCTGTGACTTCAATGCAGATATCACAATGAAGTTTCTGAGAATGCTTCTGTCGGGATTTTATATGAATATATTCACGTTTCCAACGAAATCCTGAAATCTATCCAAATATCCCCTCGCAGATTCTACAAAAAGAGTGTTTCAAAACTGCTCTGTAAAAAGAAAGGTTCAACTCTGTTAGTTGAGTACACACATCACAAACAAGTTTCACAGAATGCTTCTTTCTAGCTTGTAGGGGAAGATATTTCCTTTATCACCATGGTCCTCAAGCCGTCTGAAAGGTCCACTTCCATATACTAAAAAAAGAGTGTTTGAAACCTGCTCTATGAAATGCAATGTTCAACTCTGTGACTTGAATGCAGACATCACAGAGCCGTTTCTGAGAATGCTTCTGTCTAGCATTTTATAGGAAGATATTTCCGTTTCTAACGAAACCTTCACAGCTATCCAAATATCCACTTGCAGATTCTACAAAAAGAGTGGATCAAAACTGCTCTGTCAAAAGGAAGGTTCTTCTCTGTTAGTTGAGTACATACGTCATAAAGGAGTTTCTGAGAATGTTTTCTGCTAGTGGTTATGGGAAGATATTTGCTTTTTCACCGTAGGCCTCAGAGCGCTCCAAATATCCACTTGCACATACTACAAAAAGAGTGCCTCACAGCTGCTCTCTGAAACGGAATGTTCAACTCTATGAGTTGAATGCAAACATCGCAAAGACGTTTCTGAGAATGCTTCTGTCTAGATTTGATATGAAGATATTCCCGTTTCCAACGAAATCTTCAAATCTATCCAAATGTCCACTTGCAGATTCAATTAAAAGGGTTTTTCATAACTGGTGTATCAAAAGAAAGACCCACCTCTGTTAGTTGAGTTCACACATCACAAACAAGTTTATGAGAATGCTTCTGTCTAGTTTTTATTTGAAGATATTTCCTTTCTCACCATAGACCTGAAAGGTCTCGAAACGTTCACTTCCAGGTACTAGAGAAAGAGTGTTTCAAACCTGCTGTACGAAAGGGAATGTTCAACTCTTTGACTTGAATGCACACATCACAAAGAAGTTTCTGAGAATGCTGCTGTCTAATTTTTATACGTAATCCCGTTGCCAACGAAATCCTCCAAGCTATCCAAATATCCACTTGCAGATTCCACAGAAAGACTGTTTCAAAACTGCTCTGTCAATAGAAAGGTTCAACTCCGTTAGCTGCGTGCATATATCCCAAAGAAGATTCTGAGATTGCTTCTGTCTAGTTTTTATGGGAAGATATTTCCCTTCTCACCGTAGGTGTCAAGGCGCTCCAAATGTCCACTTCCAGATACTACAAAAAGAGTGTTTCAAACCTACTCTGTGAAAGGGAATATTCAACTCTGTGACTTGAATGCACATATCACAAAGAAGTTTCTGAGAATGCTTCTGTCGAGATTTTATATGAAGATATTCCCGTTTCCAACGAAATCCTGAAATGTATCCAAATATCCCCTCGCAGATTCTACAAAAAGAGTGTTTCAAAACTGCTCTGTAAAAAGAAAGGTTCAACTCTGTTAGTTGAGTACACACATCACAAACAAGTTTCACAGAATGCTTTCTTTCTAGCTTGTAGGGGAAGATATTCCCTTTATCACCATGGGCCTCCAACCGTCCGAAAAGTCCACTTCCATACACTACAAAAAGAGCGTTTCAAACCTGCTCTATGAAAGGCAATGTTCAACTCTGTGACTTGAATGCAGACATCACAGAGCAGTTTCTGAGAATGCTTCTGTCTAGATTTTATAGGAAGATATTCCCGATTCCAACGAAATCTTCACAGCTATCCAAATATCCACTTGGAGATTCTACAAAAAGAGTGTATCAAAACTGCTCTGTCAAAAGGAAGGTTCTTCTCTGTTAGTTGAGTACATACGTCATAAAGGAGTTTCTGAGAATGTTTCTGTCTAGTGGTTATGGGAATATATTTGCTTTTTCCCCGTAGGCCTCAGGGCGCTCCAAATGTCCACTTGCACATGCTACAAAATGAGTGCTTCAAAGCTACTCTCTGAAACGGAATGTTCAACTCTATGAGTTGAATGCAAACATCACAAAGACGTTTCTGAGAATGCTTCTGTCTAGATTTGATATGAAGATATTCCCGTTTCCAAAGAAATCTTCAAATCTATCCAAATGTCCACTTGCAGATTCAAAAAAAAGTGTTTTTCAGAACTGCTCTATCAAAAGAAAGATCCACCTCTGTTAGCTGAGTTCACACATCACAAACAAGTTTATGAGAATGCTTCTGTCTAGTTTTTATTTGAAGATATTTCCTTTCTCACCATAGAGCTGAAAGCTGTCCTAATGTTCACTTCCAGATACTACAGAAAGAGTGTTTCAAAACTGCTGTACGAAAGGGAATGTTGAACTCTGTGACTTGAATGTACACATCACAAAGAAGTTTCTGAGGATGCTGCTGTCTACTTTTTATACTTAATCCCGTTTCCAATGAAATCCTCCAAGCTATCCAAATATCCACTTGCAGATTCCACAGAAAGACTGTTTCAAAACTGCTCTGTCAATAGAAAGGTTCAACTCTGTTAGCTGCGTGCATATATCCCAAAGAAGATTCTGAGATTGCTTCTGTCTAGTTTTTATGGGAAGATATTTACCTTTTCACCATAGGCGCCAAGGCGTTCCAAATGTCCACTTCCAGATACTACAAAAAGAGTGTTTCAAACCTACTCTGTGAAAGGGAATATTCAACTCTGTGACTTGAAGGCAGATATCACAAAGAAGTTTCTGAGAATGCTTCTGTCGAGATTTTATATGAAGATATTCCCGTTTCCAACGAAATCCTGAAATCTATCCAAATATCCCCTCGCAGATTCTACAAAAAGAGTGTTTCAAAACTGCTCTGTAAAAAGAAAGGTTCAACTCTGTTAGTTGAGAACACACATCACAAACATGTTTCACAGAATGCTTCTTTCTAGCTTGTAGGGGAAGATATTCCCTTTATCACCATGGGCCTCAAACCGTCTGAAAAGTCCACTTCCATATACTACAAAAAGAGCGTTTCAAACCTGCTCTATGAAAGGCAATGTTCAACTCTGTGACTTGAATGCAGACATCACAGAGCAGTTTCTGAGAATGCTTCTGTCCAGACTTTATAGGAAGATATTCCCGTTTCCAACGAAATCTTCACAGCTATCCAAATATCCACTTGCAGATAGTAAAAAAAGAGTGTATCAGAAATGCTCTGTCAAAAGGAAAGTTCTTCTCTGCTAGTTGAGTTCATACGTCATAAAGAACTTTCTGAGAATGTTTCTGTCTAGTGGTTATGGGAAGATATTTGCTTTTTCACCTTAGGCCTCAGAGCGCTCCAAATATCCACTTGCACATACTACAAAAAGAGTGCTTCAAAGCTGCTCTCTGAAAGGGAATGTTCAACTCTATGAGTTGAATGCAAACATCCCAAAGACGTTTGCTGAGAATGCTTTCTGTCTAGATTTGATATGACGATATTCCCGTTTCCAACGAAATCTTCAAATCTATCCAAATGTCCACTTGCAGATTCAAGAAAACGTGTTTTTCAGAACTGCTCTATCAAAAGAAAGATCCACCTCTGTTAGCTGAGTTCACACATCACAAACAAGTTTATGAGAATGCTTCTGTCTAGTTTTTATTTGAAGATATTTCCTTTCTCACCATAGACCTGAAAGCTGTCCTAATGTTCACTTCCAGATACTACAGAAAGAGTGTTTCAAAACTGCTGTACGAAAGGGAATGTTCAACTCTGTGACTTGAATGCACACATCACAAACAAGTTTCTGAGGATGCTGCTGTCTACTTTTTATACGTAATCCCGTTTCCTACGAAATCCTCCAAGCTATCCAAATATCCACTTGCAGATTCCACAGAAAGACTGTTTCAAAACTGCTCTGTCAATAGAAAGGTTCAACTCTGTTAGCTGGGTGCATATATCCCAAAGAAGATTCTGAGATTACTTCTGTCTACTTTTTATGAGAAGATATTTCCCTTTTCACCGTAGTCGTCAAGGCGCTCCAAATGTCCACTTCCAGATACTACAAAAAGAGTGTCTCAAACCTACTCTGTGAAAGGGAATATTGAACTCTGTGACTTGAATGCACATATCACAAAGAAGTTTCAGAGAATGCTTCTGTCGAGATTTTATATGAAGATATTCCCGTTTCCAACGAAATCCTGAAATCTATCCAAATATCCCCTCGCAGATTCTACAAAAAGAGTGTTTCAAAACTGCTCTGTAAAAAGAAAGGTTCAAATCTATTAGTTGAGTACACACATCGCAAACAAGTTTCACAGAATGCTTCTTTCTAGCTTGTAGGGGAAGATATTCCCTTTATCACCATGGGCCTCAAACCGTCCGAAACATCCACTTCCATATAGTACAAAAAGAGCGTTTCAAACCTGCTCTATGAAAGGCAATGTTCAACTCTGTGACTTGAATGCAGACATCACAGAGCAGTTTCTGAGAATGCTTTCTGTCTAGATTTTATAGGAAGATATTCCCGTTTCCAAGGAAATCTTCACAGCTATCCAAATATCCACTTGCAGATTCTACAAAAAGAGTGTATCAAAACTGCTCTGTCAAAAGGAAGGTTCTTCTCTGTTAGGTGAGTGCATACGTCATAAAGGAGTTTCTGAGAATGTTTTTGTCTAGTGGATATGGGAAGATATTTGCTTTTTCCCCGTAGGCCTCAAAGCGCTCCAAATGTCCACTTGCACATACTACAAAAAGAGTGCTTCAAAGCTGCTCTCTGAAAGGGAATGTTCAACTCCATGAGTTGAATGCAAACATCACAAAGACGTTTCTGAGAATGCTTCTGTCTAGATTTGATATGAAGATATTCCCGTTTCCAACGAAATCTTCAAATCTATCCAAATGTCCACTTGCAGATTCAACAAAACGTGTTTTTAAGAACTGCTCTATCAAAAGAAAGATCCACCTCTGTTAGCTGAGTTCACACATCACAAACAAGTTTATGAGAATGCTTCTGTCTAGTTTTTATTTGAAGATATTTCCTTTCTCACCATAGAGCTGAAAGCTGTCCTAATGTTCACTTCCAGATACTGCAGAAAGAGTGTTTCAAAACTGCTGTACGAAAGGGAATGTTCAACTCTGTGACTTGAATGCACACATCACAAAGAAGTTTCTGAGGATGCTGCTGTCTACTTTTTATACCTAATCCCGTTTCCAACGAAATCCTCCAAGCTATCCAAATATCCACTTGCAGATTCCACAGAAAGACTGTTTCAAAACTGCTCTGTCAATAGAAAGGTTCAACACTGTTAGCTGCGTGCATATATCCCAAAGAAGATTCTGAGATTGTTTCTGTCTCGTTTTCATGGGAAGATATTTCCCTTTTCACCGTAGGTGTCAAGGCGCTCCAAATGTCCACTTCCAGATACTACAAAAAGAGTGTTTCAAACCTACTCTCTGAAAGGGAATATTCAACTCTGTGACTTGAATGCAGATATCACAATGAAGTTTCTGAGAATGTTTCTGTCGAGATTTTATATGAAGATATTCCCGTTTCCAACGAAATGCTGAAATGTATCCAAATATCCCCTCGCAGATTCTACAAAAAGAGTGTTTCAAAACTGCTCTGTAAAAAGAAAGGTTCAACTCTGTTAGTTGAGTACACACATCCCAAACAAGTTTCACAGAATGCTTCTTTCTAGCTTGTAGGGGAAGATATTCCCTTTATCACAATGGGCCTCAAACCGTCTGAAACGTCCACTTCCATATACTACAAAAAGAGCATTTCAAACCTGCTCTATGAAAGGCAATGTTCAACTCTGTGACTTGAATGCAGGCATCACAGAGCAGTTTCTGAGAATGCTTCTGTCTAGATTTTATAGGAAGATATTCCCGTTTCCAACGAAATCTTGACAGCTATCCAAATATCCACTTGCAGATTCTACAAAAAGAGTGTATCAAAACTGCTCTGTCAAAAGGAAGGTTCTTCTCTGTTAGGTGAGTGCATACGTCATAAAGGAGTTTCTGAGAATGTTTCTGTCTAGTGGTTATGGGAAGATATTTGCTTTTTCACCGTAGGCCTCAGAGCGCTCCAAATATCCACTTGCACATACTACAAAAAGAGTGCTTCAAAGCTGCTCTCTGAAACGGAATGTTCAACTCTATGAGTTGAATGCAAACATCACAAAGACGTTTCCGAGAGTGCTTCTGTCTAGATTTGATATGAAGATATTAACGTTTCCAACGAAATCTTCAAATCTATCCAAAAGTCCACTTGCAGATTCAACAAAAAGTGTTTTTCAGAACTGCTCTATCAAAAGAAAGATCCACCTCTGTTAGCTGAGTTCACACATCACAAACAAGTTTATGAGAATGCTTCTGTCTAGTTTTTATTTGAAGATATTTCCTTTCTCACCATAGACCTGAAAGCTGTCCTAATGTTCACTTCCAGATACTGCAGAAAGAGTGTTTCAAAACTGTTGTACGAAAGGGAATGTTCAACTCTGTGACTTGAATGCACACATCACAAAGAAGTTTCTGAGGATGCAGCTGTCTACTTTTTATGCGTAATCCCGTTTCCAACGAAATCCTCCAAGCTATCCAAATATCCACATGCAGATTCCACAGAAAGACTGTTTCAAAACTGCTCTGTCAATAGAAAGGTTCAACTCTGTTAGCTGCGTGCATATATCCCAAAGAAGATTCTGAGATTGCTTCTGTCTACTTTTTATGAGAAGATATTTCCCTTTTCACCGTAGGCGTCAAGGCGCTCCAAATGTCAACTTCCAGATACTACAAAAAGAGTGTTTCAAACCTACTCTGTGAAAGGGAATATTCAACTCTGTGACTTGAATGCAGATATCACAAAGAAGTTTCTGAGAATGCTTCTGTCGAGTATTTTATATGAAGATATTCCCGTTTCCATCGAAATCCTGAAATCTATCCAAATATCCGCTCGCAGATTCTACAAAAAGAGTGTTTCAAAACTGCTCTGTGAAAAGAAAGGTTCAACTCTGTTAGTTGAGTACACACATCACAAACAAGTTTCACAGAATGCTTCCTTCTAGCTTGTAGGGGAAGATATTCCCTTTATCACCATGGGCCTCAAACCGTCCGAAACGTCCACTTCCATATACTACAAAAAGAGCGTTTCAAACCTGTTATAGGAAAGGCAATGTTCAACTCTGTGACTTGAATGCAGACATCACAGAGCAGTTTCTGAGAATGCTTCTGTCTAGATTTTATAGGAAGATATTCCCGTTTCCAGCGAAATCTTCACAGCTATCCAAATATCCACTTGCAGATTCTACAAAAAGAGTGTATCAAAACTGCTCTGTCAAAAGGAAGATTCTTCTCTGATAGGTAAGTGCATAAGTCATAAAGGAGTTTCTGAGAATGTTTCTGTCTTGTGGTTATGGGAAGATATTTGCTTTTTCACCGTAGGCCTCAGAGCGCTCCAAATATCCACTTGCACATACTACAAAAAGAGTGCCTCAAAGCTGCTCTCTGAAACGGAATGTTCAACTCTATGAGTTGAATGCAAACATCGCAAAGACGTTTCTGAGAATGCTTCTCTCTAGATTTGATATGAAGATATTCCCGTTTCCAACGAAATCTTCAATCTATCCAAATATCCACTTGCAGATTCAACAAAAAGTGTTTTTCAGAACTGCTCTATCAAAAGAAAGATCCACCTCTGTTAGCTGAGTTCACACATCACAAACAAGTTTATGAGAATGCTTCTGTCTAGTTTTTAGTTGAAGATATTTCCTTTCTCACCATAGAGCTGAAAGCTGTCCTAATGTTCACTTCCAGATACTACAGAAAGAGTGTTTCAAAACTGCTCTACGAAAGGGAATGTTCAACTCTGTGACTTGAATGCACACATCACAAAGAAGTTTCTGAGGATGCTGCTGTCTACTTTTTATACGTAATCCCGTTTCCAACGAAATCCTCCAAGCTATCCAAATATCCACTTGCAGATTCCCCAGAAAGACTGTTTCAAAACTGCTCTGTCAATAGAAAGGTTCAACTCTGTTAGCTGCGTGCATATATCCCAAAGAAGATTCTGAGATTGCTTCTGTCTAGTTTTTATGGGAAGATATTTCCCTTTTCACCGTAGGTGTCAAGGCGCTCCAAATATCCACTTCCAGATACTACAAAAAGAGTGTTTCAAACCTACTCTGTGAAAGGGAATGTTCAACTCTGTGACTTGAATGCACACATCACAAAGAAGTTTCTGAGGATGCTTCTGTCGAGATTTTGTATGAAGATATTCCCGTTTCCAAGGAAATCCTGAAATCTATCCAAATTTCCCCTCGCAGATTCTACAAAAAGAGTGTTTCAAAACTGCTCTGTAAAAAGAAAGGTTCAACTCTGTTAGTTGAGTACACACATCACAAACAAGTTTCACAGAATGCTTCTTTCTAGCTTGTAGGGGAAGATATTTCCTTTATCACCATGGGCCTTAAACCGTCCGAAACGTCCACTTCCATAAACTAAAAAAAGAGTGTTTGAAACCTGCTCTATGAAAGGCAATGTTCAACTCTGTGACTTGAATGCAGACATCACAGAGCAGTTTCTGAGAATGCTGCTGTCTAGATTTTATAGGAAGAAATTCCCGTTTCCAACGAAATCTTCACAGTTATCCAAATATAGACTTGCAGATTCTACAAAAAGATTGTATCAAAATTGCTGTGTCAAAAGGAAGGTTCAACTCTGTTAGTTGAGTACGTACGTCACAAAGAAGTTTCTGAGAATGTTTCTGTCTAGTGGTTATGGGAAGATATTTGCTTTTTCAACGTAGGCCTCAGAGCGCTCTAAATATCCACTTGCACATACTACAAAAAGAGTGCCTCAAAGCTGCTCTCTGAAACGGAATGTTCAACTCTATGAGTTGAATGCAAACATCACAAAGACGTTTCTGAGAATGCTTCTGTCTAGATTTGATATGAAGATATTCCCTTTTCCAACGAAATCTTCAAATCTATCCAAATGTCCACTTGCAGATTCAACAAAAAGTGTTTTTCAGAACTGCTCTATCAAAAGAAAGATCCACCTCTGTTAGCTGAGTTCACACATCACAAACAAGTTTATGAGAATGCTTCTGTCTAGTTTTTATTTGAAGATATTTCCTTTCTCACCATAGACCTGAAAGCTCTCGCCCCGTTCACTTCCAGGTACTAGAGAAAGAGTGTTTCAAACCTCCTATACGAAAGGGAATGTTCAACTCTTTGACTTGAATGCACACATCACAAAGAAGTTTCTGAGAATGCTGCTGTCTACTTTGTATACATAATCCCGTTTCCAAAGAAATCCTCCAAGCTATCCAAATATCCACTTGCAGATTCCACTAAAAGACTGTTTCAAAACTGCTCTGTCAATAGAAAGTTTCAACTCTGTTAGCTGGGTGCATACATCCCAAAGAAGATTCTGAGATTGCTTGTGTCTAGTTTTGATGGGAAGATATTTCCCTTTTCACCGTGGGCGTCAAGGCGCTCCAAATGTCCACTTCCAGATACTACAAAAAGAGTGTTTCAAACCTACTCTGTGAAAGGGAATATTCAACTCTGTGACTTGAATGCACATATCACAAGGAAGTTTCTGAGAATGCTTCTGTCGAGATTTTATATGAAGATATTCCCGTTTCCAACGAAATGCTGAAATCTATCCAAATATCCCCTCGCAGATTCTACAAAAAGAGTGTTTCAAAACTGCTCTGTGAAAAGAAAGGTTCAACTCTGTTAGTTGAGTACACACATCACCAACAAGTTTCACAGAATGCTTCTTTCTAGCTTGTACGGGAAGATATTCCCTTTATCACCATGGGCCTCAAACCGTCCGAAACGTCCACTTCAATATACTACAAAAAGAGCGTTTCAAACCTGCTCTATGAAAGGCAATGTTCAACTCTGTGACTTGAATGCAGACATCACAGAGCAGTTTCTGAGAATGCTTCTGTCTAGATTTTATAGGAAGATATTCCCGTTTCCAACGAAATCTTCACAGCTATCCAAATATCCACTTGCAGATTCTACAAAAAGAGTGTATCAAAGCTGCTCTGTCAAAAGGGAAGGTTCTTCTCTGTTAGGTGAGTGCATACGTCATAAAGGAGTTTCTGAGAATGTTTCTGTCTAGTGGTTATGGGAAGATATTTGCTTTTTCACCGTAGGTCTCAGAGCGCTCCAAATATCCACTTGCACATAGTACAAAAAGAGTGCTTCAAAGCTGCTCTCTGAAACGGAATGTTCAACTCTATGAGTTGAATGCAAACATCACAAAGACGTTTCTGAGAATGCTTCTGTCTAGATTTGATTTGAAGATATTCACGTTTCCAACGAAATCTTCAAATCTATCCAAATGTCCACTTGCAGATTCAACAAAAAGTGTTTTTCAGAACTGCTCTATCAAAAGAAAGATCCACCTCTGTTAGCTGAGTTCAGACATCACAAACAAGTTTATGAGAATGCTTCTGTCTAGTTTTTATTTGAAGATATATCCTTTCTCACTATAGACCTGAAAGCTGTCCTAATGTTCACTTCCAGATACTACAGAAAGAGTGTTTCAAAACTGCTGTACGAAAGGGAATGTTCAACTCTGTGACTTGAATGCACACATCACAAAGCAAGTTTCTGAGGATACTGCTGTCTACTTTTTATACGTAATCCCGTTTCCAACGAAATCCTCCAATCTATCCAAATATCCACTTGCAGATTCCACAGAAAGACTGTTTCAAATCTGCTCAGTCAATAGAAAGGTTCAAATCTGTCAGCTGCGTGCATATATCACAAAGAAGATTCTGAGATTGCTTCTGTCTAGTTTTTATGGGAAGATATTTCCCTTTTCACCGTGGGCGTCAAGGCGCTCCAAATGACCACTTCCAGATACTACAAAAAGAGTGTTTCAAACCTACTCTGTGAAAGGGAATATTCAACTCTGTGACTTGAATGCACATATCACAAGGAAGTCTCTGAGAATGCTTCTGTCGAGATTTTATATGAAGATATTCCCGTTTCCAACGAAATCCTGAAATCTATCCAAATAACCCCTCGCAGATTCTACAAAAAGAGTGTTTCAAAACTGCTCTGTAAAAAGAAAGGTTCAACTATGTAAGTTGAGTACACACATCACAAACAAGTTTCACAGAATGCTTCTTTCTAGCTTGTAGGGGAAGATATTCCCTTTATCACCATGGGCCTCAAACCGTCCGAAACGTCCACTTCCATATACTACAAAAAGAGCGTTTCAAACCTGCTCTATGAAAGACAATGTTGAACTCTGTGACTTGAATGCAGACATCACAGAGCAGTTTCTGAGAATGCTTCTGTCTAGATTTTATAGGAAGATATTCCCGTTTCCAACGAAATCTTCACAGCTATCCAAATATCCACTTGCAGATTCTACAAAAAGAGTGTATCAAAACTGCTCTGTCAAAAGGAAGGTTCTTTTCTGTTCGGTGAGTGCATACGTCATAAAGGCGTTTCTGAGAATGTTTCTGTCTAGTGGTTATGGGAAGATATTTGCTTTTTCACCGTAGGCCTCAGAGCGCTCCAAATATCCACTTGCACATACTACAAAAAGACTGCTTCAAAGCTGCTCTCTGAAAGGGAATGTTCAACTCTATGAGTTGAATGCAAACATCACAAAGACGTTTCTGAGAATGCTTCTGTCTAGATTTGATATGAAGATATTCCCGATTCCAACGAAATCTTCAAATCTATCCAAATGTCCACTTGCAGATTCAACAAAAAGTGTTTTTCAGAACTGCTCTATCAAAAGAAAGATCCACCTCTGTTAGCTGAGTTCACACATCACAAACAAGTTTATGAGAATGCTTCTGTCTAGTTTATATTTGAAGATATTTCCTTTCTCACCATAGAGCTGAAAGCTGTCCTAATGTTCACTTCCAGATACTACAGAAAGAGTGTTTCAAAACTGCTGTATGAAAGGGAATGTTCAACTCTGTGACTTGAATGCACACATCACAAAGAAGTTTCTGAGGATGCTGCTGTCTACTTTTTATACGTAATCCCGTTTCCAACGAAATCCTCCAAGCTATCCAAATATCCACTTGCAGAATCCACAGAAAGACTGTTTCAAAACTGCTCTGTCAATAGAAAGGTTCAACTCTGTTAGCTGCGTGCATATATCCCAAAGAAGATTCTGAGATTGCTTCTGTCTAGTTTTTATGGGAAGATATTTCCCTTTTCACCGTAGGCGTCAAGGCGCTCCAAATGTCCACTTTCAGATATTACAAAAAGAGTGTTTCAAACCTACTCTGTGAAAGGGAATATTCAACTCTGTGACTTGAATGCACATATCACAAGGAAGTTTCTGAGAATGCTTCTGTCGAGATTTTATATGAAGATATTCCCGTTTCCAACGAAATCCTGAAATCTATCCATATATCCCCTCGCAGATTCTACAAAAAGAGTGTTTCAAAACTGCTCTGTAAAAGGAAAGGTTCAACTCTGTTAGTTGAGTACACACATCACAAACAAGTTTCACAGAATGCTTCTTTCTAGCTTGTAGGGGAAGATATTCCCTTTATCACCATGGGCCTCCAACCGTCCGAAACATCCACTTCCATATACTACAAAAAGAGCGTTTCAAACCTGCTCTATGAAAGGCAATGTTCAACTCTGTGACTTGAATACAGACATCACAGAGCAATTTCTGAGAATGCTTCTGTCTAGATTTTATAGGCAAGATATTCCCGTTTCCAACGAAATCTTCACAGCTATCCAAATATCCACTTGCAGATTCTACAAAAAGAGTGTATCAAAACTGCTCTTTCAAAAGGAAGGTTCTTCTCTGTTAGTTGAGTACATACGTCATAAAGGAGTTTCTGAGAATGTTTCTGTCTAGTGGTTATGGGAAGATATTTGCTTTTTCACCGTAGGCCTCAGAGCGCTCCAAATATGCACTTGCACATACTACAAAAACAGTGCTTCAAAGCTGCTCTCTGAAACGGAATGTTCAACTCTATGAGTTGAATGCAAACATCGCAAAGACGTTTCTGAGAATGCTTCTGTCTAGATTTGATATGAAGATATTCCTGTTTCCAACGAAATCTTCAAATCTATTCAAATGTCCACTTGCAGATTCAACAAAAAGTGTTTTTCAAAACTGCTGTTTCGAAAGAAAGATCCACCTCTGTTAGCTGAGTTCACACTTCACAAACAAGTTTATCAGAATGCTTCTGTCTAGTTTTTATTTGAAGATATTTCCTTTCTCACCATAGACCTGAAAGCTGTCCTAATGTTCACTTCCAGATACTACAGAAAGAGTGTTTCAAAACTGCTGTACGAAAGGGAATGTTCAACTCTCTGACTTGAATGCACACATCACAAAGAAGTTTCTGAGGATGCTGCTGGCTACTTTTTATACGTAATCCCGTTTCCAACGAAATCGTCCAAGCTATCCAAATATCCACTTGCAGATTCCACAGAAAGACTGTTTCAAAACTGCTCTGTCAATAGAAAGGTTCAACTCTGTTAGCTGCGTGCATATATCCCAAAGAAGATTCTGAGATTGCTTCTGTCTAGTTTTTATGGGAAGATATTTCCCTTTTCACCGTAGGCGTCAAGGCGCTCCAAATGTCCACTTCCAGATACTACAAAAAGAGTGTTTCAAACCTACTCTGTGAAAGAGAATATTCAACTCTGTGACTTAAAGGCAGATATCACAAAGAAGTTTCTGAGAATGCTTCTGTCGAGATTTTATATGAAGATATTCCCGTTTCCAACGAAATCCTGAAATCTATCCAAATATCCCCTCGCAGATTCTACAAAAAGAGTGTTTCAAAACTACTCTGTAAAAAGAAATGTTCAACTCTGTTAGTTGAGTACACACATCACAAACAAGTTTCACAGAATGCTTCTTTCTAGCTTGTAGGGAAGATATTCCCTTTATCACCTTGGGCCTCAAACCGTCCGAAACATCCACTTCCATATACTACAAAAAGAGCGTTTCAAACCTGCTCTATGAAAGGCAATGTTCAACTCTGTGACTTGAATGCAGACATCACAGAGCAGTTTCTGAGAATGCTTCTGTCTAGATTTTATAGGAAGATATTCCCGTTTCCAACGAAATCTTCACAGCTATCCAAATATCCAATTGCAGATTCTACAAAAAGAGTGTATCAAAACTGCTCTGTCAAAAGGAAGGTTCTTCTCTGTTAGGTGAGTGCATACGTCATAAAGGAGTTTCTGAGAATGTTTCTGTCTAGTGGTTATGGGAAGATATTTGCTTTTTCACCGTAGGCCTCAGAGCGCTCCAAATATCCACTTGCACATACTACAAAAAGAGTGCTTCAAAGCTGCTCTCTGAAACGGAATGTTCAACTCTATGAGTTGAATGCAAACATCACAAAGACTTTTCTGAGAATGCTTCTGTCTAGATTTGATATGAAGATATTCCCGTTTCCAACGAAATCTTCAAATCTATCCAAATGTCCACTTGCAGATTCAACAAAAAGTGTTTTTCAAAACTGCTCTATCTAAAGAAAGATCCACGTCTGTTAGCTGAGTTCACACATCACAAACAAGTTTATGAGAATGCTTCTGTCTAGTTTTTATTTGAAGATATTTCCTTTCTCACCATAGACCTGAAAGCTGTCCTAATGTTCACTTCCAGATACTACAGAAAGAGTGTTTCAAAACTGCTGTACGAAAGGGAATGTTCAACTCTGTGATTTGAATGCACACATCACAAAGAAGTTTCTGAGGATGCTGCTGTCTACTTTTTATACGTAATCCCGTTTCCAACGAAATCCTCCAAGCTATCCAAATATCCACTTGCAGATTCCACAGAAAGACTGTTTCAAAACTGCTCTGTCAATAGAAAGGTTCAACTCTATTAGCTGCGTACATATATCCCAAAGAAGATTCTGAGATTGCGTCTGTCTAGTTTTTATGGGAAGATATTTCCCTTTTCACCGTAGGCGTCAAGGCGCTCCAAATGTCCACTTCCAGATACTACAAAAAGAGTGTTTCAAACCTACTCTGTGAAAGGGAATATTCAACACTGTGACTTGAATGCACATATCACAAAGAAGTTTCTGAGAATGCTTCTGTCGAGATTTTATATGAAGATATTCCCGTTTCCAACGAAATCCTGAAAACTATCCAAATATCCCCTCGCAGATTCTACAAAAAGAGTGTTTCAAAACTGCTCTGTAAAAAGAAAGGTTCAACTCTGTTAGTGGAGTACACACATCACAAAAAAGTTTCACAGAATGCTTCTTTCTAGCTTGTAGGGGAAGATATTCCCTTTATCACCATGGGCCTCAAACCGTCCGAAACGTCTACTTCCATATACTACAAAAAGAGCGTTTCAAACCTGCTCTATGAAAGGCAATGTTCAACTCTGTGACTTGAATGCAGACATCACAGACCAGTTTCTGAGAATGCTTCTGTCTAGATTTTATAGGAAGATATTCCCGTATCCAACGAAATCTTCACAGCTATCCAAATATCCACTTGCAGATTCTACAAAAAGAGTGTATCAAAACTGCTCTGTCAAAAGGAAGGTTCTTCTCTGTTAGTTGAGTGCATACGTCATAAAGGAGTTTCTGAGAATGTTTCTGTCTAGTGGTTAGGGGAAGATATTTGCTTTTTCACCTTAGGCCTCAGAGCGCTCCAAATATCCCCTTGCACATACTACAAAAAGAGTGCTTCAAAGCTGCTCTCTGAAAGGGAATGTTCAACTCTGTGAGTTGAATGCAAACATCACAAAGACGTTTCTGAGAATGCTTCTGTCTAGATTTGATATGAAGATATTCCCGTTTCCAACGAAATCTTCAAATCTATCCAAATGTCCGCTTGCAGATTCAACAAAACGTGTTTTTCAGAACTGCTCTATCAAAAGAAAGATCCACGTCTCTAAGCTGAGTTCACACATCACAAACAAGTTTATGAGAATGCTTCTGTCTAGTTTTTATTTGAAGATATTTCCTTTCTCACCATAGACCTGAAAGCTGTCCTAATGTTCACTTCCACATACTACAGAAAGAGTGTTTCAAAACTGCTGTACGAAAGGGAATGTTCAACTCTGTGACTTGAATGCACACATCACAAAGAAGTTTCTGAGGATGCTGCTGTCTACTTTTTATGCGTAATCCCGTTTCCAACGAAATCCTCCAAGCTATCCAAATATCCACTTGCAGATTCCACAGAAAGACTGTTTCAAAACTGCTCTGTCAATAGAAAGGTTCAACTCTGATAGCTGCGTGCATATATCCCAAAGAAGATTCTGAGATTGCTTCTGTCTAGTTTTTATGGGAAGATATTTCCCTTTTCACCGTGGGCGTCAAGGCGCTCCAAATGTCCACTTCCAGATACTACAAGAAGAGTGTTTCAAACCTACTCTGTGAAAGGGAATATTCAACTCTGTGACTTGAATGCACATATCACAAGGAAGTTTCTGAGAATGCTTCTGTCGAGATTTTATATGAAGTTATTCCCGTTTCCAACGAAATCCTGAAATCTATCCAAATATCCCCTCGCAGATTCTACAAAAAGAGTGTTTCAAAACTGCTCTGTAAAAAGAAAGGTTCAACTCTGTTAGTTGAGTACACACATCACAAACAAGTTTCACAGAATGCTTCTTTCTAGCTTGTAGGGGAAGATATTCCCTTTATCACCATGGGCCTCAAACCGTCCGAAAAGTCCACTTCCATATACTACAAAAAGAGCGTTTCAAACCTGCTCTATGAAAGGCAATGTTCAACTGCTGTGACTTGAATGCAGACATCACAGAGCAGTTTCCTGAGAATGCTTCTGTCTAGATTTTATAGGAAGATATTCCCGTTTCCAACGAAATCTTCACAGCTATCCAAATATCCACTTGCAGATACTACAAAAAGAGTGTATCAAAAATGCTCTGTCAAAAGGAAAGTTCTTCTCTGCTAGTTGAGTACATACGTCATAAAGAAGTTTCTCAGAATGTTTCTGTCTAGTGGTTATGGGAAGATACTTGCTTTTTCCCCGTAGGCCTCAGAGCGCTCCAAATGTCAACTTGCACATGCTACAAAAAGAGTGCTTCAAAGCTGCTCTCTGAAGCGGAATGTTCAACTCTATGCGTTGAATGCAAACATCACAAAGACGTTTCTGAGAATGCTTCTGTCTAGATTTGATATGAAGATATTCCCGTTTCCAACGAAATCTTCAAATCTATCCAAATGTCCACTTGCAGATTCAACAAAAAGTGTTTTTCAGAACTGCTCTATCAAAAGAAAGATCCACCTCTGTTAGCTGAGTTCACACATCAGAAAAAAGTTTATGAGAATGCTTCTGTCTAGTTTTTATTTGAAGATATTTCCTTTCTCACCATAGACCTGAAAGCTGTCCTAATGTTCACTCCCAGATACTACAGAAAGAGTGTTTCAAAACTGCTGTACGAAAGGGAATGTTCAACTCTGTGACTTGAATGCACACATCACAAAGAAGTTTCTGAGGATGCTGCTGTCTACTTTTTATACGTAATCCCGTTTCCAACGAAATCCTCCAATCTATCCAAATATCCACTTGCAGATTCCACAGAAAGACTGTTTCAAAACTGCTCTGTCAATAGAAAGGTTCAACTCTGTTAGCTGAGTGCATATATCCCAAAGAAGATTCTGAGATTGCTTCTGTCTAGTTTTTATGGGAAGATATTTCCCATTTCACCGTAGGCGTCAAGGCGCTCCAAATGTCCACTTCCAGATACTACAAAAAGAGTGTTTCAAACCTACTCTGTGAAAGGGAATATTCAACTCTGTGACTTGAATGCAGATATCACAAAGAAGTTTCTGAGAATGCTTCTGTCGAGATTTTATATGAAGATATTCCCCTTTCCAACGAAATCCTGAAATCTATCCAAATATGCCCTCGCAGATTCTACAAAAAGACTGTTTCAAAACTGCTCTGTAAAAAGAAAGGTTCAACTCTGTTAGTTGAGTACACACATCACAAACAAGTTTCACAGAATGCTTCTTTCTAGCTTGTAGGGGAAGATATTCCCTTTATCACCATGGGCCTCAAACCGTCCGAAACGTCCACTTCCATATACTACAAAAAGAGCGTTTCAAACCTGCTCTATGAAAGGCAATGTTCAACTCTGTGACTTGAATACAGACATCACAGAGCAGTTTCTGAGAATGCTTCTGTCTAGATTTTATAGGAAGATATTCCCGTTTCCAACGAAATCTTCACAGGTATCCAAATATCCACTTGCAGATTCTACAAAAAGAGTGTTTCAAAACTGCTCTGTCAAAAGGAAGGTTCTTCTCTGTTAGGTGAGTGCATACGTCATAAAGGAGTTTCTGAGAGTGTTTCTGTCTAGTGGTTATGGGAAGATATTTGCTTTTTCACCGTAGGCCTCAGAGCGCTCCAAATATCCGCTTACACATACTACAAAAAGAGTGCTTCAAAGCTGCTCTCTGAAACGGAATGTTCAACTCTATGAGTTGAATGCAAACATCACAAAGACGTTTCTGAGAATGCTTCTGTCTAGATTTGATATGAAGATATTCCCGTTTCCAACGAAATCTTCAAATCTATCAAAATGTCCACTTGCAGATTCAACAAAAAGTGTTTTTTAGAACTGCTCTATCAAAAGAAAGATCCACCTCTGTTAGCTGAGTTCACACATCACAAACAAGTTTATGAGAATGCTTCTGTCTAGTTTTTATTTGAAGATATTTCCTTTCTCACCAAAGACCTGAAAGCTGTCCTAATGTTCACTTCCAGATACTACAGAAAGAGTGTTTCAAAACTGCTGTACGAAAGGGAATGTTCAACTCTGTGACTTGAATGCACACATCACAAAGAAGTTTCTGAGGATGCGGCTGTCTACTTTTTATACTTAATCCCGTTTCCAACGAAATCCTCCAAGCTATCGAAATATCCACTTGCAGATTCCACAGAAAGACTGTTTCAAAACTGCTCTGTCAATAGAAAGGTTCAACTCTGTTAGCTGCGTGCATATATCCCAAAGAAGATTCTGAGATTGCTGCTGTCTAGTTTTTATGGGAAGATATTTCCCTTTTCACCGTAGGCGTCAAGGCGCTCCAAATGACCACTTCCAGATACTACAAAAAGAGTGTTTCAAACCTACTCTGTGAAAGGGAATATTCAACTCTGTGACTTGAATGCAGATATCACAAAGAAGTTTCTGAGAATTCTTCTGTCGAGATTTTATATGAAGATATTCCCGTTTCCAACGAAATCCTGAAATCTATCCAAATATCCCCTCGCAGATTCTACAAAAAGAGTGTTTCAAAACTGCTCTGTAAAAAGAAAGGTTCAACTCTGTTACTTGACTACACACATCACAAACAAGTTGCACACAATGCTTCTTTCTAGCTTGTAGGGGAAGATATTCCCGTTATCTCCATGGGCCTCAAACCGTCCGAAACGTCCACTTCCATATACTAAAAAAAGAGTGTTAGAAACCTGCTCTATGAAAGGCAATGTTCAACACTGTGACTTGAATGCAGACATCACAGAGCAGTTTCTGAGAATGCTTCTGTCTAGATTTTATAGGAAGATATTCCCGTTTCCAACGAAATCTTCACAGCTATCCAAATATCTACTTGCAGACTATACAAAAAGAGTGTATCAAAACTGCTCTGTCAAAAGGAAGGTTCTTCTCTGTTAGGTGAGTGCATACGTCATAAAGGAGTTTCTGAGAATGTTTCTGTCTACTGGTTATGGGAAGATATTTGCTTTTTCCCCTTAGGCCTCAAAGCGCTCCAAATGTCAATTTGCACTTACTACAAAAAGAGTGCTTCAAAACTGCTCTCTGAAAGGGAATGTTCAACTCTATGAGTTGAATGCAAACATCACAAAGACGTTTCTGAGAATGCTTCTGTCTAGATTTGATATGAAGATCTTCCCGTTTCCAACGAAATCTTCAAATCTATCCAAATATCCACTTGCAGATTCAACAAAAAGTGTTTTTCAGAACTGCTCTATCAAAAGAAAGATCCATCTCTGTTAGCTGAGTTCACACATCACAAACAAGTTTATGAGAATGCTTCTGTCTAGTTTTTATTTGAAGATTTTGCCTTTCTCACCATAGACCTGAAAGCTGTCCTAATGTTCACTTCCAGATACTACAGAAAGAGTGTTTCAAAACTGCTGTACGAAAGGGAATGTTCAACTCTGTGACTTGAATGCACACATCACAAAGAAGTTTCTGAGGATGCTGCTGTCTAATTTTTATACGTAATCCCGTTTCCAACGAAATCCTCCAAGCTATCCAAATATCCACTTGCAGATTCCACAGAAAGACTGTTTCAAAACTGCTCTGTCAATAGAAAGGTTCAACTCTGTTAGCTGGGTGCATATATCCCAGAGAAGATTCTGAGATTGCTTCTGTCTAGTTTTTATGGGAAGATATTTCCCTTTTCACCGTAGGCGTCAAGGCGCTCCAAATGTCCACTTCCAGATACTACAAAAAGAGTGTTTCAAACCTACTCTGTGAAAGGGAATATTCAACTCTGTGACTTGAATTCACATATCACAAAGAAGTTTCTGAGAATGCTTCTGTCGAGATTTTATATGAAGATATTCCCGTTTCCAACGAAATCCTGAAATCTATCCAAATATCCCCTCGCAGATTCTTCAAAAAGAGAGTTTCAAAACTGCTCTGTAAAAAGAAAGGCTCTGTTAGTTGAGTACACACATCACAAACAAGTTTCACAGAATGCTTCTTTCTAGCTTGTAGGGGAAGATATTCCCTTTATCACCATGGGCCTCAAACCGTCCGAAACGTCTACTTCCATATACTACAAAAAGAGCGTTTCAAACCTGTTCTATGAAAGGCAATGTTCAACTCTGTGACTTGAATGCAGACATCACAGAGCAGTTTCTGAGAATGCTTCTGTCTAGATCTTATAGGAAGATATTCCCGTTTCAAACGAAATCTTCACAGCTATCCAAATATCCACTTGCAGATTCTACAAAAAGAGTGTATCAAAACTGCTCTGTCAAAAGGAAGGTTCTTCTCTGTTAGGTGAGTGCATACGTCATAAAGGATTTTCTGAGAATGTTTCTGTCTAGTGTTTATGGGAAGATATTTGCTTTTTCACCGTAGGCCTCAGAGCGCTCCAAATATCCACTTGCACATACTACAAAAAGAGTGCCTCAAAGCTGCTCTCTGAAACGGAATGTTCAACTCTATGAGTTGAATGCAAACATCACAAAGACGTTTCTGAGAATGCTTCTGTCTAGATTTCATATGAAGATATTCCCATTTCCAACGAAATCTTCATATCTATCCAAATGTCCACTTGCAGATTCAACAAAAAGTGTTTTTCAAAACTGCTGTATCAAAAGAAAGATCCACGTCTGTTAGCTGAGTTCACACATCACAAACAAGTTTATGAGAATGCTTCTGTCTAGTTTTTATTTGAAGATATATCCTTTCTCACTATAGACGTGAAAGCTCTCCTAAAGTTCACTTCCAGATACTACAGAAAGAGTTTTTCAAAACTGCTGTACGAAAGGGAATGTTCAACTCTGTGACTTGAAAGCACACATCAATAAGGAAGATTCTGAGGATGCTGCTGTCTACTTTTTATACGTAATCCCGTTTCCAACGAAATCCTCCAAGCTATCCAAATATCCACTTGCAGATTCCACAGAAAGACAGTTTCAAAACTGCTCTGTCAATAGAAAGGTTCAACTCTGTTAGCTGCGTGCATATATCCCAAAGAAGATTCTGAGATTGCTTCTGTCTACTTTTTATGAGAAGATATTTCCCTTTTCACCGTAGGCGTCAAGGCGCTCCAAATGTCTACTTCCAGATACTACAAAAAGAGTGTTTCAAACCTACTCAGTGAAAGGGAATATTCAACTCTGTGACTTGAATGCAGATATCACAAAGAAGTTTCTGAGAATGCTTCTGTCGAGATTTTATATGAAGATATTCCCGTTTCCAACGAAATGCTGAAATCTATCCAAATATCCCCTCGCAGATTCTACAAAAAGAGTGTTTCAAAACTGCTCTGTGAAAAGAAAGGTTCAACTCTGTTAGTTGAGTACACACATCACAAACAAGTTTCACACAATGCTTTCTTTCTAGCTTGTAGGGGAAGATATTCCCTTTATCACCATGGGCCTCAAACCGTCCGAAACGTCCACTGCCATATATTACAAAAAGAGCGTTTCAAACCTGCTTTATGAAAGGCAATGTTCAACTCTGTGACTTGAATGCAGACATCACAGAGCAGTTTCTGAGAATGCTTCTGTCTAGATTTTATAGGAAGATATTCCCGTTTCCAACGAAATCTTCACAGCTATTCAAATATCCACTTGCAGATTCTACAAAAAGAGTGTATCAAAACTGCTCTGTCAAAAGGAAGGTTCTTCTCTGTTAGGTGAGTGCACACGTCATAAAGGAGTTTCTGAGAATGTTTCTGTCTAGTGGTTATGGGAAGATATTTTCTTTTTCACCGTAGGCCTCAGAGCGCTCCAAATATCCACTTGCACATACTACAAAAAGAGTGTTTCAAAGCTGCTCTCTGAAAGGGAATGTTCAACTCTATGAGTTGAATGCAAACATGACAGAGACGTTTCTGAGAATGCTTCTGTCTAGATTTGATATGAAGATATCCCCGTTTCCAACGAAATCTTCAAATCTATCCAAATGTCCACTTGCAGATTCAACAAAAAGTGTTTTTCAGAACTGCTCTATCAAAAGAAAGATCCACCTCTGTTAGCTGAGTTCACACATCACAAACAAGTTTATGAGAATGCTTCTGTCTAGTTTTTATTTGAAGATATTTCCTTTCTCACCATGGACCTGAAAGCTGTCCTAATGTTCACTTCCAGATACTACAGAAAGAGTGTTTCAAAACTGCTGTACGAAAGGGAATGTTCAACTCTGTGACTTGAATGCACACATCACAAAGAAGTTTCTGAGGATTCTGCTGTCTACTTTTTATACTTAATCCCGTTTCCAACGAAATCCTCCAAGCTATCCAAATATCCACTTGCAGATTCCACAGAAAGGCTGTTTCAAAACTGCTCTGTCAATAGAAAGGTTCAACTCTGTTAGCTGCGTGCATATATCCCAAAGAAGATTCTGAGATTGCTTCTGTCTACTTTTTATGAGAAGATATTTCCCTTTTCACCGTAGGTGTCAATGCGCTCCAAATGTCCACTTCCAGATACTAGAAAAAAAGTGTTTCAAACCTACTCTGTGAAAGGGAATATTCAACTCTGTGACTTGAATGCACATATCACAAAGAAGCTTCTGAGAATGCTTCTGTCGAGATTTTATATAAAGATATTCCCGTTTCCAACGAAATCCTGAAATCTATCCAAATATCCCCTCGCAGATTCTACAAAAAGAGTGTTTCAAAACTGCTCTGTAAAAAGAAAGGTTCAATTCTGTTAGTTGAGTACACACATCACAAACAAGTTTCACAGAATCCTTCTTTCTAGCTTGTAGGGGAAGATATTTCCTTTATCACCATTGTCCTCAAACCGTCCGAAACGTCCACTTCCATATACTAAAAAAAGAGTGTTTGAAAGCTGCTCTATGAAAGCCAATGTTCAACTCTGTGACTTGAATGCAAACACCACAGAGCAGTTTCTGAGAATGCTTCTGTCTAGATTTTATAGGAAGATATTCCCGTTTCCAACGAAATCTTCACAGCTATCCAAATATCCACTTGCAGATTCTACAAAAAGAGTGTATCAAAACTGCTCTGTCAAAAGGAAGGTTCTTTTCTGTTAGGTGAGTGCATACGTCATAAAGGCGTTTCTGAGAATGTTTGTGTCTAGTGGTTATGGGAAGATATTTGCTTTTTCACCTTAGGCCTCAGAGCGCTCAAAATATCCCCTTGCACATACTACAAAAAGAGTGCTTCAAAGCTGCTCTCTGAAAGGGAATGTTCAATTCTATGAGTTGAATGCAAACATCACAAAGACGTTTCTGAGAATGCTTCTGTCTAGATTTGATATAAAGATATTCCCGTTTCCAACGAAATCTTCAAATCTATCCAAATGTCCACTTGGAGATTCAACAAAAAGTGTTTTTCCGAACTGCTCTATCAAAAGAAAGATCCACCTCTGTTAGCTGAGTTGACACATCACAAACAAGTTTATGAGAATGCTTTCTGTCTAGTTTTTATTTGAAGATATTTCCTTTCTCGCCATAGACCTGAAAGCTGTCCTAATGTTCACTTCCAGATACTACAGAAAGAGTGTTTCAAAACTGCTGTACGAAAGGGAATGTTCAACTCTGTGACTTGAATGCACACATCACAAAGAAGTTTCTGAGGATGCTGCTGTCTACTTTTTATACTTAATCCCGTTTCCAACGAAATCCTCCAAGCTATCCAAATATCCACTTTCAGATTCCACAGAAAGACTGTTTCAAAACTGCTCTGTCAATAGAAAGGTTCAACTCTGTTAGCTGCGTGCATATATCCCAAAGAAGATTCTGAGATTGCTTCTGTCTAGTTTTTATGGGAAGATATTTCCCTTTTCACCGTAGGCGTCAAGGCGCTCCAAATCTCCACTTCCAGATACTACAAAAAGAGTGTTTCAAACCTACTCTGTGAAAGGGAATATTCAACTCTGTGACTTGAATGGAGATATCACAAAGAAGTTTCTGAGAATGCTTCTGTCGAGATTTTGTATGAAGATATTCCCGTTTCCAACGAAATCCTGAAATCTATCCAAATATCCCCTCGCAGATTCTACAAAAAGAGTGTTTCAAAACTGCTCTGTGAAAAGAAAGGTTCAACTCTGTTAGTTGAGTACAGACATCACAAACAAGTTTCACAGAATGCTTCTTTCTAGCTTGTAGGGGAAGATATTCCCTTTATCACCATGGGCCTCAAACCGTCCGAAAAGTCCACTTCCATATACTACAAAAAGAGCGTTTCAAACCTGCTCTATGAAAGGCAATGTTCAACTCTGTGACTTGAATACAGACATCACAGAGCAGTTTCTGAGAATGCTTCTGTCCAGACTTTATAGGAAGATATTCCCGATTCCAACGAAATCTTCACAGCTATCCAAATATCCACTTGCAGATACTACAAAAAGAGTGTATCAAAAAAGCTCTGTCAAAAGGAAAGTTCTTTTCTGCTAGTTGAGTACATACGTCATAAAGAAGTTTCTGAGAATGTTTCTGTCTAGTTGTTATGGGAAGATATTTGCTTTTTCCCCGTAGGCCTCAGAGCGTTCCAAATGTCCACTTGAACATACTACAAAAAGAGTGCTTCAAAGCTGCTCTCTGAAAGGGAATGTTCAACTCTATGAGTTCAATGCAAACATCACAAAGACGTTTCTGAGAATGCTTCTGTCTAGATTTGATATGACGATATTCCCGTTTCCAATGAAATCTTCAAATCTATCCAAATGTCCACTTGCAGATTCAACAAAACGTGTTTTTCAGAACTGCTCTATCAAAAGAAAGATCCACGTCTATTAGCTGAGTTCACACATCACAAACAAGTTTATGAGAATGCTTCTGTCTAGTTTTTATTTGAAGATATTTCCTTTCTCACCATAGAGCTGAAAGCTGTCCTAATGTTCACTTCCAGATGCTACAGAAAGAGTGTTTCAAAACTGCTGTACGAAAGGGTATGTTCAACTCTGTGACTTGAATGCACACATCACAAAGAAGTTTCTGAGGATGCTGCTGTCTACTTTTTATACGTAATCCCGTTTCCAATGAAATCCTCCAATCTATCCAAATATCCACTTGCAGATTCCACAGAAAGACTGTTTCAAAACTGCTCTGTCAATAGAAAGGTTCAACTCTGTTAGCTGTGTGCATATATCCCAAAGAAGATTCTGAGATTGCTTCTGTCTAGTTTTTATGGGAAGATATTTGCCTTTTCACCGTAGGTGTCAAGGCGCTCCAAATGTCCACTTCCAGATACTACAAAAAGAGTGTTTCAAACCTACTCTGTGAAAGGGAATATTCAACTCTGTGACTTGAATGCACATATCACAAGGAAAGTTTCTGAGAATGCTTCTGTCGAGATTTTATATGAAGATATTCCCGTTTCCAACGAAATGCAGAAATGTATCCAAATATCCCCTCGCAGATTCTACAAAAAGAGTGTTTCAAAACTGCTCTGTAAAAAGAAAGGTTCAACTCTGTTAGTTGAGTACACACATCACAAACAAGTTTCACACAATGCTTCTTTCTAGCTTGTAGGGGAAGATATTCCCTTTATCACCATGGTCCTCAAACCGTCCGAAACGTCCACTTCCATATACTACAAAAAGAGCGTTTCAAACCTGCTCTAGGAAAGGCAATGTTCAACTCTGTTACTTGAATGCAGACATCACAGAGCAGTTTCTGAGAATGCTTCTGTCTAGATTTTATAGGAAGATATTCCCGTTTCCAACGAAACCTTCACAACTATCCAAATATCCACTTGCAGATTCTACAAAAAGAGTGTATCAAAACTGCTCTGTCAAAAGGAAGGTTCTTTTCTGTTAGGTGAGTGCATACGTCATAAAGGAGTTTCTGAGAATGTTTCTGTCTAGTGGTTATGGGAAGATATTTGCTTTTTCACCGTAGGCCTCAGAGCGCTCCAAATATCCACTTGCACATACTACAAGAAGAGTGCTTCAAACCTGCTCTCTGAAACGGAATGTTCAACTCTATGAGTTGAATGCAAACATCACAAAGACGTTTCTGAGAATGCTTCTGTCTAGATTTGATATAAAGATATTCCCGTTTCCAACGAAATCTTCAAATCTATCCAAATGTCCACTTGGAGATTCAACAAAAAGTGTTTTTCCGAACTGCTCTATCAAAAGAAAGATCCACCTCTGTTAGCTGAGTTGACACATCACAAACAAGTTTATGAGAATGCTTCTGTCTAGTTTTTATTTGAAGATATTTCCTTTCTCACCATAGACCTGAAAGCTGTCCTAATGTTCACTTCCAGTTACTACAGAAAGAGTGTTTCAAAACTGCTGTACGAAAGGGAATGTTCAACTCTGTGACTTGAATGCACACATCACAATGAAGTTTCTGAGGATGCTGCTGTCTACTTTTTATACTTAATCCCGTTTCCAACGAAATCCTCCAAGCTATCCAAATATCCACTTGCAGATTCCACAGAAAGACTGTTTCAAAACTGCTCTGTCAATAGAAAGGTTCAACTGCTGTTAGCTGCGTGCATATATCCCAAAGAAGATTCTGAGATTGCTTCTGTCTAGTTTTTATGGGAAGATATTTCCCTTTTCACCGTAGGTGTCAAGGCGCTCCAAATGTCCACTTCCAGATACTACAAAAAGAGTGTTTCAAACCTACTCTGTGAAAGGGAATATTCAACTCTGTGACGTGAATGCACATATCACAAGGAAGTTTCTGAGAATGCTTCTGTCGAGATTTTATATGAAGATATTCCCGTTTCCAACGAAATCCTGAAATCTATCCAAATATCCCCTCGCAGATTCTACAAAAAGAGTGTTTCAAAACTGCTCTGTAAAAAGAAAGGTTCAACTCTGTTAGTTGAGTACACACATCACAAACAGGTTTCACAGATTGCTTCTTTCTAGCTTGTAGGGGAAGATATTCCCTTTATCACCATGGGCCTCAAACCGTCCGAAAAGTCTACTTCCATATACTACAAAAAGAGCGTTTCAAACCTGCTCTATGAAAAGCAATGTTCAACTCTGTGACTTGAATGCAGACATCACAGAGCAGTTTCTGAGAATGCTTCTGTCTAGGTTTTATAGGAAGATATTCCCGTTTCCAACGAAATCTTCACAGCTATCCAAATATCCACTTGCAGATTCTACAAAAAGAGTGTATCAAAACTGCTCTGTCAAAAGGAAGGTTCTTTTCTGTTAGGTGAGTGCATACGTCATAAAGGAGTTTCTGAGAATGTTTCTGTCTAGTGGTTTTGGGAAGATATTTGCTTTTTCACCGTAGGCCTCAGAGCGCTCCAAATATCCACTTGCACATACTACAAAAAGAGTGCCTCAAAGCTGCTCTCTGAAACGGAATGTTCAACTCTATGAGTTGAATGCAAACATCGCAAAGACGTTTCTGAGAATGCTTCTGTCTAGTATTTGATATGAAGATATTCCCGTTTCCAACGAAATCTTCAAATCTATCCAAATGTCCACTTGCAGATTCATCAAAAAGTGTTTTTCAAAACTGCTGTATCAAAAGAAAGATCCACGTCTGTTAGCTGAGTTCACACATCACAAACAAGTTTATGAGAATGCTTCTGTCTAGTTTTTATTTGAAGATATTTCCTTTCTCACCATAGACCTGAAAGCTGTCCTAATGTTCACTTCCAGTTACTACAGAAAGAGTGTTTCAAAACTGCTGTACGAAAGGGAATGTTCAACTCTGTGACTTGAATACACACATCACAAAGAAGTTTCTGAGGATGCTGCTGTCTACTTTTTATACGTAATCCCGTTTCCAACGAAGTCCTCCAAGCTATCCAAATATCCACTTGCAGATTCCACAGAAAGGCTGTTTCAAAACTGCTCTGTCAATAGAAAGGTTCAACTCTGTTAGCTGCGTGCATATATCCCAAAGAAGATTCTGAGATTGCTTCTGTCGAATTTTTATGGGAAGATATTTCCCTTTTCACCGTAGGTGTCAAGGCGCTCCAAATGTCCACTTCCAGATACTACAAAAAGAGTGTTTCAAACCTACTCTGTGAAAGGGAATATTCAACTCTGTGACTTGAATGCACATATCACAAAGAAGTTTCTGAGAATGCTTCTGTCGAGATTTTATAGGAAGATATTCCCTTTTCCAACGAAATCATGAATTCTATCCAAATAACCCCTCGCAGATTCTACAAAAAGAGTGTTTCAAAACTCCTCTGTAAAAAGAAAGGTTCAACTCTGTTAGTTGAGTACACACATCACAAACAAGTTTCACAGAATGCTTCTCTCTAGCTTGTAGGGGAAGATATTTCCTATATCACCATGGGCCTCAAACTGTCCGAATCGTCCCCTTCCATATACTAAAAAAAGAGTGTTTGAAACCTCCTCTATGAAAGGCAATGTTCTACTCTGTGACTTGAATGCAGACATCACAGGGCAGTTTCTGAGAATGCTTCTGTCTAGATTTTATAGGAAGATATTCCCGTTTCCAACGAAATCTTCACAGCTATCCAAATATCCACTTGCAGATTCTACAAAAAGAGTGTATCAAAACTGCTCTGTCAAAAGGAAGGTTCTTTTCTGTTAGCTGAGTGCATACGTCATAAAGGAGTTTCTGAGAATGTTTCTGTCTAGTGGTTATGGGAAGATATTTGCTTTTTCACCTTAGGCCTCAGAGCGCTCCAAATATCCCCTTGCAAATACTACAAAAAGAGTGCTTCAAAGCTGCTCTCTGAAAGAGAATGTTCAACTCTATGAGTTGAATGCAAACATCACAAAGACGTTTCTGGGAATGCTTCTGTCTAGATTTGATATGAAGATATTCCCGTTTCCAACGAAATCTTCATATCTATCCAAATGTCCACTTGCAGATTCAACAAAAAGTGTTTTTCAAAACTGCTGTATCAAAAGAAAGATCCACGTCTGTTAGCTGAGTTCACACATCACAAACAAGTTTATGAGAATGATTCTGTCTAGTTTTTATTTGAAGATATATCCTTTCTCACTATAGACCTGAAAGCTCTCCTAAAATTCACTTCCAGATACTACAGAAAGAGTGTTTCAAAACTGCTGTACGAAAGGGAATGTTCAACTCTGTGACTTGAATGCACACATCACAAGGATGTTTCTGAGGATGCTGCTGTCTACTTTTTATACGTAATCCCGTTTCCAACGAAATCCCCCAAGCTATCCAAATATCCACTTGCAGATTCCACAGAAAGACTGTTTCAAAACTGCTCTGTCAATAGAAAGGTTCAACTCTGTTAGCTGCGTGCATATATCCCAAAGAAGATTCTGAGATTGCTTCTGTCTACTTTTTATGAGAAGATATTTCCCTTTTCACCGTAGGCGTCAAGGTGCTCCAAATGTCCACTTCCAGATACTACAAAAAGAGTGTTTCAAACTTACTCTGTGAAAGGGAATATTCAACTCTGTGACTTGAATGCACATATCACAAAGAAGCTTCTGAGAATGCTTCTGTCGAGATTTTATATGAAGATATTCCCGTTTCCAACGAAATCCTGAAATCTATCCAAATATCCCCTCGCAGATTCTACAAAAAGAGTGTTTCAAAACTGCTCTGTAAAAAGAAAGGTTCAACTCTGTTAGTTGAGTACACACATCACAAACAAGTTTCACAGAATGCTTATCTTTCTAGCTTGTAGGGGAAGATATTCCCTTTATCACCATGGGCCTCCAACCGTCCGAAACATCCACTTCCATATACTACAAAAAGAGCGTTTCAAACCTGCTCTATGAAAGTCAATGTTCAACTCTGTGACTTGAATGCAGACATCACAGAGCAGTTTCTGAGAATGCTTCTGTCTAGATTTTATAGGAAGATATTCCCGTTTCCAACGAAATCTTCACAGCTATCCAAATATCCACTTGCAGATTCTACAAAAAGAGTGGATCAAAACTGCTCTTTCAAAAGGAAGGTTCTTCTCTGTTAGGTGAGTGCACACGTCATAAAGGAGTTTCTGAGAATGTTTCTGTCTAGTGGTTATGGGAAGATATTTGCTTTTTCACCTTAGGCCTCAGAGCGCTCTAAATATCCCCTTGCACATACTACAAAAAGAGTGCTATAAAGCTGCTCTCTCAAAGGGAATGTTCAACTCTATGAGTTGAATGCAAACATCACAAAGACGTTTCTGGGAATGCTTCTGTCTAGATTTGATATGAAGATATTCCCGTTTCCAACGAAATCTTCAAATCTATCCAAATGTCCACTTGCAGATTCAACAAAAAGTGTTTTTCAGAACTGCTCTATCAAAAGAAAGATCCACCTCTGTTAGATGAGTTCACACATCACAAACAAGTTTATGAGAATGCTTTCTGTCTAGTTTTTATTTGAAGATATTACCTTTCTCACCATAGACCTGAAAGCTGTCCTAATGTTCACTTCCAGATACTACAGAAAGAGTGTTTCAAAACTGCTGTACGAAAGGGAATGTTCAACTACTGTGACTTGAATGCACACATCACAAAGAAGTTTGCTGAGGATGCTGCTGTCTACTTTTTATACGTAATCCCGTTTCCAAGGAAATCCTCCAAGCTATCCAAATATCCACTTGCAGATTCCACAGAAAGACTGTTTCAAAACTGCTATGTCAATAGAAAGGTTCAACTCTGTTAGCTGCGTGCATATATCCCAAAGAAGATTCTGAGATTGCTTCTGTCTAGTTTTTATGGGAAGATATTTCCCTTTTTACCGTAGGCGTCAAGGCGCTCCAAATGTCCACTTCCAGATACTACAAAAAGAGTTTTTCAAACCTACTCGGTGAAAGGGAATATTCAACTCTGTGACTTGAATGCACATATCACAAAGAAGTTTCTGAGAATGCTTCTGTCGAGATTTTATATGAAGATATTCCCGTTTCCAACGAAATGCTGAAATGTATCCAAATATCCCCACGCAGATTCTACAAAAAGAGTGTTTCAAAACTGCTCTGTAAAAAGAAAGGTTCAACTCTGTTAGTTGAGTACACACATCACAAACAAGTTTCACAGAATGCTTCTTTCTAGCTCGTAGGGGAAGATATTCCCTTTATCACCATGGGCCTCAAACCGTCCGAAACGTCCACTTCCATATACTACAAAAAGAGCGTTTCAAACCTGCTCTATGAAAGGCAATGTTCAACTCTGTGACTTGAATGCAGACATCACAGAACAGTTTCTGAGAATGCTTCTGTCTAGATTTTATAGGAAGTTATTCCCGTTTCCAACGAAATCTTCACAGCTATCCAAATATCCACTTGCAGATTCTACAAAAAGAGTGTATCAAAACTGCTCTGTCAAAAGGAAGGTTCTTCTCTCTTAGGTGAGTGCATACGTCGTAAAGGAGTTTCTGAGAATGTTTCTGTCTAGTGGTTATGGGAAGATATTTGCTTTTTACCGTAGGCCTCAGAGCGCTCCAAATATCCACTTGCACATACTACAAAAAGAGTGCTTCAAAGCTGGTCTCTGAAACGGAATGTTCAACTCTATGAGTTGAATGCAAACATCACAAAGACGTTTCTGAGAATGCTTCTGTCTAGATTTGATATGAAGATATTCCCGTTTCCAACGAAATCTTCAAATCTATCCAAATGTCCACTTGCAGATTCAACAAAAAGTGTTTTTCAGAACTGCTCAATCAAAAGAAAGATCCACCTGTGTTAGCTGAGTTCACACATCACAAACAAGTTTATGAGAATGCTATCTGTCTAGTTTTTATTTGAAGATATTTCCTTTCTCACCATAGACGTGAAAGCTGTCCTAATGTTCACTTCCAGATACTACAGAAAGAGTTTTTCAAAACTGCTGTACGAAAGGGAATGTTCAACTCTGTGACTTGAATGCACACAACACAAAGAAGTTTCTGAGGATGCTGCTGTCTACTTTTTATACGTAATCCCGTTTCCAACGAAATCCTCCAAGCTATCCAAATATCCACTTGCAGATTCCACAGAAAGACTGTTTCAAAACTGCTCTGTCAATACAAAGGTTCAACTCTGTTAGCTGCGTGCATATATCCCAAAGTAGATTCTGAGATTGCTTCTGTCTAGTTTTTATGGGAAGATATTTCCCTTTTCACCGTAGGTGTCAAGGCGCTCCAAATGTCCACTTCCAGATACTACAAAAAGAGTGTTTCAAACCTACTCTGTGAAAGGGAATATTCAACCCTGTGACTTGAATGCAGATATCACAAAGAAGTTTCTGAGAATGCTTCGGTCGAGATTTTATATGAAGATATTCCCGTTTCCAACGAAATCCTGAAATGTATCCAAATATCCCCTCGCAGATTCTACAAAAAGAGTGTTTCAAAACTGCTCTGTAAAAAGAAAGGTTCAACTCTGTTAGTTGAGTACACACATCACAAACAAGTTTCACAGAATGCTTCTTTCTAGCTTGTAGGGGAAGATATTCCCTTTATCACCATGGGCCTCAAACCGTCCGAAACGTCCACTTCCATATACTTCAAAAAGAGCGTTTCAAACCTGCTCTATGAAAGGCAATGTTCAACACTGTGACTTGAATGCAGACATCACAGAGCTGTTTCTGAGAATGCTTCTGTATAGATTTTATAGGAAGATATTCCCGTTTCCAACGAAATCTTCACAGCTATCCAAATATCCACTTGCAGATTCTACAAAAAGAGTGTTTCAAAACTGCTCTGTCAAAAGGAAGGTTCTTCTCTGTTAGGTGAGTGCATACGTCATAAAGGAGTTTCTGAGAATGTTTCTGTCTAGTGGTTATGGGAAGATATTTGCTTTTTCACCGTAGGCCTCAGAGCGCTCCAAATATCCACTTGCACATACTACAAAAAGAGTGCTTCAAAGCTGGTCTCTGAAACGGAATGTTCAACTCTATGAGTTGAATGCAAACATCACAAAGACGTTTCTGAGAATGCTTCTGTCTAGATTTGATATGAAGATATTCCCGTTTCCAACGACATCTTCAAATCTATCCAAATGTCCACTTGCAGATTCAACAAAAAGTGTTTTTCAGAACTGCTCTATCAAAAGAAAGATCCACGTGTGTTAGCTGAGTTCACACATCACAAACAAGTTTATGAGAATGCTTCTGTCTAGTGTTTATTTGAAGATATTTCCTTTCTCACCATAGACCTGAAAGCTGTCCTAATGTTCACTTCCAGATACTACAGAAAGAGTGTTTCAAAACTGCTGTACGAAAGGGAATGTTCAACTCTGTGACTTGAATGCACACATCACAAAGAAGTTTCTGAGGATGCTGCTGTCTACTTTTTATACGTAATCCCATTTCCAACGAAATCCTCCAAGCTATCCAAATATCCACTTGCAGATTCCACAGAAAGACTGTTTCAAAACTGCTCTGTCAATAGAAAGGTTCAACTCTGTTAGCTGCGTGCATATATCCCAAAGAAGATTCTGAGATTGCCTCTGTCTAGTTTTTATGGGAAGATATTTCCCTTTTCACCGTAGGTGTCAAGGCGCTCCAAATGTCCACTTCCAGATACTACAAAAAGAGTGTTTCAAACCTTCTCTATGGAAGGGAATATTGAACTCTGTGACTTGAATGCAGATATCACGAAGAAGTTTCTGAAAATGCTTCTGTCGAGATTTTATATGAAGATATTCCCGTTTCCAACGAAATCCTGAAATCTATCAAATATCCCCTCGCAGATTCTACAAAAAGAGTGTTTCAAAACTGCTCTGTAAAAAGAAAGGTTCAACTCTGTTAGTTGAGTACACACATCACAAACAAGTTTCACAGAATGCTTCTTTCTAGCTTGTAGGGGAAGATATTCCCTTTATCACCATGGGCCTCAAACCATCCGAAACGTCCACTTCCATATACTACAAAAAGAGCTTTTCAAAGCTGCTCTAGGAAAGGCAATGTTCAACTCTGTGACTTGAATGCAGACATCACAGAGCAGTTTCTGAGAATGCTTCTGTCTAGATTTTATAGGAAGATATTCCCGTTTCCAAAGAAATCTTCACAGCTATCCAAATATCCACTTGCAGATTCTACAAAAAGAGTGTATCAAAACTGCTCTGTCAAAAGGAAGGTTCTTCTCTGTTAGTTGAGTGCATACGTCATAAAGCAGTTTCTGAGAATGTTTCTGTCTAGCGGTTATGGGAAGATATTTGCTTTTTCACCGTAGGCCTCAGAGCGCTCCAAATATCCACTTGCAGATATTACAAAAAGAGTGCTTCAAAGCTGCTCTCTGAAACGGAATGTTCAACTCTATGAGTTGAATGCAAACATCACAAAGACGTTTCTGAGAATGCTTTTGTCTAGATTTGATATGAAGATATTCCCGTTTCCAACGAAATCTTCAAATCTATCCAAATGTCCACTTGCAGATTCAACAAAAAGTGTTTTTCAGAACTGCTCTATCAAAAGAAAGTTCCACCTCTGTTAGCTGAGTTCACACATCACAAACAAGTTTATGAGAATGCTTCTGTCTAGTTTTTACTTGAAGATATTTCCTTTCTCACCATAGACCTGAAAGCTGTCCTAATGTTCACTTCCAGATACTACAGAAAGAGTGTTTCAAAACTGCTGTACGAAAGGGAATGTTCAACACTGTGACTTGAATGCACACATCACAAAGAAGTTTCTGAGGATGCTGCTGTCTACTTTTTATACTTAATCCCGTTTCCAACGAAATCCTCCAAGCTATCCAAATATCCACTTGCAGATTCCACAGAAAGACTGTTTCAAGACTGCTCTGTCAATAGAAAGGTTCAACTCTGTTAGCTGCGTGCATATATCCCAAAGAAGATTCTGAGATTGCTTCTGTCTAGTTTTTATGGGAAGATATTTCCCTTTTCACCGTAGGTGTCAAGGCGCTCCAAATGTCCACTTCCAGATACTACAAAAAGAGTGTTTCAAACCTACTCTGTGAAAGCGAATATTCAACTCTGTGACTTGAATGCAGATATCACAATGAAGTTTCTGAGAATGCTTCTGTCGAGATTATATATGAAGATATTCCCGTTTCCAACGAAATGCTGAAATGTATCCAAATATCCCCTCACAGATTCTACAAAAAGAGTGTTTCAAAACTGCTCTGTAAAAAGAAAGGTTCAACTCTGTTAGTTGAGTACACACATCACAAACAAGTTTCACAGAATGCTTCTTTCTAGCTTGTAGGAGAAGATATTTCCTTTATCACCATGGGCCTCAAACCGTCCGAAACGTCCACTTCCATATACTAAAAAAAGAGTGTTTGAAACCTGCTCTATGAAAGGCAATGTTCAACTCTGTGACTTGAATGCAGACATCACAGAGCAGTTTCTGAGAATGCTTCTGTCTAGGTTTTATAGGAAGATATTCCCGTTTCCAACGAAATCTTCACAGCTATCCAAATATCCACTTGCAGATAGTACAAAAAGAGTGTATCAAAAATGCTCTGTCAAAAGGAAAGTTCTTCTCTGTTAGTTGAGTACATACGTCATAAAGGAGTTTCTGAGAGTGTTTCTGTCTAGTGGTTATGGGAAGATATTTGCTTTTTCACCGTAGGCCTCAGAGCGCTCCAAATATCCACTTGCACATACTACAAAAAGAGTGCTTCAAAGCTGCTCTCTGAACCGCAATGTTCAATTCTATGAGTTGAATGCAAACATCACAAAGACGTTTCTGAGAATGCTTCTCTCTAGATTTGATATGAAGATATTCCCGTTTCCAACGAAATCTTCAAATCTATCCAAATGTCCACTTGCAGATTCAACAAAAAGTGTTTTTCAGAACTGCTCTATCAAAAGAAAGATCCACGTGTGTTAGCTGAGTTCACACATCACAAACAAGTTTATGAGAATGCTTCTGTCTAGTTTTTATTTGAAGATATTTCCTTTCTCATCATAGAGCTGAAAGCTGTCCTAATGTTCACTTCCAGATACTACAGAAAGAGTGTTTCAAAACTGCTGTACGAAAGGGAATGTTCAACTCTGTGACTTGAATGCACACATCACAAAGAAGTTTCTGAGGATGCTGCTGTCTACTTTTTATACGTAATCCCGTTTCCAATGAAATCCTCCAAGCTATCCAAATATCCACTTGCAGATTCCACAGAAAGACTGTTTCAAAACTGCTCTGTCAATAGAAAGGTTCAACTCTATTAGCTGCGTACATATATCCCAAAGAAGATTCTGAGATTGCTTCTGTCTAGTTTTTATGGGAAGATATTTCATATTTCCTTTTTCACCGTAGGTGTCAAGGCGCTCCAAATGTCCACTTCCAAATACTACAAAAAGAGTGTTTCAAAAATACTCTGTGAAAGGGAATATTCAACCCTGTGACTTGAATGCAGGTATCACAAAGAGGTTTCTCAGAATGCTTCTGTCGAGATTTTATATGAAGATATTCCCGTTTCCAACGAAATCCTGAAATCTATCCAAATATCCCCTCGCAGATTCTACAAAAAGAGTGTTTCAAAACTGCTCTGTAAAAAGAAAGGTTCAACTCTGTTAGTTGAGTACACACATCACAAACAAGTTTCGCAGAATGCTTCTTTCTAGCTTGTAGGGGAAGATATTTCCTTTATCACCATGGGCCTCAAACCGTCCGAAACGTCCACTTCCATATACTAAAAAAAGAGTGCTTGAAACCTGCTCTATGAAAGGCAATGTTCAACTCTGTGACTTGAATGCAAACATCAAAGAGCAGTTTCTGAGAATGCTTCTGTCCGGACTTTATAGGAAGATATTCCCGATTCCAACGAAATCTTCACAGCTATCCAAATATCCACTTGCAGATACTACAAAAAGAGTGTATCAAAAATGCTCTGTCAAAAGGAAAGTTCTTCTCTGCTAGTTGAGTACATACGTCATAAAGAAGTTTCTGAGAATGTTTCTGTCTAGTGGTTATGGGAAGATATGTGCTTTTTCACCGTAGGCCTCAGAGCGCTCCAAATATCCACTTGCACATACTACAAAAAGAGTGCTTCAAAGCTGGTCTCTGAAACGGAATGTTCAACTCTATGAGTTGAATGCAAACATCACAAAGACGTTTCTGAGAATGCTTCTGTCTAGATTTGATATGAAGATATTCCCGTTTCCAACGAAATCTTCAAATCTATCCCTAAATGTCCACTTGCAGATTCAACAAAAAGTGTTTTTCAGAACTGCTCTATCAAAAGAAAGATCCACCTCTGTTAGCTGAGTTCACACATCACAAACAAGTTTATGAGAATGCTTCTGTCTAGTTTTTATTTGAAGATATATCCTTTCTCACTATAGACCTGAAAGCTGTCCTAAAGTTCGCTTCCAGATACTACAGAAAGAGTGTTTCAAAACTGCTGTACGAAAGGGAATGTTCAACTCTGTGACTTGAATGCACACATCACAAGGATGTTTCTGAGGATGCTGCTGTCTACTTTTTATACGTAATCCCGTTTCCAACGAAATCCTCCAATCTATCCAAATATCCACTTGCAGATACCACAGAAAGACTGTTTCAAAACTGCTCTGTCACTAGAAAGGTTCAACTCTGTTAGCTGCGTGCATATATCCCAAAGAAGATTCTGAGATTGCTTCTGTCTAGTTTTTATGGGAAGATATTTCCCTTTTCACCGTAGGTGTCAAGGCGCTCCAAATGTCCACTTCCAGATACTACAAAAAGAGTGTTTCAAACCTATTCTGTGAAAGGGAATATTCAACTCTGTGACTTAAAGGCAGATATCACAAAGAAGTTTCTGAGAATGCTTCTGTCGAGATTTTATATGAAGATATTCCCGTTTCCAACGAAATCCTGAAATGTATCCAAATATCCCCTCGCAGATTCTACAAAAAGAGTGTTTCAAAACTGCTCTGTAAAAAGAAAGGTTCAACTGTGTTAGTTGAGTACACACATCACAAACAAGTTTCACAGAATGCTTCTTTCTAGCTTGTAGGGGAAGATATTCCCTTTATCACCATGGGCCTCAAACCGTCCGAAACGTCCACTTCCATATACTACAAAAAGAGTGTTTCAAACCTGCTCTATGAAAGGCAATGTTCAACTCTGTGACTTGAATGCAGACATCACAGAGCACTTTCTGAGAATTATTCTGTCTAGATTTTATAGGAAGATATTCCCGTTTCCATCGAAATCTTCACAGCTATCCAAATATCCACTTGCAGATTCTACAAAAAGAGTGTATCAAAACTGCTCTTTCAAAAGGAAGGTTCTTCTCTGTTAGTTGAGTACATACGTCATAAAGGAGTTTCTGAGAATGTTTCTGTCTAGTGGTTATGGGAAGATATTTGTTTTTCACCGTAGGCCTCAGAGCGCTCCAAATATCCACTTGCACATACTACAAAAAGAGTGCTTCAAACCTGCTCTCTGAAACGGAATGTTCAACTCTATGAGTTGAATGCAAACATCACAAAGACGTTTCTGAGAATGCTTCTGTCTAGATTTGATATGAAGATATTCCCGTTTCCAACGAAATCTTCAAATCTATCCAAATGTCCAGTTGCAGATTCAACAAAAAGTGTTTTTCAGAACTGCTCTATGAAAAGAAAGATCCACCTCTGTTAGCTGAGTTCACACATCACAAACAAGTTTATGAGAATGCTTCTGTCTAGTTTTTATTTGAAGATATTCCCTTTCTCACCATAGACCTGAAAGCTGTCCTAATGTTCACTTCCAGATACTACAGAAAGAGTGTTTCAAAACTGCTGTACGAAAGGGAATGTTCAACTCTGTGACTTGAATGCACACATCACAAAGAAGTTTCTGAGGATGCTGCTGTCTACTTTTTATACGTAATCCCGTTTCCAGCGAAATCCTCCAATCTATCCAAATATCCACTTGCAGATTCCACAGAAAGACTGTTTCAAAACTGCTCTGTCAATAGAAAGGTTCAACTCTGTTAGCTGCCTGCATATATCCCAAAGAAGATTCTGAGATTGATTCTGTCTAGTTTTTATGTGAAGATATTTCCCTTTTCACCGTAGGTGTCAAGGCGCTCCAAATGTCCACTTCCAGATACTACAAAAAGAGTGTTTCAAACCTACTCTGTGAAAGGGAATATTCAACTCTGTGACTTGAATGCAGATATCACAATGAAGTTTCTGAGAATGCTTCTGTCGAGATTTTATATGAAGATATTCCCGTTTCCAACGAAATCCTGAAAACTATCCAAATATCCCCTCGCAGATTCTACAAAAAGAGTGTTTCAAAACTGCTCTGTAAAAAGAAAGGTTCAACTCTGTTAGTTGAGTACACACATCACAAAAAAGTTTCACAGAATGCTTCTTTCTAGCTTGTAGGGGAAGATATTCCCTTTATCACCATGGGCCTCAAACCGTCCGAAACGTCTACTTCCATATACTACAAAAAGAGCGTTTCAAACCTGCTCTATGAAAGGCAATGTTCAACTCTGTGACTTGAATGCAGACATCACAGATCAGTTTCTGAGAATGCTTCTGTCCGGACTTTATAGGAAGATATTCCCGATTCCAACGAAATCTTCACAGCTATCCAAATATCCACTTGCAGATACTACAAAAAGAGTGTATCAAAAATGCTCTGTCAAAAGGAAAGTTCTTCTCTGCTAATTGAGTACATACGTCATAAAGAAGTTTCTGAGAATGTTTTCTGTCTAGTGGTTATGGGAAGATATTTGCTTTTTCACCTTAGGCCTCAGAGCGCTCCAAATATCCCCTTGCACATACTACAAAAAGAGTGCTTCAAAGCTGTTCTCTGAAAGGGAATGTTCAACTCTATGAGTTGAATGCAAACATCACAAAGACGTTTCCGAGAATTCTTCTGTCTAGATTTGATATGAAGATATTCCCGTTTCCAACGAAATCTTCAAATCTATCCAAATGTCCACTTGCAGATTCAACAAAAAGTGTTTTTCAGAACTGCTCTATCAAAAGAAAGGTCCACCTCTGTTAGCTGAGTTCAGACATCACAAACAAGTTTATGAGAATGCTTCTGTCTAGTTTTTATTTGAAGATATTTCCTTTCTCACCATAGACCTGAAAGCTGAACTAATGTTCACTTCCAGATGCTACAGAAAGAGTGTTTCAAAACTGCTGTACGAAAGGGAATGTTCAACTCTGTGACTTGAATGCACACATCACAAAGAAGTTTCTGAGGATGCTGCTGTCTACTTTTTATACGTAATCCCGTTTCCAACGAAATCCTCCAAGCTATCCAAATATCCACCTGCAGATTCCACAGAAAGACTGTTTCAAAACTGCTCTGTCAATAGAAAGGTTCAACTCTGTTAGGTGCGTGCATATATCCCAAAGAAGATTCTGAGATTGCTTCTGTCTAGTTTTTATGGGAAGATATTTCCCTTTTCACCGTAGGCGTCAAGGCGATCCAAATGTCCACTTCCAGATACTACAAAAAGATTGTTTCAAACTTACTCTGTGAAAGGGAATATTCAACTCTGTGACTTGAATGCCGATATCACAAAGAAGTTTCTGAGAATGCTTCTGTCGAGATTTTATATGAAGATATTCCCGTTCCCAACGAAATCTTGAAATCTATCCAAATACCCCTCGCAGATTCTACAAAAAGAGTGTTTCAAAACTGCTCTGTAAAAGAAAGGTTCAACTCTGTTAGTTGAGTACACACATCACAAACAAGTTTCACAGAATGCTTCTTTCTAGCTTGTAGGGGAAGATATTCCCTTTATCACCATGGGCCTCCAACCGTCTGAAACATCCACTTCCATATACTACAAAAAGAGCGTTTCAAACCTGCTCTATGAAAGGCAATGTTCAACTCTGTGACTTGAATGCAGACATCACAGAGCAGTTTCTGAGAATGCTTCTGTGTAGATTTTATAGGAAGATATTCCCGTTTCCAACGAAATCTTCACAGCTATCCAAATATCCACTTGCATATTCTACAAAAAGAGTGTATCAAAACTGCTCTGTCAAAAGGAAGGTTCTTCTCTGTTAGGTGAGTGCATACGTCATAAAGGAGTTTCTGAGAATGTTTCTGTTTAGTGGTTATGGGAAGATATTTGCTTTTTCACCTTAGGCCTCAGAGCGCTCCAAATATCCCCTTGAACATACTACAAAAAGAGTGCTTCAAAGCTGCTCTCTGAAACGGAATGTTCAACTCTATGAGTTGAATGCAAACATGACAAAGACGTTTCCGAGAATGCTTCTGTCTAGATTTGATATGAAGATATTCCCGTTTCCAACGAAATCTTCAAATCTATCCAAATCTCCACTTGCAGATTCAACAAAAAGTGTTTTTCAGAACTGCTCTATCAAAAGAAAGATCCACCTCTGTTAGCTGAGTTCACACATCACAAACAAGTTTATGAGAATGCTTATCTGTCTAGTTTTTATTTGAAGATATTTCCTTTCTCACCATAGAGCTGAAAGCTGTCCTAATGTTCACTTCCAGATACTACAGAAAGAGTGTTTCAAAACTGCTGTACGAAAGGGAATGTTCAACTATGTGACTTGAATGCACACATCACAAAGAAGTTTCTGAGGATGCTGCTGTCTACTTTTTATACGTAATCCCGTTTCCAACGAAATCCTCCAAGCTATCCAAATATCCACTTGCAGATTCCACAAAAAGAGTGTTTCAAAACCGCTCTGTCAATACAAAGGTTCAACTCTGTTAGCTGCGTGCATACATCCCAAAGAACATTCTGAGGTTGCTTCTGTCTAGTTTTTAGGGGAAGATATTTCCTTTTTCACAATAGGCGTCAAAGCGATCCAAATGTCCAATTCCAGATACTACAAAAAGAGTGTTTCAAACCTACTCTGTGAAAGGGAGTATTCAAGTCTGTGACTTCAATGCAGATATCACAATGAAGTTTCTGAGAATGCTTCGGTCTTCTGTCGAGATTTTATATGAAGATATTCCCTTTTCCAACGAAATCCTGAAATCTATCCAAATATCCCCTCGCAGATTCTACAAAAAGAGTGTTTCAAAACTGCTCTGTAAAAAGAAAGGTTCAACTCTGTTAGCTGAGTACACACATCACAAACAAGTTTCACAGAATGTTTCTTTCTAGCTTGTAGGGGAAGATATTCCCTTTATCAGCATGGGCCTCCAACCGTCCGAAACATCCACTTCCATATACTACAAAAAGAGCGTTTCAAACCTGCTCTATGAAAGGCAATGTTCAACTCTGTGACTTGAATACAGACATCACAGAGCAGTTTCTGAGAATGCTTCTGTCTAGATTTTATAGGAAGATATTCCCGTTTCCAACGAAATCTTCACAGCTATCCAAATATCCACTTGCAGATTATACAAAAAGAGTGTATCAAAACTGCTCTGTCAAAAGGAAGGTTCTTCTCTGTTAGTTGAGTACATACGTCATAAAGGAGTTTCTGAGAATGTTTCTGTCTAGTGGTTATGGGAAGATATTTGCTTTTTCACCTTAGGCCTCAGAGCGCTCAAAATATCCCCTTGCACACACTACAAAAAGAGTGCTTCAAAGCTGCTCTCTGAAACGGAATGTTCAACTCTATGGGTTGAATGCAAACATCACAAAGACGTTTCTGAGAATGCTTCTGTCTAGATTTGATATGAAGATATTCCCGTTTCCAACGAAATCTTCAAATCTATCCAAATGTCCACTTGCAGATTCAACAAAAGTGATTTTCAGAACTGCTCTATCAAAAGAAAGATCCACGTGTGTTAGCTGAGTTCACACATCACAAACAAGTTTATGAGAATGCTTCTGTCTAGTTTTTATTTGAAGATATTTCCTTTCTCACCATAGACCTGAAAGCTGTCCTAATGTTCACTTCCAGATACTACAGAAAGAGTGTTTCAAAACTGCTGTACGAAAGGGAATGTTCAACTCTGTGACTTGAATGCACACATCACAAAGAAGTTCCTGAGGATGCTGCTGTCTACTTTTTATACGTAATCACGTTTCCAACGAAATCCTCCAAGCTATCCAAATATCCACTTGCAGATTCCACAGAAAGACTGTTTCAAAACTGCTCTGTCAATAGAAAGGTTCAACTCTGCTAGCTACGTGCATATATCCCAAAGAAGATTCTGAGATTGCTTCTGTCTAGTTTTTATGGGAAGATATTTCCCTTTTCACCGTAGGCGTCAAGGCGCTCCAAATGTCCACTTCCAGATACTACAAAAAGAGTGTTTCAAACCTACTCTGTGGAAGGGAATATTCAACTCTGTGACTTGAATGCAGATATCACAAAGAAGATTCTGAGAATGCTTCTGTCGAGATTTTATATGAAGATATTCCCCTTTCCAACGAAATCCTGAAATCTATCCAAATATCCCCTCGCAGATTCTACAAAAACAGTGTTTCAAAACTGCTCTGTAAAAAGAAAGGTTCAACTCTGTTAGTTGAGTACACACATCACAAACAAGTTTCACAGAATGCTTCTTTCTAGCTTGTAGGGAAAGATATTCCCTTTATCACCATGGGCCTCAAACCGTCCGAAACGTCCACTTCCATATACTACAAAAAGAGCGTTTCAAACCTGCTCTATGAAAGGCAATGTTCAACTCCGTGACTTGAATGCAGACATCACAGAGCAGTTTCTGAGAATGCTTCTGTCTAGATTTTATAGGAAGATATTCCCGTTTCCAACGAAATCTTCACAGCTGTCCAAATATCCACTTGCAGATTCTACAAAAAGAGTGTATCAAAACTACTCTGTCAAAAGGAAGGTTCTTCTCTATTAGTTGAGTGCATACGTCATAAAGGAGTTTCTGAGAATGTTTCTGTCTAGTGGTTATGGGAAGATATTTGCTTTTTCACCGTAGGCGTCAGAGCTCTCCAAATATCCAGTTGCACATACTACAAAAAGAGTGCTTCAAAGCTGCTCTCTGAAACGGAATGTTCAACTCTATGAGTTGAATGCAAACATCACAAAGACGTTTCTGAGAATGCTTCTGTCTAGATTTGATATGAAGATATTCCCGTTTCCAAAGAAATCTTCAAATCTATCCAAATGTCCACTTGCAGATTCAACAAAAAGTGTTTTTCAAAAGTGCTGTATAAAAAGAAAGAAGCACCTCTGTTAGTTGAGTTCACACATCAAAACAAGTTTATGAGAATGCTTCTGTCTAGTTTTTATTTGAAGATATTTCCTTTCTCACCATAGACCTGAAAGCTGTCCTAATGTTCACTTCCAGATACTACAGAAAGAGTGTTTCAAAACTGCTGTACGAAAGGGAATGTTCAACTCTGTGACTTGAATGCAGACATCACAAGGAAGTTTCTGAGGATGCTGCTGTCTACTTATTATACGTAATCCCGTTTCCAACGAAATCCTCCAAGCTATCCAAATATCCACTTGCAGATTCCACAGAAAGACTCTTTCAAAACTGCTCTGTCAATAGAAACGTTCAACTCTGTTAGCTGCGTGCATATATCCCAAAGAAGATTCTGAGATTGCTTCTGTCTAGTTTTTATGGGAAGATATTTCCCTTTTCACCGTAGGTGTCAAGGCGCTCCAAATGTCCACTTCCAGATACTACAAAAAGAGTGTTTCAAACCTACTCTGTGAAAGGGAATATTCAACTCTGTGACTTGAATGCACATATCACAAAGAAGTTTCTGAAAATGCTTCTGTCGAGATTTTATATGAAGATATTCCTGTTTCCAACGAAATGCTGAAATGTATCCAAATATCCCATCGCAGATTCTACAAAAAGAGTGTTTCAAAACTGCTCTGTAAAAAGAAAGGTTCAACTCTGTTAGTTGAGTACACACATCACAAACAAGTTTCACAGAATGCTTCTTTCTAGCTTGTAGGGGAAGATATTTCCTTTATCACCATGGGCCTCAAACCGTCCGAAACGTCCACTTCCATATACTACAAAAAGAGCGTTTTAAACCTGCTCTATGAAAGGCAATCGTCAACTCTGTGACTTGAATGCAGACATCACAGAGCAGTTTCTGAGAATGCTTCTGTCTAGATTTTATAGGAAGATATTCCCGTTTCCAACGAAATCTTCCCAGCTATCCAAATATCCACTTGCAGATTCTACAAAAAGAGTGTATCAAAACTGCTCTGTCAAAAGGAAGGTTTTTCTCTGTTAGGTGAGTGCATACGTCATAAAGGAGTTTCTGAGAATGTTTCTGTCTAGTGGTTATGGGAAGATATTTGCTTTTTCACCGTAGGCCTCAGAGCGCTCCAAATATCCACTTGCACATACTACAAAAAGAGTGCCTCAAAGCTGCTCTCTGAAACGGAATGTTCAACTCTATGAGTTGAATGCAAACATCACAAAGACGTTTCTGCGAATGCTTCTGTCTAGGATTTGATATGAAGATATTCCCGTTACCAACGAAATCTTCAAATCTATCCAAATGTCCACTTGCAGATTCAACAAAAAGTGTTTTTCAGAACTGCTCTATCAAAAGAAAGATCCACCTCTGTTGGCTGAGTTCACACATCACAAACAAGTTTATGAGAATGCTTCTGTCTAGTTTTTATTTGAAGATATTTCCTTTCTCACCATAGACCTGAAAGCTGTCCTAATGTTCACTTCCAGATACTACAGAAAGAGTGTTTCAAAACTGCTGTACGAAAGGGAATGTTCAACTCTGTGACTTGAATGCACACGTCACAAAGAAGTTTCTGAGGATGCTGCTGTCTACTTTTTATACGTAATCCCGTTTCCAAAGAAATCCTCTAAGCTATCCAAATATCCACTTGCAGATTCCACAGAAAGACTGTTTCAAAACGGGTCTGTCAATAGAAAGGTTCAACTCTGTTAGCTGCGTACATATATCCCAAAGAAGATTCTGAGATTGCTTCTGTCTAGTTTTTATGGGAAGATATTACCCTTTTCACCGTAGGCGTCAAGGCGCTCCAAATGTCCACTTCCAGATACTACAAAAAGAGTGTTTCAAACCTACTCTGTGAAAGGGAATATTCAACTCTGTGACTTGAATGCACATATCACAAGGAAGTTTCTGAGAATGCTTCTGTCGAGATTTTATATGAAGATATTCCCCTTTCCAACGAAATCCTGAAATCTATCCAAATATCCCCTCGCAGATTCTACAAAAAGAGTGTTTCAAAACTGCTCTGCAAAAAGAAAGGTTCAACTCTGTTAGTGGAGTACACACATCACAAACAAGTTTCACAGAATGCTTCTTTCTAGCTTGTAGGGGAAGATATTTCCTTTATCACCATGGGCCTCAAACCGTCCGAAACGTCCACTTCCATATACTAAAAAAAGAGTGCTTGAAACCTGCTCTATGAAAGGCAATGTTCAACTCTGTGACTTGAATGCAGACATCACAGAGCAGTTTCTGAGAATCCTTCTGTCTAGATTTTATAGGAAGATATTCCCGTTTCCAACGAAATCTTTACAGCTATCCAAATATCCACTTGCAGATTCTACAAAAAGAGTGTATCAAAACTGCTCTGTCAAAAGGAAGGTTCTTCTCTGTTAGGTGAGTGCATACCGTCATAAAGGAGTTTCTGAGAATGTTTCTGTCTAGTGGTTATGGGAAGATATTTGCTTTTTCCCCGTAGGCCTCAGAGCGCTCCAAATATCCACTTGCACATACTACAAAAAGAGTGCCTCAAATCTGCTCTCTGAAACGGAATGTTCAACTCTATGAGTTGAATGCAAACATCACAAAGACGTTTCTGAGAATGCTTCTGTCTAGATTTGATATGAAGATATTCCCGTTTCCAACGAAATCTTCAAATCTATCCAAATGTCCACTTGCAGATTCAACAAAAAGTGTTTTTCAGAACTGCTCTATCAAAAGAAAGATCCACCTCTGTTAGCTGAGTTCAGACATCACAAACAAGTTTATGAGAAGGCTTCTGTCTAGTTTTTATTTGAAGATATTTCCTTTCTCACCATAGACCTGAAAGCTCTCCTAGTGTTCACTTCCAGATACTACAGAAAGAGTGTTTCAAAACTGCTGTACGAAAGGGAATGTTCAACTCTGTGACTTGAATGCACACATCACAAAGAAGTTTCTGAGGATTCTGCTGTCTACTTTTTATACGTAATCCCGTTTCCAACGAAATCCTCCAAGCTATCCAAATATCCACTTGCAGATTCCACAGAAAGACTGTTTCAAAACTGCTATGTCAATAGAAAGGTTCAACTCTATTAGCTGCGTACATATATCCCAAAGAAGATTCTGAGATTGCTTCTGTCTAGTTTTTATGGGAAGATATTTCCCTTTTCACCGTAGGCGTCAAGGCGCTCCAAATGTCCACTTCCAGATACTACAAAAAGAGTGTTTCAAACCTAATCTGTGAAAGGGAATATTCAACTCTGTAACTTGAATGCACATATCACAAAGAAGTTTCTGAGAATGCTTCTGTCGAGATTTTATATGAAGATATTCCCGTTTCCAAAGAAATCCTGAAATCTATCCAAATATCCCCTCGCAGATTCTACAAAAAGAGAGTTTCAAAACTGCTCTGTAAAAAGAAAGGTTCAACTCTGTTAGTTGAGTACACACATCACAAACAAGTTCCACACAATGCTTCTTTCTAGCTTGTAGGGGAAGATATTCCCTTTATCACCATGGGCCTCCAACCGTCCGAAACATCCACTTCCATATACTACAAAAAGAGCGTTTCAAACCTGTTCTATGAAAGGCAATGTTCAACTCTGTGACTTGAATGCAGACATCACAGAGCAGTTTCTGAGAATGCTTCTGTCTAGATTTTATAGGAAGATATTCCCGTTTCCAACGAAATCTTCACAACTATCCAAATATCCACTTGCAGATTCTACAAAAAGAGTGTATCAAAACTGCTCTGTCAAAAGGAAAGTTCTTCTCTGCTAGTTGAGTACATACGTCATAAAGAAGTTTCTGAGAATGTTTTCTGTCTAGTGGTTATGGGAAGATATTTGCTTTTTCACCGTAGGCCTCAGAGCGCTCCAAATATCCACTTGCACATACTACAAAAAGAGTGTTTCAAAGCTGCTCTCTGAAAGGGAATGTTCAACTCTATGAGTTGAATGCAAACATCACAAAGACGTTTCTGAGAATGCTTCTGTCTAGATTTGTTATGAAGATATACCCGTTTCCAACGAAATCTTCAAATCTATGCAAATGTCCACTTGCAGATTCAACAAAGTGTTTTTCAAAACTGCTGTATCAAAAGAAAGATCCACCTGTGTTAGCTGAGTTCACACTTCACAAACAAGTTTATCAGAATTCTCTGTCTAGTTTTTATTTGAATATATTTCCTTTCTCACCATAGACCTGAAAGCTGTCCTAATGTTCACTTCCAGATACTACAGAAAGAGTGTTTCAAAACTGCTGTACGAAAGGGAATGTTCAACTCTGTGACTTGAATGCACACATCACAAAGAAGTTTCTGAGGATGCTGGCTGTCTACTTTTTATACGTAATCCCGTTTCCAAAGAAATCCTCCAAGCTATCCAAATATCCACTTGCAGATTCCACAGAAAGACTGTTTCAAAACTGCTCTGTCAATAGAAAGGTTCAACTCTGTTAGCTGCGTGCATATATCCCAACGAAGATTCTGAGATTGCTTCTGTCTAGTTTTTATGGGAAGATATTTCCCTTTTCACCGTAGGCGTCAAGGCGCTCCAAATGTCCACTTCCAGATACTACAAAAAGAGTGTTTCAAACCTACTCTGTGAAAAGGAATATTCAACTCTGTGACTTGAATGCACATATCACAAGGAAGTTTCTGAGAATGCTTCTGTCGAGATTTTGTATGAAGATATTCCCGTTTCCAACGAAATCCTGAAATCTATCCAAATATCCCCTCGCAGATTCTACAAAAAGAGTGTTTCAAAACTGCCCTGTGAAAAGAAAGGTTCAACTCTCTTAGTTGAGTACACACATCACAAACAAGTTTCACAGAATGCTTCTTTCTAGCTTGTAGGGGAAGATATTCCCTTTATCACCATGGGCCTCAAACCGTCCGATAATTCCACTTCCATATACTACAAAAAGAGCGTTTCAAACCTGCTCTATGAAAGGCAATGTTCAACTCTGTGACTTGAATGCAGACATCACAGAGCAGTTTCTGAGAATGCTTCTGTCTAGATTTTATAGGAAGATATTCCCGTTTCCAAGGAAATCTTCGCAGCTATCCAAATATCCACTTGCAGATTCTACAAAAGGAGTGTATCAAAACTGCTCTGTCAAAAGGAAGGTTCTTCTCTGTTAGGTGAGTGCATACGTCATAAAGGAGTTTCTGAGAATGTTTCTGTCTAGTGGTTATGGGAAGATATTTGCTTTTTCACCTTAGGCCTCAGAGCGCTCCAAATATCCCCTTGCACATACTACAAAAAGAGTGCTTCAAAGCTGCTCTCTGAAAGGGAATGTTCAACTCTATGAGATGAATGCAAACATCACAAAGACGTTTCTGAGAATGCTTCTGTCTAGCATTTGATATGAAGATATTCCCGTTTCCAACGAAATCTTCAAATCTATCCAAATGTCCACTTGCAGATTCAACAAAAAGTGTTTTTCAGAACTGCTCTATCAAAAGAAAGATTCACCTCTGTTAGCTGAGTTCACACATCACAAGCAAGTTTATGAGAATGCTTCTGTCTAGTTTATATTTGAAGATATTTCCTTTCTCACCATAGAGCTGAAAGCTGTCCTAATGTTCACTTCCAGATACTACAGAAAGAGTGTTTCAAAACTGCTGTACGAAAGGGAATGTTCAACTCTGTGACTTGAATGCACACATCACAAAGAAGTTTACTGAGGATGCTGCTGTCTACTTTTTATACGTAATCCCGTTTCCAACGAAATCCTCCAATCTATCCAAATATCCACTTGCAGATTCCACAGAAAGACTGTTTCAAATCTGCTCTGTCAACAGAAAGGTTCAACTCTGTTAGCTGCGTGCATATATCCCAAAGAAGATTCTGAGATTGCTTCTGTCTAGTTATTATGGGAAGATACTTCCCTTTTCACCGTAGGCGTCAAGGCGCTCCAAATGTCCACTTCCAGATACTACAAAGAGAGTGTTTCAAACCTACTCTGTGAAAGGGAATATTCAACTCTGTGACTTGAATGCACATATCACAAAGAAGTTTCTGAGAATGCTTCTGTCGAGATTTTATATGAAGATATTCCCGTTTCCAACGAAATCCTGAAATGTATCCAAATATCCCCTCGCAGATTCTACAAAAAGAGTGTTTCAAAACTGCTCTGTAAAAAGAAAGGTTCAACTCTGTTAGTTGAGTACAAACATCAGAAACAAGTTTCACACAATGCTTCTTTCTAGCTTGTAGGGGAAGATATTCCCTTTATCACCATGGGCCTCCAACCGTCCGAAACGTCCACTTCCATATACTACAAAAAGAGCGTTTCAAACCTGCTCTAGGAAAGGCAATGTTCAACTCCGTGACTTGAATGCAGACATCACAGAGCAGTTTCTGAGAATGCTTCTGTCTAGATTTTATAGGAAGATATTCCCGTTTCCAACGAAATCTTCACATCTATCCAAATATCCACTTGCAGATTCTACAAAAAGAGTGTATCAAAACTGCTCTGTCAAAAGGAAGGTTCTTTTCTGTTAGGTGAGTGCATACGTCATAAAGGAGTTTCTGAGAATGTTTCTGTCTAGTGGTTATGGGAAGATATTTGCTTTTTCACCGTAGGCCTCAGAGCGCTCCAAATATCCACTTGCGCATACTACAAAAAGAGTGCCTCAAAGCTGCTCTCTGAAACGGAATGTTCAACTCTATGAGTTGAATGCAAACATCGCAAAGACGTTTCTGAGAATGCTTCTGTCTAGATTTGATATGAAGATATTCCCGTTTCCAACGAAATCTTCAAATCTATGCAAATATCCACTTGCAGATTCAACAAAAAGTGTTTTTCAGAACTGCTCTATCAAAAGAAAGATCCACCTCTGTTAGCTGAGTTCACACATCAGAAACAAGTTTATGAGAATGCTTCTGTCTTGTTTTTATTTGAAGATATTTCCTTTCTCACCATAGACCTGAAAGCTGTCCTAATGTTCACTCCCAGATAATACACAAAGAGTGTTTCAAAACTGCTGTACGAAGGGGAATGTTCAACTCTGTGACTTGAATGCACACATCACAAAGAAGTTTCTGAGGATGCTGCTGTCTACTTTTTATACGTAATCCCGTTTCCAACGAAATCCTCCAAGCTATCCAAATGTCCACTTGCAGATTCCACAGAAAGACTGTTTCAAAACTGCTCTGTCAATAGAAAGGTTCAACTCTGTTAGCTGCGTGCATATATCCCAAAGAAGATTCTGAGATTGCTTTCTGTCTACTTTTTATGAGAAGATATTTCCCTTTTCACCCGTAGGCGTCAAGGCGCTCTAAATGTCCACTTCCAGATACTACAAAAAGAGTGTTTCAAACCTACTCTGTGAAAGGGAATATTCAACTCTGTGACTTGAATGCACATATCACAAAGAAGCTTCTGAGAATGCTTCTGTCGAGATTTTATATAAAGATATTCCCGTTTCCAACGAAATCCTGAAATCTATCCAAATATCCCCTCGCAGATTCTACAAAATGAGTGTTTCAAAACTGCTCTGTAAAAAGAAAGGTTCAACTCTCTTAGTTGAGTACACACATCACAAACAAGTTTCACAGAATGCTTCTTTCTAGCTTGTAGGGGAAGATATTCCCTTTATCACCATGGGCCTCAAACCGTCCGAAACGTCCACTTCCATATACTACAAAAAGAGCGTTTCAAACCTACTCTAGGAAAGGCAATGTTCAACTCTGTGACTTGAATGCAGACATCACAGAGCAGTTTCTGAGAATGCTTCTGTCTAGATTTTATAGGAAGATATTCCCGTTTCCAACGAAATCTTCACAGCTATCCAAGTATCCACTTGCAGATTCTACAAAAAGAGTGTATCAAAACTGCTCTGTCAAAAGGAAGGTTCTTCTCTGTTAGGTGAGGTGCATACGTCATAAAGGAGTTTCTGAGAATGTTTCTGTCTAGTGGTTATGGGAAGATATCTGCTTTTTCACCGTAGGCCTCAGAGCGCTCCAAATATCCACTTGCACATACTACAAAAAGAGTGCTTCAAACCTGCTCTCTGAAACGGAATGTTCAACTCTATGAGTTGAATGCAAACATCACAAAGACGTTTCTGAGAATGCTTCTGTCTAGATTTGATATGAAGATATTCCCGTTTCCAACGAAATCTTCAAATCTATCCAAATGTCCACTTGCAGATTCAACAAAAAGTGTTTTTCAAAACTGCTGTATCAAAAGAAAGATCCACGCCTGTTAGCTGAGTTCACACATCACAAACAAGTTTATGAGAATGCTTGCTGTCTACTTTTTATACGTAATCCCGTTTCCAACGAAATCCTCCAAGCTATCCAAATATCCACTTGTAGATTCCACAGAAAGACTGTTTCAAAACTGCTCTGTCAATAGAAAGGTTCAACTCTGTTAGCTGCGTGCATATATCCCAAAGAAGATTCTGAGATTGCTTCTGTCTAGTTTTTATGGGAAGATATTTCCCTTTTCACCGTAGGTGTCAAGGCGCTCCAAATGTCCACTTTCAGATACTACAAAAAGAGTGTTTCAAACCTACTCTGTGAAAGGGAATATTCAACTCTGTGACTTGAATGCACATATCACAAAGAAGTTTCTGAGAATGCTTCTGTCGAGATTTTATATGAAGATATTCCCGTTTCCAACGAAATCCTGAAATGTATCCAAATATCCCCTCGCAGATTCTACAAAAAGAGTGTTTCAAAACTGCTCTGTAAAAAGAAAGGTTCAACACTGTTAGTTGAGTACACACATCACAAACAAGTTTCACAGAATGCT